>NC_000014.9:36278379-36581409 GCF_000001405.40 Homo sapiens | reverse complement strand
CGCTAGGCCCGCGTCTCCGGGCTCGGACGCCGAGAAAAGGAAGAAGCGGCGGGTGCTATTCTCCAAGGCGCAGACGCTGGAGTTGGAGCGGCGCTTCCGGCAGCAGCGGTACCTGTCTGCGCCCGAGCGCGAGCAGCTGGCGAGCCTGCTTCGCCTCACGCCCACGCAGGTCAAGATCTGGTTCCAGAATCATCGCTACAAGCTGAAGCGCGCTCGCGCTCCAGGGGCGGCGGAGTCGCCTGACCTGGCAGCATCCGCCGAGCTGCACGCCGCGCCCGGCCTGCTGCGTCGCGTGGTGGTGCCGGTGCTTGTTCGCGACGGGCAGCCGTGCGGCGGCGGCGGCGGTGGCGAGGTGGGAACCGCCGCGGCCCAGGAGAAGTGCGGCGCCCCTCCAGCCGCCGCCTGCCCTCTGCCGGGCTACCCTGCCTTCGGTCCCGGCTCGGCGCTTGGCCTCTTCCCCGCCTACCAGCACTTAGCATCCCCCGCCCTGGTCTCCTGGAACTGGTGAGGCCGCAGGGCGGCACCTGGGGCTACCCTCGACTTTGGAGCGCGCTCTGCGATTGGAGCAGGGCCGGAGCCGAACGCCTGGAACGCTCTCCGTCCGCCTCCCTGCAGCCCCATCTCCTTGGGCGCCAGGGTCCCTGGCGCGCCCTCATCAGCCGTCGCGCAAGCACACACGAGGGACGTGTGCCAGAGCCCCCTCCCTCACCTTCCCTCCACCGCCAGCCCCAGAGTTAGATTTTATGCTTGGGCCTTATTTGTATATTTTTAAATAGCGATTTGTATAGGAAGCAAGTTATTTTTTTAAAAAATAGAGTATTTTTCCTCGTAGTTCGAGAATAAAATGTGTGGGGTTGGGTCCCCTGCGCGCCTGCGGGGAACGTAGGCGGGAGTCGTGCCCCCCAGACCGGTGTTCGCATCGCTGGCTCGCCCCTTGACTGGCTAAGTGGGGCCCGGCCCCAGCTGGATCGAAGGGCGGGTTGCAGTCCCGACACGGCTTTAGGAAGATACCTGGGGGATGGAGGGGTGGTGATGTCAGGGTTGGGCGCGGGAAGAAAAGGAGAGGAGGAAGCTGAGGCAACTTTGGGATTCTTGTCAGCGGGAGGCGTCACTGGCCCCAGAGTGACTCCGACTCTCCGCTGGGCTCCCAGAGCTGCTGGCGTTTCGAATACCGAAAAGTCAACCCTGTGGACCACGACAGGGCAGAAGGAGTTTCTCCGGAGATGAGCCGGCGAGGCCAGGTGCGGGGCGCGCTGCACCGGAGCAGCCCAGGCCGGGCCGCAAGCTGTTTCCAGAGTGCAGGAGCCAAGTGCTCGGGGACCCTTTGAAAAGTGCCTGGGGACCTGAAGAGCACCGGGGAATTTGTAACCCCTATTTAAGCCTGCAAGTGCCTAAGTTAGCTGTGATTTCCTGTCTCCTCATGGCGCAGTACCTGGCCAGGGTGGGGAGGAGGACGTGAAGACATCAAAGGGTCGGGGGAACGACCGGCACAGGGCTTTTCCTC
This sequence comes from Homo sapiens, assembly GCF_000001405.40. Taxonomy (NCBI): domain Eukaryota; kingdom Metazoa; phylum Chordata; class Mammalia; order Primates; family Hominidae; genus Homo; species Homo sapiens. The sequence goes on along the minus strand of NC_000014.9, from coordinate 36,579,905 downwards.
TGGGCAGATCCGGGAGGACGCGACTCCCAGCTGAGGGAGGGCCGCCTGGGGGAGCCTTGGGAATCCGAGATTGGGGCAGGTCCACCCCGGCCAGTGCACACTAGCACCCCTTGGATTTGTAACTGCCCCGCTAGGGCCTCTTGTGCAAGCAGTCACTTTCTCACAGAAGCGACGACCTCGCTCCCAGGCACCCGCTGCTGGGAGATGCGCCAGAGGAGAGCAGTTGGGGCATCAGGTGCGGGGAAGGGAGCCAAGGGCCCTTATGGAGGTCTCTAAGGAGGAGTCATGGGCCTGTTAGGGGCTCTAGCTTTCTTGTCCAAGGAGGAAGAAGGGGAGGATGAAGGGTGGCTGAGGCAGTGTTATCACCTGGGATTTTGGGGGGTGGAGAGAGAAAGAGAGAAGGGGAGAGGGGGAAGGGAGTGGGGTGTTTGGGTCTCAGCTGCCGGCCACCTTGCCTTCCATATGGATGCGGTTATCTTAGAAGAATCTCGATCCTTAAACCTCTTTTTGTCTTGGGAACTGAAAAGGGCATTGTCAGGCCTGAAAAGGACCTAGACAAAATCCGCACTGTTTGGATTCAGGACTCTGTTTAATCAGTCCCTGGTGACAATGTAGTGGGTGTTAGGCAGGACAATAGTATCTTTTTAAACCTTGTGGCCTTCAGGAAGACAAAGGGCTTGAATTTTATGGGCTTACAACTTCAATTAGAACAGTGCCAGTGTGCATGGGAGATTATCAAATTTGTATCATAAAACCCCTTTCTAATAAATGATTGCTGGGGAGGGAGCTTGAACATTGTAAGACAGATATTGGGACCTGCCAGGGGGCTTCCCAGTTAGCTCTGGCACAGCAGATGTGAAAGAAAAGGAGGTAATGATTTCTGAAGAAGGCCAGTGTTGGGACTGCCTCTGGTCATCTGGCTGGGTGCTTGGATTTTCCATGCTCTTCCTGCATAGGGGTATTTTCTCCAAGAAGGGGGGTAAAGATTGGTAGCTTGTTTTCTACTATTGGTGGTGACAAAGACCACCAGAATATTCTTAGGGAGAAATTGAAAAATCACTGCCTGTCCAATTCCTTGACTTTTTCTAGAGCTCCAGAGAAAGTAGGTCTTGGAGTGTGCAGTGGAGAAGGCCTTACATAGGAGGCCCACAGGACAAAGGGATTTAGACTGTAGAGAGGGCCTCTTTCCAGGAGGCTCTTTGTGGGAGCACAGCCTTAGTCAAATTCATCCTGGTCCTAAATGGTCAGCAGAGGTCTAACCAAGAAGCCACATTCAGCTGCTTGCCAGTGGAGTGGTCAGAGCCCCAGCAAGTTGCCCACTCAGGAGCCAGCTTGTGTACTGGGCAAGAGGAGGGCAGCAGTTTCCTGTGACAGAAGCACTGGCAGCCATAAGGTATAAACTGTGGCCCACTTCCTTTCTCTCCTTTTCCTTTAGGCTGATAAGGTCCTTCCTTTAAAGAGGAAAAAACCTTAGGGGAAAGTTTAACTAGCACTCTCATCACCACCAATCCATTTCAGAGACCTAGGCTGTCAGATTTTTGGGGGATTTTTTTTGTTGTTCACAAGATAAGCTGGAAAAGATAAATGTCAATCTCCTTTGTGGTCTAAAGATGAATTCTTACAATTTCTGACAAAAGCTGAACCCAAGGCCTCTCTACCAGCCACTGTGAGAACAGTTAAGATCTCCCATCCTGGATGAAAGTACTTCAAACCCATCACCCATCACCAACATCACAAGGCAGATTCACACTCAGCAAACTTATTGAAACGTACTGTGTTGCAGGCATTTTTAAAGGTACTTTCACAGTTGATCTCACAGAAACCTTACACTGTATACATAATACTCCCATTTTATAGATAAGAAACTGCGGCTTGGGGACCTGCGGCTTAAGGTGCAGACATGGCCAAGTCCAAGAACCACACCACACACAACCAGTCCCGAAAATGGCACAGAAATAGTGTCAAGAAACCCCAATCACAAAGATACAAATCTCTTAAGGGAATGGACCCTAAGTTCCTGAGGAACATGTGCTTTGCCAAGAGCACAACAAGAAGAGCCTAAAGAAGATGCAGGCCAGCAATGCCAAGGCTGTGAGTGTATGTGCCGAGGCTATCAAGGCCCTCGTAAAGGCCAAGGAGGTTAACCCCAAGATTCCGAAGGGTGTCACCTGCAAGCTCAAATGACTTGCCTACATTGCCCACCCCAAACTTGGGAAGCATGCCCGTGCCCGCATTGCCAAGGGGCTCAAGCTGTGCCAGCCAAAGGCCAAGGCAAAGGATCAAACCAAGGCCCAGGCTGCAGCTCCCGCTTCAGTTCCAGCTCAGGCTCCAAAAGGTGCCCAGGCCCCTATAAAGGCTTCAGATAGATATCTCTGTCTATCTATCTGGACATGGGGACATGTCCATGAGGACAGGACTGGTGTGACTCCCCCACCCCCAGGCTGCCGTCTGCATGGGGCTGGGGTCCTCCTGTGCTATTTGTACACGTAAAACTGAGGCAGGAAAAAAAAAAGAAAGAAAGAAACTGAGGCTCAATGGGTGGGGCTAAGTGGCTTGCCCAAAGCAGTTATAAACCTCAAGGAATGTTACTGTTGTCCTCAGCTTAACTCATATTTAGTCACCCTACAAGCTGCCCTTCAGAACAATTGTAATCTGGAGGTAATGATTATATACATATAAAAATGTGGCTTAACTAGGGGTTACAAGTTCGCCGGTGCTCTTCAGGTCCCCAGGCACTTTTCAAAGGGTCCCAGGCTCATCTCCGGAGAAACTCCTTCTGCCCTGTCATGGTCCACAGGGTTGAATTTTTGGTATTTGGAACGCCGGCAGCTCTGGGAGCCCAGCGGAGCCTTGGAGTCACTCTGGGGCCAGAGATGCCTCCCACTGACAAGAATCCCAAAGTTGTCTCAGCTTCCTGATATATATATATAATCACACAACCCTTATAAGCTCTCTTATGGATAGTCTGAAAGGATGAAAAAACACACTTAAAAGTACTCTACACAGCTCAGGGCCACTCACAGAGGCTGGCCACATATCACAGTAGTTGCTAGTATGTACTGATGTTTTCTGTGTATCAGGCAATATTCTAAGACCTTTACCTCATATTAACTCATTCAATTTTCACAACTCCACCAGATACTACTACTCCCACTACACAAGTGGGAAAATTGAAGGCCAAAAAGGTTAGAAGAGACTTGTCCAGGGTCATACGGCTGGTAAGTGACATAGAGGATCTGAACCCAAGCCGTCTAGTTCCAGATCTTACACCTCTGGCCACATGGTGGGAATTGTTTCCCCTTCTTTGTTTTATTTCTCCCGGCTGACAGTTCTGGTTACCTTCCTCACAGATGCATCTCTAAAGACATGTTCTTTAGCATCTCTATGTCTCTCTGTCTTTGTCTCTCCCCCTGTCTACCAGACTTCCAGTTTTTGGACACAGCTTCTGTGTTTCTGCTAAGTCTTTGCGAGCATTCTTGTCCAGCTGTCAATGAAACAGAGCTCTTGTCTGCAGCTTGCAACATTCTCCTGTGACTATCATTCCACCATTCTTCTTCCAGAAAAACATGTGCTGCTGCTGCCTTGACACCAGTTGTCCACTCAGTGTTGGGTAGAGTCGCTGCTGACTCTGATAAGCTCCCCTAAGCTCTTCCCCAATCCCAGGCCCAGGTCCCTGTGGAGCTTGATGGCTTTGGCTTTCCTAACCCTCTTCCCAGCCATCTTTTTCCTCCCTAGGTCTCCAGTTTTATCCTTATTATTAAACATCATCCTCTTCACATTTTCTCTCTCTTCTTCCATTGTAAACATTTTCACTTCATCTCACTTAAGTTTCTTGCAGGCGGAGATTGCAATTTTCACTTCAATTTTCTTTCCTCATTGTTCAATGGATCTTACATCTCAGCACGTCTCTTATCTGACCAATTTAGCACTTCAGTATCTTAAATAATGTGCTCCTGATGGGTTAGAAGGAAGTTATTTGAGCCCAGGTTAACCTATACTTTCCCTTCTGACAATGGTATTTAGACATTTATTATTCTCTTGCCTTGTTGACACCATTAATTTGTCTCTTTCTCTCTCTCTCTCTTCACTACCTTTAAAACATTTTTGACTCACGAATAAACTGCCCAGGCAGGATAGTTGTGGGCTTAGCATGGCTGAATATTTTGTTAAACATGTTTATCTTTTCTGGGTGTATCAGTTAACCAGCCTAAGCAGGTTATTTGTAAACATGAACAATAGTCAAGAGAGTTTTCTGAATGCCGAGAAAGTACTGTCCCTACCCCAGGGCAAGGTGATTTCTGTGACTGTGATTCCATCAGTTAGTATTCAAAATTTGCATGAGAAATTGTATCCCTTTGGGTCACTTATCATTTTTCCAAGCCATGCTGTGGGAGAGGGTTTACTAAATAGTATCTTAATTATTTTCAGAATTCCAATTCTGTGCCTGTTTATTTCCCTCCACCTCCATTTCCCCCCATAATTAAAGGTGTATGGTATTTCCCTTTCTCGTTTGTACCCACCACTCATGTTACTCAGTCTGTAAGTCCAACAAAGAATTGAGCAGTATTCCTTTGATGCTGAGCCATAGAGTGGTGACTTAACTTTAGAGAAAAACCAGGAAGAATTGCTTAGGCTATGAAACAGTCGAGTTCTCCTTCAACCCCAGATTTTTTCCATATCTCTCTCAAATTCTCAAGCACAGAGATTCTCATTTTTTCCAACCATGTCCAGTGGAGAGTTTTATTATTTATCCAGGAAAGTAACATTATCACATATTAGAGGTAGAGATCATTTCTCTTCAATAACCTGCCCTATGGACTAATAAAAACTTTCTAGGTCTTTACTGAAGTCATGTAGTTTCAAAAGGTGCTATAGTTTCACAGAGCTTCTATCAGTAGGGTGCTATGGAAGAAACCTCTGAGGGGGCTTTGGTCATGCTTTATTTCCTCCTGTATTCTGACTGGGTGGTCCTTTATGAGTCAACAGGTTTTCAAATGCTTTACCCTAGCTAAAAGCTCTGAATTGGACTGTCCCTTTTCTCTACTCCCAATACCAACTGCATTCTCTCTCTCTCTCTCTCTCTCTCTCTCTCTCTCTCTCTCTTTTCCCAGGGACTGGAAAGGCTATTTGGCAGAATTCACTAGGAAGGGAATGGAGTCTGTTTGCAAATTAAAGTAGAGACAAAAGTGTCCAGAAAAAAATCGTGAAAAGAGTCCTTGAATCTCTCACCTGAGATATCTTCCTTCTGTTACATCTTACTCCTCCGGCTTTGGTGAAGGATTGTGTATTAAGTAGCTATTCCTCCAACCCTAAAGAAGTTATCAGCTTTGGTTTAAATGATCCCTTGGTAGGTAAATTCTCAACTAGAGCCAACCCCAATTCATCATAACATGTCAGGGTCAGTGGCAATCAGATAAGCATCAGTACAATGGCAAGAACGCATTTTTACAACAAAATTGAAATGCAGAGTAAGAAACCCAAATTATCAGGAAAAGACAAAGAAACCTGGTATGGTGAGTAAAGATAGAACTGCTTTCCTGGGGCACTGTTTTTACTGCCTCATCACACTCGTAGATTTAGTCATCTATCTGACCAAGTGTTCAGTTGTGCTCCTGATTCACTGAGAGAAGGTTTCATTTTTAACTCAAGTTAAAATGTCGAGAAAGGGGAGGATTTTCTTATTTCTCATTTGTGGATGGAGCATTATCTTAAATAAGGCTAGTCAATTTACCAATGTGGTGCTGCATGGGAGCAGAGAGGACTAACAAAATAAAATAGATCTGCCAGAATTTTGATGTTCAGGAGACACTACAAGAATCCTCCCTCTCCTCACTGAGCTTGGCACTGATTAAGAGAAAAGTGAATATATATTCAAATAGCACAGGTATGCGCAACAATGGGAGGACCTAATTCCACAATTGCATTTTAATTATATAAATATACTATGCATGAATGTACTACACATATAAGTGGGTATGAAACAGATTTTGGAAATGTTGGGTTCTTTTAATAAGAAAGAAAAACTCTGATTTATAATCCCACTTATCAAACCCATATAGGACAAATATTTTCTTTGTAAGATAATATGGAAAGCACAGAAATGTGTAAATAAGCTATGCTCTTAAATCTATCTGTTTTCATAATGACATTTGCTCTCTCATTAGTAGAATAGTAGTGTAATGAATAGGAGACCCAGGTAAACTATTAAAACGTAAGGGAGGAAATCTCATTTGCATCATTGTAAACTATAACCACAAAGAGAAGTTACTGAGACCATATTGACGTGGTGGAAAGAACAATTCCCCCTTTATCCTTGCTTTCCCTTCTCTGCAGCCTCTGATTGTTCCCCTCTTCCAAGAATCATGTATTGGAAACCACAACCATTTCTGCCATTAACAAGGTGAAAACTAGACTATGGAGAAGGTCATAAGGGTATAGACAGAAGGAATTGGCTGCTTGTTTCTCACTTGGCAGGATATGTGGGTTTGGGCAGGGCTATAAGGTTTTCAGGGAAACTCTACCTCACAAGCACCACTACCTAAAGCTTGTGCCAAGTAAGCCTTAGAACATATGTGAATGATTCATTCTAAACTGATTTCAGAATGTTTAGTTGCCTTCAATCCTTCTGAAAAGGCATCATTGCAATTTGTGCAGCATTAACTTTCTCCCACCATTGTCACCATATGATATCTTAGTCAACTGATCTGCAGCTACAAAGGAGGACCTAGAATTCTAACTTCTTAGCAATTAATGATGCTGTGAAGCCACAGGCAGATAAGTAATTTTCTGATTTTACTTACTCAGACTTGATAGAGGGCAAGAAAGCAATTTCTGCAAAGATGGGATCATAGCTCATTGTTTGCAAAGCAAAGGAAGCAAACAACAAAGTGCAAAGGCAACCTACAGGATGGGAGAAAATATTTGCACACTCTATATGTGATAAGGGATCAATATCCCAAATATATAAATAACTCACACATCTCAATAGCTTAAAAGAAACCCAATTATAAAATGGGCAAAAGGGCTGGGTGCAGTGGTTCACGCCTGTAATCCCAGCACTTTGGGAGGTCGAAGCGGGCAGATCATGAGGTCAGGAGATCGAGACCATCCTGGCCAACATGTTGAAACCCTATCTCTACTAAAAATACAAAAAAATTAGCCAGGTGTGGTGGTGGGCACCTGTAATCCCAGCTACTCGGGAGGCTGAGGCAGGAGAATGGTGTGAACCTGGGAGGTGGAGATTGCAGTAAGCTGACATCGTGTCACTGCACTCCAGCCTGGGTGACAGAGTGAGACTCTGTCTCAAAAAAAAAAAAAAAAAGCAAAAAATCTGAATAGATATTCCTCAAAAAAAGAACATACAGATGGCCAAAAGATACATGGAAAGGTGCTCAATATCAATGATCATCAGAGAAATTCAAATAAAAACCACAATGAGATATCACCTCATGCCTATTAGGATGGCTGTTAGCAAAAAGTCAAGCAATAAGTGTAGGCTAGGATGAAAAGAAAAGGGAATCCTAGTGCACTCTTGCTGGGAATGTGAATTGCTATGACCATTAAGAACAGTATGAAGGTGCCTCAAAAATTAAAAATAGAACTACCATATGATCAGCAATCCCACTGCTGGGTATACATCCAAAGGAAATGAAATCAGTACCTTGAAAAGACATCTGTATCTTCATGTTCATTGCATTATTATTCATAATAGCTAGGAGGCGGCAACAACCTATGAATGGATAAAGGAAATGTAATATTTTAATGGAATATTATTTCACCACAAAAGAAGGAAATTCTGCCATGTGGGACAACATGGATGAAACTGGATAACATTATGCTAAGTAAAATACTCCAGGCAGAGAAAGACAAATGCTGTATGACCTCACTTATATGTGGAATCTAAAAATGTCTCAAACACACAGAAACAGAGTAGAAGAGCAAAGGTGGGGACTATGGAGAAATGTTAGTAAAAGGCCACAAACTTTCAGTTATAAGATGAACAAGTTCTAAGATACAGCATGGGTGGTGATGGGTATGTAAATTAATTTGACTATGGTAATCATTACACAGTGTACCCATATCAAATCATCACATTGTACACCTTGGATGTATACAATCTATATTTGTCATTTAAATGAAAAAAGTAGTTCATCATTTCATTTTTTTTTAAAAAAGCCAAAATGTCTACCAAAAAAATTCAAATTAACTCTCTTAATCATTCTGTTGACCCTTAACTTTATGAACATAGCTATCTATGGCTGCTCTATCCAGCTGATACTTTCTCATAACCTCATGGCTCTTGCTCGAGACTTTCCTTCATCCTGGTTCTAGGAGGTCCTCACCAAGACCTCCTCGATTCCCACGTTTGATTACACGCTGATGACCTTGGAACCCTCAGGTCATCTCAGGGAAGTCCACTGTGCTTTCATCATCCAGTCATCACACTTTTGCCCTGGAACTTTTTTTAGACTATACGTTTTGCTAGAAAATGTTCTCCTCTATAAGTCACCAGACTCTTTTCTTCAAGTGGTTTCAGTTTCAGAACTTCTACTTTGTCCATAAAGCTTTCCCTAATGAATTGAAAGAGAAGAATTCTTGTTAGGTCTATCTGGTCTAAAGCTGCAACTAAATTCAAAACTCTTTCACTCCAAAGGCAGTGTGATAGAGTGGATAGAGCATGGACTTGGGCATTAATGAAGCCTTGATTCTGAAGTAAAAAATTTCATGTTGGCTGTCACACTGATTGTGTGCAATTACTTTTAGTCTCAGTGTCTTCAAACTTAATCTAGAGATAATGTCATCTACCACATATGGTTAATACCCATATTAAATGCATGTATACATGTATAGTATCTGATACTTGGCACTGAACAAATGTAGTCCCTACTCCATTCTATAGAATGCATATCTTTTACATATATCCAATATAATATTCAATTTGTTTACTTGATTACAGAGTCAGCCTGGACTAGGTTTTGTAGAAACATACAACCCTAACACAACAGTGGTTTAACTACAAAGGTTTGTTTCTTATTTATGTTCCATGTCCCTGCAGCCTTGCTCCATTTTGTTTTTATTCTAGGAACTGAACAGAAGAAGCAATTCCTTATATAGGACATTTCAGTCTTATGGCAGAAAGGAAAGAGAACATGGCAGAACCATGAGATGGCTGTTAAAGCTTTTGATTGAAAAGGGCATGTATCACTTCTCACATTTCATTGGCTAAAGCAAAGCCACATGATCAAACTTGAGATCAGCATGACAGGGAGGGGTATTACAGATAAGACTTTGAAAAATAATACACTCTATGACATTTGTATTTTTCTTAAATGTTTAATTTATAGCCAAATATTATGCATGTTTGCAATGTTAATTATCTTCTAAACTTCCAGAAGAAGAACTATGGCAATGTGATATTTCACACTATAAAGCATATACTACATGCATGATATACTTTACACTATAGACTCCAGAAGAATTCGGGAACTATGTCTTTTCCCACTACCTTGAGCAACATCTACACCACAGGCTCTTGGTGACATTTGGGAGAGTGTTCATCACTCAATTTTACAGGCAGGTCGAATGGCTCCAGAACACAGTCATTAGGAATGAGGAAAGGCACTGTGTTTACCTGCCTAATTTGAGGGCTGTTCCTGTGGAGACTATTCTATCATGACTCATCTGTAGGATGATAAAAACCACTGCAAGGACCCAATTGCATTCTCATTTGTTTTATTACTTAATCATTCTAGACAGTCAACTTATGTTATGATATGGGTATCAGAACAATGCAAGGACAAACAACAGTAATTCAAAAAACAGCAGATAAATTTGTCAGTCTAGTTTCCAGATAAATCCACAGCATAGCCTGGCATATTACCTGACAGAGATAAACACACAACCACACAAAACTTGTTTTTAATTTAGGCCCACAATTTTTTTTTTTTTTTTTTGAGATGGAGTCTCGCTCTGTTGCCCAGGCTGGAGTGCAGTGGTGCCATCTCAGTTCACTGCAACCTCTGCCTCCCGGGTTCAAGCAATTCTCCTCTCCCAGCCTCCCGAGTAGCTGGGACTACAGGCACACGCCACCATATCCGGCTAATTTTTGTATTTTTAGTAGAGACAGGGTTTCACAATGTTGGCCAGGATGGTCTCAAACTCCTGACCTCATGATCTGCCCGCCTTGGCCTCCCAAAGTGCTGGGATTACAAGCATAAGCCACTGCGCCCGGTCTTAGGCCCACAATTATTTTTTATCCAATTGTCAATTGATGAGTATTTATATAATTGTATTTTATATAATTTTTATTGTTACATAAAACACTGAAATGAACTTTCTTATAGGTGTTGAGCATCTGCATCAATATTTCTTAAGGATAAATTTCTAAGTGTGGATTGTTGGCTGAAGTGGTGTATATACATCTCTAGGGCTTTTGATTCCAAACCATTAGTCCTTCCATCTTTCACTATCTCCCAGTCCTTTGATGCTCTCACTTCCTACCTTACCCAACTTAAGTTTCACAACAAATCATTATTACTCCCTTGCACATACCCTCAACCCCCATTCCCCCTCACTTTATTGTACTTGTGACAAAACTATAACTCTTGTTAAATCTAATTCTCATCTACTGTGTACCTGCACTCAGCTACTCTCCAATGCCCCTCTCTGACATGTCTATTAAGCTTGATCATGTGGCTTTGCTTTAGCCAATGAAATGTGAGAAGTGAGACACACCCTTTGCATTCAGAAGCTTTAACGGCCATCTTGTGGTTCTGCCATGATCTCTTTCCTCTCTGCCACAAGACGGAAATGTCCTATATGGGGAATTGTTCCTTCTCTTTGGGTCCCAGAATGAAATGTATAATAAGTAAACATTTAACTGTAAAACAAACTTCCCAACTATTTTCCAAATTGGCTATACCATTTTGCACCTGCAACCAGGCAGCTGGAGAAAAATGCACGACCTTATTGACTGGTCTCATGTTAAAGTTATGACCACCAACTTCAAATGGGTCCTTAATGTTGGCAGGTCATCATGCTAGTTGTTTTCAGACCATTCATTCTCCCACTATGCTTCTTGGCTATTTCACACGATTTTATTTTTCTCAACTGCCTCCTCTCCCATCCTTGCATTCAGATTTCTACCTCACTGTGAAAACTGAAGCAACCAGAAGAGAGAACAAACACTCAAGGCTCCTCCCACCACATTACTGTCTTCATGGCAAGTGTTCTATTACACTCTGTCTTCCCAGCTGTTACTACAGATGAGTGGTCCCTGCTCCTGGCTACTCCAAGGATGTCACTCTAGCAATACTGCTCTCTTGCTTCTTTATTATCATTTTTCATCTACTGCCTCATTCCTATCAGCATACAAACATGCTGCCATTCCCCCATCTTAAAAATAAAACTATTTTCTCTTGACCCGCCTTCCTTGCCAACTATCATCCCCTTAGCAAAACTCTTTAAATTCTTTTGTCTGTACTCAGTCTTCAATTTCTCCCTTCCATTTTTTAAAATATAGTCATCATTGAGGTAGACTATAATAAAACTATAGAAAGAATGGGGTTTCACCATGTTGGCCAGGATGGTCTCAATCTCTTGACCTTGTGATCCACCTACCTTGGCCTCCCGAAGTGCTGGGATTACAGGCGTGAGCCACCGTGTCCAGCCATCATTTTATGTTTTTGGCGTTTTTATAATGGTATTAAAAAATTTAATTTCTAATTGCTCATTACTGGTATATAAAATACAATTAGGTGTTGTATATTGATTTTGCATATTGCAACCTTGCTGAATTTACTTATTATTTCTCTTAATTTTATATATACCTTAGGATATTCTGTTATCTGCAAATAATGGCAGTTTTACTTCTTATTTTCTTCTGTATGCCTTTTATTTTTATTTATGCATTATTACATTGCCTACAACCTCTACTGCAATGTTAAGCAAAAGGACTGAAATGGAATCCTTGCCTTGTTTCTGATTTTAGGGGGAATGCAGTGAGTCTTTCATCAATAAGTACGATGTTAGCTGTAAGATTTTTTTTTTTTTTTTTTTTGAGACAGGGTCTTGCTCTGTCACTCAAACTGTAATGCAGTGGCGTGATCACTGCGGAGTGCAGCCTGAACTTCCTGGGCTCAAGTGATCCTCCCACCTCAGCCTCCCAAGTAGCTGGGATCACAGGCACATGCCACCATGCCTGGCTAATATTTTTATTTTTTGTAGAGATGGAGTTTCACTATGTTGCCCAGGCTGGTCTTAAACTCCTTGACCCAAGCAATCTTCCCACCTTGGCCTCCCAAAGTGCTGGGATTACAGTCATGAGCCACCATGCCTGGCCAATATTTTTTTTATGCCCTTTATAAAGTTGAGAAAGTTCTCCTGTATTCTGTGAAAAAATGTTGTGTTTTCTTATATGATTTTTCTGCATCTACTGATTCTGCATCTACTGCATCTACTGATTCAATTCTTATTTTAGTCTATTAACATGATGGATTACATAGACTTTTTCTGTTTTTATAAAAAAAATTGTGGTATAAGAACCTAAAATTTTTTGTGATTTTTGAATGTTAAACCAACTTCACATTCTTGGTATAAATCCTCACTTTACTGTGATTTTTTAAAAATATGTGTTTCTGGATTCAATTTTCTCAAAGGTTTATAAAGGAGTTTTCCACATATTCATGAGGGATACTGGTCTGCAGGGTTTTCGTTTTTATCTTTTTAAATATCTTTATCTGATTTTTGCCAGACATTGTGGCTCACACCTGTAATCCCAGCACTTTGGAAGGCCAAGGCAAGTGGATCACTTGTGGCCAGGAGTTTGAGACCAGCCTGGCAACAGGGAAAAACCCTATTTCTACTAAAAATACAAAAATTAGCTTGGTATGGTGGCGCGCACCTGTAATGCCAGCTGCTGGGGAGGCTGAGACATAAGAAGCACGTGAACCTGGGAGGCAGAAATTGCAGTGAGCTGAGTTTGCACTGCTGTATTCCAGCCTAGCCAACAGAATGAGACTATGTCTCAAAAAATAACGAAATGAAATAAAATAAAATATCTTTATCTGTTTTTGGTACTGGGATTAATGCTTGTCTCATAAAATGACTTGGAAATTGTTCCTTCTTCTTCTATTTTCTGAAAAAGTTTTAGTAGAATTGGTACTATTTCTTCTCTTTGTTTAGTTCTGTTGACCAGTAATACCACATGAGTCTGGTATTTTCTTTGTGGGAAGGTGCTAAACTATGAATTCAACCTCTTTAATAGATATAGAGCTATTCAGGTTATCCATATCCAGTCTTGAGTAAGACTGGTAGTTTGTGTGTTTAAAGCAATTTTTTCATTAAAACTAAGTTATCAAATATATTGGCATACATTTTTTTCATAACATTCCCTTATTATCATTACAATGTCTTAGGATCTGTGTGAACCCCCCCTTTTTATTCCTCACATTCATAATTTTTGCCTGTCTCTTTCTCTCTTGACCAATCTGGCTATACTTTTATCAAATTCAGTTATCTTTTTAAAGAACAAATTTTTTGTTTTATTTATTTTTGTTTTTTATTCTACATTGATTTGCAGTCATATCTTCATTTTTCATTCTTTCCACTTACTTTGCATTTAATTTGGTCTTTTTCCCTAGTTTTAGGTAGAAAGTTAGATTATTGATTTTAGGCCTTTCTTATTTTTTAACATAAGCATTTATTACTGTTAAGTTTTTTCTAAACATTGTTTTTGTTGCATCCCACACATTTTGATACACTGTGTTTCCTTTTCCTTTACTTCAAATTATTTCTAATTTCTCTTACAGTTTATTTTTTGACCCATGGGTTATTTTAAAGTATATTTTTAATTTCCAAATATTTTAGGATTTTTTTCAAATATATTTTTCTTCTTTATTTCTACTTTAACTCCATTGTGGTCAAAGAATGTGTTCTAGGCCAGGCGTGGTGGCTTAGGCCTGTAGTCCCAGCACTTTGGGAAGTGGAGGCAGGCTGATTACTTGAGCCTAGGAGTCTGAGATCAGACTGGGCAACATGGCAAAACCCGTCTCTACAAAAAGTACAAAAAATTAGCCAGGTGTGGTGGCGCATGCCTGTAGTCTCAGCTACTTGAGGAGGATCACCTGAGCCCGGGAGGTTGAGGCTGCAGTGAGCGGAGATTGTGCCACTGTACTCTAGCCTGGGCAACAGTGAGTGAGACCCTGTATCAAAAAAAAGAAAAAGGAGAATGTGCTCTACATGATTTCAGTTCTTTTTAACATATTGAATTTGTTTAATGCCTGCGCATATAGTCTCTGTTAGTAAATGTTTCACGTGCCCTGGAAAAGAATGTATATTCTGTTGTAATTGAATAGAGAGTTCTATAAATGTCAAATAAGTCAAGTTGGTTGATAATGTTATTCTGGTCTTCTGTCTTTGTTCTAAAAAATTATTTTTACTTGTTCTATCTATTACTGACAGAGGAATGTTGAAATATCCAATTAAAATTGTGGATTGATGTATTTTTCCTTTCAGTTCTATCATTTTTTGACTCATTTATTTTGAAGCTCTATTATTAAGTGCATATAAATTTTGGATTGTTATATCCTTTTGATTAATTGATCCCTTTAATATTATCAAATGCCCTTCTTTATCCTCAGTAATATTCTCTGTTCGGAAGTCTTTTCGGAGATAATATAGCTACTCTTTTTTTCATCAGTGTTTTACATGTTATATATTTTCCATCCTTTTTACTTTAATCTGTGTGCTTTTACATAGATTAATATGTTAAAAATTGATTTTTAAAGTGATTTTCTTGTATACAATGTGTAATTGGGTTAGTATATATTTTATTTAATATCATAATCTCTGCCTTGTAATTGGAGTGATTAGAACATTTATATTAATGTAATTGTTGTATGTATGGTTGGGTTTAACTCTACCATCTTGCTGTTTGTTTCCTGTTTGTCTCTTCTGTTTATTTTTCCTTTTATCCTGCTTCCTTTGGATTAAACAAGGATTTTTAAAATTATCTATTTTTATCCCCACTATTTATTTTTTACTTTTTCCAATTCTATTGCAGTGTAATTGACAAATAAAATTGTATATGTTTAAAGTATACAACATGATGATTTCTTTTACATGTATATTGCGAGATGATCACCACAATCAACTTAACACACGTATTACTCCACATAGTTAAGTTTGTGTGTGTGTTGAGAACACTTAAGATCTACTTTCTTAGCAAATTGCAATTAATCAATACAGTGTTATTAACCACAGTTACCATGCTCTTTGTTGGATCTCTGAACCTATTCATCTTAAATCTGAAAGTTTTTACCCTTTGACTGACATTTCCCCATTTCCTTCACTCCCAACCCCTGACAACTACATTTCTACTCTGATTTTATGAATTTGACTTTTTTAGATTCCATATATAAGTGAGATCATACAGTATTTGTCTTTCTCTACCTGGCTTATTTCACTTAGCATTATGATCTCCAGTTTCATCTGTGTTGTGTATGGCAGGATTTCCTTCATGTTTATGGCTGAATAAACATTCCATTCTCTCTATAAAACATATTCTTTATCCATTCACCCATGGATGGGCATTTAGGGTGTTTATATATCTTGACTATTTTAAATAATGCTGCAGTGAACACAAGGGTGCAGATATTTCTTCAAAATACTGCTTGCATTTCCTTCAGACATATACCAAGAGTGGGATTGCTATATATATGCTAGTTCTATGTTTAACTTTTTGAGAAATCTTTCTACTGTTTTCCATAATGACTGTGCCAATTTACATACCTACTAACAGTGCACAAGCATTGTCTTTTCTCCATATCCTCTCCAGCACTTTTTATTTTTCATCTTTTTGATAATAGCTATCCTAACAGGTGTGAGGTAATAGCTCATGTGATTTTTTTTTTTAAGATAGAGACTTGCTCTGTCATCTAGGCTGGAGTGCAGTGGCATAATCATAGATCAATGCAGCCTTAAATTCCTGGGCTCAATTGATCCTCCCACCTCAGCCTCCTGAGTAGCTAGAATACAGGTACATGCCACGATGCCTGGCTAATTTTAAAATCTTTTGTAGAGACGAGGCACTGTGTCGCCCAGGCTGGTCTCAAACTCCTGGCCTCAAGTGATTCCCCCTGCCTTGGCTTTCCACAATGCTGGGATTATAGGCATGAGCCACCATGCTCAGTCCGTCATTGTGATTTTGATTTGCATTTCCCTAATGATTTTATCTGCACATTTGGTTTACTAGCTATACTTGTTTTGTTTTTCAAAAAATTAATAGCTGCTCTAGGGTGTACAGTATACATCTTTAACTTATCACAGTCTACTTTCAAAAAATATTATACCATTTCATGTATAGTTTAAGAACCTTACAAAGGCATCCTTCCAAATTCCCCCTCATTCCTTTGTGCTATTGTTCTCAGATATTTTGCTTCTGTGTATGCTGTAAACCTTATAATACAGAGTTGTTAGTTTTGCTTATAGTCGATTACCTTTTAAAAACATTTTCTAAATCAGAAAAAACTTTTATATGTATTCACATGTTTACCATTTCTGGCACTTATTTCTTTGTGTAGATCCAGGAATCCTTTATTTCTTGTTGTATAGGGCTACTGGCAATTAACTTTCTAAGCTTTTGTTATCGTTGTTCTTTTTTAAAAAATTGTGGTAAGAACACTTAACGTAAGAGCTACCCTCTTAACAAACTTTTAAGTGTACAATACAGTATCATTAACTACAGATTGGACAATAGTTTTATAGAACTTAACCAACTTACAGAACTGAAATTTTATAATTGTCGAATAGCAACTCCTCCCCTCTTGTTGATCTTAAAATGGTTTTCTTTCACCTTGATTTTTGAAAGATATATTTTCATGGGTGTACTATTCTGGGCCAACAATTTATTTTATTTTATTTTTCTGTCAGCACTTTAAAGACGTTCTGTTGTCTTCTGACCTGTGTGGTTTCTGGTAAGTCAGCTGTCATTTTTTATCTTTGTTTCTCTTTATGTGGTGTATCTCTTTCCCCTGACTGCTTTAAAATGTTTTCTCATTATTAATGGATTTCAATAACTTGATTATGAAGTGCCTAAAGAGGTTTAGTTTATATTTATTCCGCTTGGGGTTTTTGGATCTATGTTTTTTTTAATTTCAACAAATTTGGATTTTGGGGGCCATTATTTCTTCAATTACATTTTATGTCCACTTCTCTTCCCCAAGTCTTCTCTCCTGCTAGGACTCCAGTTAAATGAATATGAGACACTTTGATTAGTCCCACAACTCACTAAGATCTTGTGCCATTTTTTTTTCAGTATCATTTTCTCTTTGTGCTTCATGTTGGTTAGTTTCTATAGCAGTGTCTTCAAGTTCAGTTTTCTTTCCTGGTATGGCATGTTTTACCTCTAGAAGTTTTATTTGGCTCTTTTTAAATCTTCCATTTTTCTCCTCATCAAGTTTATGTTTCCCTTTACATCTTGACCATATTTATAAGATTGTGGTACTTGTTTTAAGGTTCTTGTCTATGAATTCCATGATGTATGGCTTTTCTGGGTCTGTTTCTGTTAATTGCTTTTTATTCTGGTTATGGGTAATATTTTTCTGCATCTTTTAAGACCTGGTAATTTTTAATTGGATACAAAATTGTAAATTTTGCTTTCTTTGCTACTGGCTTTAATGTATTCCTTTAAAGATTGTAGAGGTTTTTTGTTGTTGTTGTGGTTTTGTTTTTCCTGGCATCCAGTTAAGGTACTTCAGTATCATTTAAGGTTGGATTTTAAGTTTTTTTTTTAGAATGGGTCCAGAGAAACCTTTATTTTGGGACTAATTGAGTTCCCTCACTAGGCATGAGCCTTCTGGGGGTGCTAACTATTGTATGGAGTCTCTTTATTTTGGTTAGTGGGAACATGAATGCCTTCCAATTCTGTGTGATCTTCAGAATTGTTCTGGGAAGCCTTTTCCCAGCCAGGGGGTGTTTTCTCTTATGTATGTTCAGATTAATACTCAGCCAAAGTCTCAAAGGGACTCCTCTTCAGATCTTCAGAGATTTTTCTCTGTGCAACACTCTTTTTTGGTACTCTGCCTTATAAGTTCTAGCCATTTTGGTATCCTCAGACCTGATCTTGATCTCTTTAGCTCAGCAGGCATGTCAGGTTCTTTATGTTCTCCTGCCTGCGCTGTGGCTAAACACTGGCTCTCAGTAGTAAGCTAGGACATCCTAAAGTGCATCTCTTTTTTTCCCTTCTCTCAGTGATCAGTCCTATGCTGCCTATTGTCCAACATCTGAAAATGATTATTTCATCTATTTTCATCAAGCTTTCGAGTTGTTTATAATTGAAGAGTGATTCCTATTACTGCTAATTCTCCTTGGTCAAAGGAGAAGTCCCTCGGTTAGATTTTGCCCCACCATTCTGCTGAAACTCTTTGCATGAAGGCCACCAATGATCTCCAGATTGCTAAATCTAATATTGCCTGTATTTAAGATTCACAAAAGACAGTTAACTCTCCTTCAGAACTCATAAAACTATACAGATGGCAGAAGTAGAATGACATGTAAGAGCACTGAGTAAACCTATTTAGCACTTTATTTTTATTTTATTTTATTTTTCATTTTGGACACTTCAAGACCATTGAGTACTGTTTAGCACTTTAAATAAAATTAGTCATGAATTCTTAAAAGTTTCATAGACAGCGTGGAGCTTACCTAAGTGAAATGCACTTGTTTGGAAATGCACCTGGGATATTGTTTTTATTCAGGTATGGTGAGGCCAACACATGAGGAGACAGTTGCCACTGAAAAGGTAGTCTGTTTCTCACAGTTCTCAGGAGGAGGGAGCTTGCAGTACCACACAGGGACACATAGATTTCGAAATGTGGGTCAGAGGAGAGGCAGAAAGAGAAAAGGGAAAGCACGGGCAGAAGCCTTGATTGTGGTTGTCATGGGAAAGGATGGGAGAGAAAGGGTAAGGAGCAAAGCAGGGGTAGGATTGGATGGTTTGAATAATTTCTATGGGCTCTGGGCTATTGGGGTGGTCCTCAGTTGTCCACTGCATGGCCCTGGAATGATTAGAGCAGAGGAATATTGCCTTCTGAAGTGTAAAAACCAGCTAGAGATGGTTTGAAGTAAGAGTTCTGGACTAGTTAGTTTGCATACGAAAGGCATGCTCACAGGCAAGTTGTTTGCTATCTCAGAAATTAATTAACCCTGGGAGGGGCAGGTCCCAAGTTGTCAAAGCATCATAAAATGCAGAAAAAAAAACATGACTGATACACAACTATAACAAACTGACCAACCTCACAGAGACTTGTCTTCATCAGGGAATGAGAGAGGGGAGACAAAGTGATTCCTGGAGGGCTTGGTCCAGTCATGAGTCCAGAGGCCAGAACCCAGAGCCACTGTAGTGAATGGGCCGCTGTCTTCTCACAGCTGGATCTCTACAGTCTTCTTGCTGCTGGTTTTACTTTTCCTCTTCACACTGTAATCATGGTAATGTTTATAATGTATGCCTGATCATATTGCTCATCCACTTACACTCTGCAGTGGCTACCCATTATTCATAGAATCAAGTTGAAACTTCCTAACATGGGATTCAGCTAATATTTAGTCTCATTTCTTGCCATAAGTCACTCCCCCTCAGTGCCCTACATGCACCAAATCCTGTCCCCCACCAAACACACAATGTAATCAGCTATACTGAATTTCCCCAGTTCTTTAAAAACATCGATCTCCTTTTTCTTTCTTCATACTTGTTCCCTTTTGTTCTAACTTCGAAGAATCCTTCAGAAATTGACTCAAGCATATTGTCCTCAGAGAGGTTTTTCTTGACCGTCCTCCAATCCAGGCCGGCTCAAGGGACCCACTGAATCTTCACACAGCACTCTGCTTCCCCATCATGGCTCTAACCACACTTCTCTAATTGCCTATTTACTTCTGTCAGTTGCTGTGAGGACAGCGCCCATATAAGTCGTGTTCACCTCTGTATTTGCAGCACCTAGTACAGTGCACGGCCCATGGCGGTCTTTCAGGAAACATATCTAAAATGCATGTAAATGAATGAAGTAGCAGTGCTATAGGACTAGGCCTGGGTGGGATTTAGGTGTTCCCAGAGGGGCCTGAGCTGACACTGATCTGAGAAGTGCCTCGGGCTTCTAACACTCTTTCTGCTGGGATAACTGCGGTTGGGGCTAGGTTGGGGAGGCCGTAAACCATTCCTGACACTGAATGAGAACCAAACTAGTCTCCAGGGAAGAGAGAAGAGGAAATATAGCATTTTGTTGGGAAATTTTTCCTCAGTAAGTTCACTCTGGGTCATTTAGTTCTTTATGCCCAAAAAAGTTAACACACCCATCAGTAACAGTGAGTGCTCTGATCTTAAATTTGTTTAAAATCAGGACAGGGATGACTGCATATAACAAAAGAAGGTGAGTCACAAGAAATCCAGTGTTATTAAGAAAATATATGCCGGGCACGGTGGCTTACACCTGTAATCCCAGAACTTTGGGAGGCCAAGGCAGGCGGATCACGAGGTCGGGAGACTGAGACCATCCTGGCCAACATGGTGAAACCCCATCTCTACTAAAAATACAAAAATTAGCTGGGCATAGTGGCACGTGCCTGTAATCCCAGCTACTTGGAGGTTGAGGCAGGAGAATCACTTGAACCACAGAGTCAGAGGTTGCAGTGAGCCAAGATCACACCACCGCACTCTAGCCCGGTAATAGAGCGAGCCTCCGTCTAAAAAAAAAAAAAAAAAAAAGCAATAACACTTTATAAACATTGTGATATTTATTTTCATTTTCAGCATTAACAGAGGTGACAAATATTACGTGTCCATTTTTCTGAACCTATAGCTAAAGCCATCTTTTCCAGAGAAAGAATGAAATTTTTAAAATATTTGAGAAAGAAATCTCCAAATGCTAAAGAAACCTCTGTATAGGAAAGGAAGTTACTCACACATCTACAAAGGAAGAAGAGATGGGGAAGAAACTCTGGAGGTGCTGAATAGCTCTAGTACATTTTGATTGAGGTCTAGACTAGAGAAACTAGCCTAAAATTACAGTAGGACATATTAGGTTAGACAGCAGAGGAAGAGATCAAGAGATCCAACTCTCTCTCTCTCTCTCACACACACACACACACACTCACACACTCACCCCTCACACACATTAGCAGATTGTTGTATACTGAGTTTGTTTAAAAGACAGGGGTATATCCAGGCTACTTTTTCCAAGGCAACTTTAAACATTAAATGACAGATGTTTTTCTTCCTCTAGCAGTTCCTTTTGTAAAAGGAGGGGACTCTACACTTTTAGATTTCTCTTGTTTGGAACCTTGTCAGCATTGCTTTGCCCATTTCAAGAAAATGTTTTCAGAAATTGTGAACATCGCTGATAACATCAGTTCCCTCATCAGAAAAGCAATCAAGCTGGTGTGCATGCACTCTGGATGGTATATGGGGGTGGTCACTGGGAATGGTAGGCCTCTTCCTTGTTATTATGTGTTACTAACCAGAATTTGGGAAATATATTTGACTATAAATTCTTGATATCAAATCTGCCAGCACCAGCCAGAGATAGGAATAATAGATATCAAGTTAAAGGCAGATTTAAGTGACTGTAGTTTAGGCAAGCACTTGCTAAAAGTTAGGGCAGGGGTCCCCAACCCCCAGGCCCCAGACCAGTACCAGTCCATGGTCTATTAGGAACTGGGCCGCACAGCAGGAGGTGAGCAGCGGGCAGGTGAGTGAGTGAAGCTTCATCGGTATTTACAGCTGATCCCCATCGCTGGCATTACCGCCTGAGCTCCACCTCCTGTCAGATAAGCAGCAGCATTTGATTCTCACAGGGGCATGAATCCTACTGTGAACTGTGCATGTGAGGGATCTAGGTTGTGTGCTCCTTATTTTTGTTGCTGATGTTGTTTAGTGTGGGCTGGGGGTGGGGCGGAGGGGAAAGGACAAGTGTTCTAGCTGGGAGCACCCTCCGGGCATGGAACACAGGTCCTACCTGGAAAGGTCTAAGATTCTCTCATCTGTCCTCCTATGGTGTATTAAGCACCACAGCTGCAGGAGATCAGAATTTTACTGTTTAATTATTTAATGCTGGTTTTCTTACAGCCTACCCTGTATCTCCAGTTTTAGTTCCTATTATTATAAGTTTTTCTGGCCTAGTCCCTGAACCTTTAGAACTTAAATTTCTCTCTGGCTCTTGGCCTGTAGTATGACACGAATTTTCGTATTTGTTTTTCTCTCTACGTGTGTTAGCAAAATTGAAGTTTTGAATAAAAGTGTTGCCAAATGATAAAATGTATGGTTGTCAAATATTTATCTATAAGTCTTTTCCTTTATTAAAATAAAAACTCAATTCGTGATTACTGTAGAAAGTTGGAAGCATAAAACAGTCCAATAACCAGTTGTTTGAAAAGCTAAGGGAAAGCCAGTTGTGTTTTGCTGGTGGCAAAATTGAAGGTGCACTGATTCTGGAATAAGAAAACACGGGTTCAAATAGAGGTTCTGCAGTTGCCTGGCTTCGCGGTCTTTAATATGTCAGTAAAATTGAGGCAAAAATTAAATGCCTTACTCTGAAAAGGCATGCATGCGGGAGGGCCCACACAAAGTAGCCACCCAGTAAAAGGTTAAGAGACTTGCACTGAATAATGAGAAAATGGGCGATTAGAGTTTTTAATATGCCTGCACATTTTCTCTCTGTTCTGACCCCACTTCATGACATACAGCAAATCTTAAAAAGAGAGAAAAGAAAAAGAAATAAAGGGAAAAAGAGTATATCGATCTGATATTGCTTTAAGGCCTTTAGAATAGTGATACTTTATATCGAAAGATTGAACCATTTTTATGAAAACTCAAAACACTTCCTTCCCTCCGAGCACTGTGCCTCCACCCCTAGAGGGCAGCATGCCCCCAAAGAAATTCACCCAGGGCCCAATTAGAATCCATCTAAATGGCCAATTACCTTCAATTGAATTATTTCTCATCGACTTTAAAAATAACCCTTGAAACTCATTAGGCACACTATCCAGAATTTAAGGGAGTGTTACCTGCACTTTCTAATGACTCCCTCAGAAGCATGTTTTATTGAGACTGTCAAATAAATAAAGTGCCCAGGAAATTAAGAAACCTGGTGACCAGGCATCGCCTTTGTGGAAGGACCTCTACTCAGGAGGAAGCCCCTGCTGGTTTCCCACATGAGGCCGCTCCTTTGAAAGTGATTTTCTGCCACAACCTCTCCTCTTCCAACTCTCCTCAGAGCTCAGAAGTGACAAGGTGAGAGCTAGAGGTCCTTGCTCTTCCTCATCCCACCCACCTGCCTCCTTCACGTCCCTTCATTCCTGGCCCGTTAGGTTAAGGGCGCTTAAGGCACTTGAGCCTGGGCTCTTACCCACTGTTCTTTTGTTTCTAGAATTAGCTTTCACTTTCCTTCACTAACACCTTCATCACTGCCTCATACATAATGGAGAAAACACAGGCCTCACCCACTTTCAGACCCCAAATCCTCCCAATGATATGATGAGGCCCACTGCACACAATGCTTCACAGGCTCTCCAGCCCAGCAGCTCTCAAGCATTTGGGGCACATAGCACTGGCATTTTACACCCAAGTCTCCATGCCGCCTCCTCAGTGTCTTTCTGTCTTCAGGAGCTCTGAGTTGCAATCCAGGCCCAGCTGCTAATCAGAGCCTCGTGGTTCTAATATGCAAAATGAAAGAGGATGCCAGCTGCCTTCACCCAAGTTCTAGAGAGGCAGATAGGGATTAACAGTCACTTTGATGCCACAGTCATCTTGGAGAAAAGATGACACAATTTCTTCTATTCATAGAGACACATCAGTGAGGTTTCTAAACTCATTCTGGTTTGATTTTTGGATTTCTAGTGATTTTTTTCTCAAAAAATATGGGGTTTGGGTGGATAAAACAGTTTTCATCTATGTATGGGATGTTGTCAAAACAGGACACTAGAGTTGTTTTTGTTTTAATGAAAAATAACACTTCCAATATTGAAAGGCAGTATCCATTAATTCAATCGAACATTATTTCATAAGCAAATATGTTTGAAAAAATTAGCAAGTAAATGCATAAATAAATTACCTACATTGAAAGCTGATACTGGCAGATATGATAACATGTTTCCTGCTAACTAGTTTACATTTCTTTTGAAGTGAATTTCTGGCTGACAGTGTTCATGTCACAGATGCTATCCTCACCTGCTTCATTAAGGCCTGTTTAGAATACAGTTCTAATGTAGGTTTTATTCCATGTAAAGCCACCTAGAGATAATTTTAAATGATGATATCGACTAACAAACACGTAATCAAGAAGCTCTTAAAAATTTATTAAAATTCAGGTCTTTCACCATTAGCAAACCTGCTTCATTAACATATTAATAGATAATGTTCCTGCTCATAATTAGCGTGTATTTTCTTTGCATCATTGTAGTTGAAAGAATTCAGGTGGGGTTTGATAGAAAAGTTTTTTTTATCTCTGCCAACAAAGCACCTGGGAGAATAACCGAAGCTCCTGACCACCCATTTCCATTTTAATCATCCGCTTCCTTCCTCCCACATAGTTTTTCTCCTTAAGCTCAGTTTTATTTATTTACCCCATATTCAGCCTTCTGTGAATTACAGACATGTTAAGCCATGGACTACCTGCAAGTGAACAAGGATTTGGCCTACTTACTGACGGATGAATGCTAACTGCAAGAGAAACTCCAGGTGTAAAAATATTTTCATCCAGAGGTTGAGAAAAGCTGGAATCTGAAAACTGAAAATAAGCTCATCTTTTTCTTCAAAATAATTAAAAATCTTACTTGTTCCATGAGAGTGTATTGAATATAGAATATAGTCTATGTCACGTTTTTATGAAAAGAGTGATGTCCATTTCAAGGAATGATGTTTTACAGAGAGGAATAATTGAGGGATCTGCCTAAGGAGGCTTTTGTTTTTGTTTTTGGAGTGACCACAAAATGAGAGTAAGTCTATAACTGAGGTCTTTGGAATAAAGCTACAGGGTTATTTTGAAATATTCTCACTGCAGTGATATACTACTGGTAACTTATTAGCAATAAAGAATGGAATTGGTACTATCCCTTAAGATAAAAGGGAAAATAATATTTATACTAAAAATAGCGATTATCTTCTAATGTGGTCTAAACTGCCAGCCAATTGTGTTGACCACTGCCATTTTGGAGCAACACAATTCTGTGACTTTAGAGCACGTCTTGACATGAGGCAGAAGCCTCCCACATGCTCTAGCATACTGGAACCTCTTGGATGGGTCAGAGATTAGTTTTACTTACAAGGAGCACACACAACAGTCCTGCTGCACTGTGGGTATGGGTTCAAGTGTTTGAGGTCTTAGAGAACATCTAATTGCCCACTTATTTCATGCAGGAGCAAATGCAGGCCCAGAGAAGTCCAACAACATTCTCTAGAGCTCTCAGTTCGTTAGGCGTAGAGTTGAGGATGGCATTAAGGCCTTCTGATTTTTTTTAAACCATATCTCTTTCTTAAAATTTGCCAGCCCTGATTTTCTCAATAAGAGAAGAATTGAAATTATATCTATGAATTATTAAAATATAGTGATACAACGTGCTGGTTGTGAGGGAAAAATAAGCTGAATATGATCACAAAGAACATTGTCATCATCCACCCAGGATACCACCTGGATAAAGGGAGGATTCAGTTACAGTACAGGAGAGATACTGCCTCTTTGTCCTTTTAACACTGTGATCCCGAAATGCTATTTCTACATTTGTGAGTTAACAGAACTTAGTGTAACATATCCACTTGAACTTTTTGCAGTGGTGGAAATGTTAGATATCCGTATTAGCCAATACTGGAGCCAATAGCCACATGTGGCTTTGAGCATTTAAAATGTGGCTAGGGCAGCCAAAGAACTAAATTTTTAATTTTATTTAATCTTAGCTAATTTACATTTAGATAGCTGCATGGGGCTAGTGGCTATTCTATTGGACCTCACAGATTCAGCATAGCCTGTTGGAAGAGCTATTATAAATTCAGATAATGTCAGTGAGCTAGAGACCTCTGGTGGAGGGGACTGTTACCTGCAAGACGCTGAGCACAACTTTTTTTTTTTTTTTTTTTTTTTTTTTTTTAAGACGCAAACATTTCAAGATTGGTCACACATTTTAATACCAACACCACTGCTTAATGTGACATGCAAATTCTCTAGGCAGTAAGGGATGGAATAACAAAGAATGCAGAGACTAACTATTATATTGATTAATATTTGCTGTGGTGATACCAAGTTTCTGTTACTAGGTTTAACAGGACCCTAGAAGGATAGTTTAACTAGAAGGATAGCTATATTGTGGTTCTCTGGCACGAGAAATGGAATGTCCCAGGTCCCCAGGCAGATCTAGAAGCATTCTTTGTGATGGGAGATAGTCTCAAGCTGTATCAATTAAGAGGTGATGTAGCTTGGCGGAAGTCTGCACCAAGTTCAAGACAATGGCTGTTTGAGCACGTTGCTAGAAAACAAATGCCAGTGCTGTTTCCACCTCCTCGCCGACACACAACCACATACGGTTGCCTCCATAAAGCTAAGGTAACCTGTTGCTCTTAAGGTAGGTTAAAAAGAGAGATTTGGGGCCTTTTTACCCCTCTTAAGTAGCGCTCCCTACAATGGAGTTCACCGATGTATTGGGTTCCTTTCTGACCCTACTGTTTTCCACATCGCTTGTTATACTCTCCAGGAAATTTGAGGCCTCCTTTTTCCTTCTCTGGTAATTCTTACCTCTTCTCAAATTTATCTTTGCTTGGCTTCAATCCTGCTTCCATGACTGAAAGCTACAAAAGTGCCTAAGACAGAGATTGCTAGCTGGCTTTAATAGTTGTCAAAAGTAATAGAACTAATTTTTAGCTAGCATTTTCTAAATGTAAACTACTTAAAATAATGCTCAATATATGCTGGTTATTATTATTCGTGAGAATTAGAAATATCTTATATAGCCAAGTTCGTCATTTATGGCTTCTGAATTTCTGGCTTATGTAAGTTCCCACGTACATTAAAGGGATCCAAATGTCTTCCTAAAGACCCATGGATGGTTTGGCTACACATTTAGAAAATCAGTGACACTCTATTAAATATGATTGGAATTAATAACTTAAATTGGAAAAGTAGCTAGATATAAAATTTTAAAGAAAATATACTAATCAGCCAGGCATGGTGGCTCTTGCCTGTAAATCCCAGCACTTTGGGCAGCCAAGATGGGAGGATTGCTTGAAGCCAGGAGTTTGAGATCAGCCTGGGCAACATAGTGAGATACTGTCTCTACAAAAATTTTTTTAAAAACTTAGTTGGACATAGTGATGCACACCTGTAGTCCCCAGCTACTTAGGAGGCTGAGGTGGGAGGATCCCTTGAGCCCAGGAGGTTGAGGCTGCTGTGAGGCATGATCGCACCACTGTAATCCAGCCTGGGCCACAGAGTGAGACCCTGTCTCACAACCAGACTTACTGGTTGTGTGATCTTGGGCAAGTTACTCAGGCTTTCCGATTGTGGTCTCTTCCTTTATAAAATGTGTATAATAGCAATCACTTCAAAGAACTGTATGAGAATCAAACAACACAGCAAATAAGCCACCAGGCAGTTGGAAGAGTCTCAGGAACTAATCATGGTACATGCCATGATTAACAGTAAAACAAATGGATGATGTTACAAGGCAGTTATAAATAACACAGAATCAGGCACCAATATTTGGATTAGAACCAAACTTATTACTTCCTAACCTTAACCTTAAAACATATACGTGGCCAGGCACAGTGGCTCATGCCTGTAATCCCAGCACTTTTGGGAGGCCGAGGCAGGTGGATCACCTGAGGTCAGCAGTACGAGACCAGCCTGGCCAACACAGTGAAACCCTGCCTTTACTAAAACTACCAAAAAAAAAATTAGCTGGGTGTGGTGGCCGGCACCTATAATCCCAGCTACTCGGGAGGCTGAGGCAGGAGAATCGCTTGAACCCAGGAGGCAGAGGTTGCAGTGAGCCGAGATCATGCCATTGCACTCCAACCTGGGCGGCAAGAGCAAAACTCTGTCTCAAAAACAACAACAACAAAAAACCATAAACACAACAACTCTTATTTTCAGTTTCCTTGTCTATAAAATGGAAATATTTATCTCTGTGTACTTCAAGGGATTATTTTGAAACTCAAATAAGATAATATTCCTTGAGGTACACTGAAGTTTTAAGTCCCAAACGCTTGGTTTACAATTTTAAATAAATATTAAGAAAATGCTGATTGACAACAAGGATTTTTCTTTCTGATTTGCCTTGACAGTTTAAGGTTGAAAATGACTTTATACCATGAGAGGACCTTTCAGCTTAAAAAATGGTATGAAGTTGAACAATCACGTCAATGTTTTACTCTTTCCTCTTGCCTGGGAATGGAAGGATGAGAAGATTATACACATTTCAGTGGATGAATGTCAACAGTAAATGGACAAAACTGTCATATGGTGCTTACTTCACATTATTTTTCTTCTGAAACTGGACGTATCTTGCCTCTCTTTTTAAACAGGAATAAGTAAGACAGAGCATGCAGTAGCTTATCAACAAAGTGGTGGTTGACAATTTTTTTCTGTAAAGGTCCAGACAGTAAATATTTTTGACTTTGCAAGACATATAGTTTCTGTCTCTAAGATTCAACTCTGCTATTATAACAACAGCAAACATGGACAACAAACAGATGAGTGGGTGTAACTGTGTCCTAACAAAAGTTTATTTACAAAAACAGACAGAGGTTGGCCTGTGGGCCAGTTTCCCATTACTCACTTAAACACTCGTTGGTTGGCCACTTGGACCTCAAAGGGAGTAAAGATCACTAACCAAGGTTATTAAACTAAGAGAGCAGGGAGAAGTTGAAAATCATAGTGGCAGGGTATTGTTCTCTTTTAGATCCATACAATCTTGGATATTTAGAAATATCAAAATGTGGCAAGATATCTGTAGATTTTTAACTCTCCCCAAAGTTTAGTAACCTTAAATAAATATACTTATCACATTTTAACTGACAAATGAAAAAGGTGGCAGTAATAGAGAGGAAATAATGCACTTTCTAACATGGCTTTTTCCATGTTATTTATGCCATGGTAACTAAGATGAAAATTGGAACATAAATGCTCAGCACAGACTAAAGGATGATCTCATCATGACCAACAAAATCAGGGATATTTTCATCACAATGCTCTAAGAGTTATAAGTATAAATCCCTCTATATCAGGGAAAGAATACATTGAGAGGCATCTTAAACTGAAGAAAATGTAGAGTTCAAGGTGGAGAACTACATCCTTAACTTAGGAAAACTACATCCTTAACTTACTGAGATAAACTGGAATTTTGACAGTATGCTACCACAGAGGGAAAGCGAAATCATTTTGCTAGCACATGGGAATACTAAATATCAATATTGGAATATAACAAGTTGAACTTTGGATAAATTTTTCAGGTTTTATTCTGAATTAATGTGCCTTTGAAAATAAATACATTAACTATCAAATATTACTTAATATGTATTATATCTTATATGAGCACTTCCCACTTTTGTAGTTGTTTGTGTACTAAATTAAGGCTCCTTCAAACTTACATTTACAATTTGATTCTGTTAATTGGACACAAAGAAAGTAAGTTGCTTTTATCACCAAATAATAATGTTAAGAGTCTGCTTCCTGTGCTGTTGTTATTCCTTGATGTTGGCTGAATAAAAGAACAAATATATGTAGGACAGATGTCAGTGGGGTTAGCAGAATATGTACACATTCTGGAATTCTTGCAAAACATTTCAAAGGCCTTTGATACATTTTTTTCCTCATCTTTCATTTGCAAAAAGTAAAATTTACCCTCAAAGTAAAGGACCCGTCACCCATAAGGTGCTGGGTTTTCTGGCAGTATGCACCCTCTCCCATGTGGGTGTCCACAAATCAGCCTATCTCCCATAAGTTTTGCCTTTCACGTCCATCACTGTGGGACCCATGACCATCAAGTTGGCCCTCATCTGGTTATTTTATTCTCTCTCAGGTCAGTCGTGGTGGCTAGCAACCAGATCCTTCTTCCTTAAACGGGCCCTTTTCAGAGCCCACCAAGTGCAAAAAAAAAAAAAAAAAAAAAAAAAGCCAGACGCTTTGTTCAAAAAGCAGGGAAAAGGTGATATTAAATCTACTGAAATATAAAATATTTTTCTTTCTTCCTCAGTCTCTCTCGTCATGATGTTTTATTAGATATTTGATGTTAATATTAGATATTAATTAGATATAATCTAATATATATAATTAGATATAAATATTAGATATTTAATGTCCTCCCTTAGGCCTTAGGGTACTCACTGGGCAAGTGCAGATCCCCACAGATGTGGAGTTGGGGTGGGGAGCACCCCACGACTCAGCATTAGCTGACCATCTACCAGCTGCGCTGGTCTCCGAGTGGGGGCAGGAAAGCCAATCTCCCCTTCCCATGGGCTCCCAGCCCCAAACCAAGTGAATGGACGATCCTGAAAAATTGCAGCTTTCATGCTGAGGACACACTGGGTACCTGAAGGTGGCACGGATGAGAGGCTCACCTCACTAAGTCATCCAGTGAACGAGTCATGGAGTTGCCAGCCCTAGCAGACAGCTGCTGACATTCCCCACCTGAGACACCAAGAGGCAAGTGCCTAATCCCAACCTTCCCTGCAGTGGGTAATGACAAAATCCCCCCCTTCCCTGCTGTACCCCCACTGATGTGGCCAGGTCAAGGGGAGACACAGAACCCCTGGGGGAGGTGGGGAGGTGAAGAGAGGTGAGACCACAAGTGAGCAAAGATCCCAAGCCTCTGGTGCATGCTCCATTGTCCCATCAAAATTCACTTAAATAACACAAATAAAAAATAAAATTGTTAAGAATTTCAAGATGAAGATGACAGAATATGAAATCCCAAGCATGGGGCCCTTTGGAGCCACGGCCTTTAGGACTGCACTGGTGGCAAGCCCTTGAAGCCTACAAAATCTGCTCCATATGCCAGCTTTGCATCCTATTCACCAGCTTGAGAGAGGAAGGTACTTCTAAGTGTTTTTAGCCTGGCCTTTGACCCTGCTGTTTGCTACTTGCTCTTCTAAGAGCAAGGACAATTCATACATGGCTTTAAAAATGATTAAAGTTCAACAGGAAGTGGATTTACAATACAGCAGACCAATCCTGGAATAGCTGAGGATTTTAGCTGCAGTTTGTCTTCAGGACACATAAAGGTACAAGCCAACTCACTGGCTTCAAGGTTGTTTTTATTCAGAAATGCCCAGGTCCTCAATTATTTTATTGCTGCTGCAGCAAATGCTACTACAAATGAGTCAGCAAATGAAGTAAATTGTACTTGTCATAGGCTATAGGCACTTACCATGTATCTTTTGCTAAACTTCTGAATATCTTTTTCCTGTACTAATGAACGGATTGATTCCATGTGATAAACCCTTGTGACACTTGACTTAGCAATAGAGTGTGTTTGAGAGCATCGATCACCAACACTTCAGATTTGGCAGATGTGACTCTGCTCATCCCCAAAGGACACTTCTGTGGACATACAACTTTGGCTGAGGTGACCTGGTCACTCAAATTAGAGTAGCAGCTATAACTTCAGCTAGGCCATGGACTCTGGCTTACCCATCCAGGGCTCTGTTAGAGGTGACCACTGCCACCTCCTCTGGCTTGGTACCTATAAAATAAAATTTGTGCTTCCTGGTACATAAAGGAGTTTTGCTCCTATAAACTGCCACCACTATTCCAGGATTGAGCCCTGAGGATGCACAGGCAACTTCTGTCATAATGAGTGGTTAGTTCATTTATGTTTAAAAAATGGCTATTTTTCTATTTCTCTTTTTGGTTTACAGCTGTGAAACAGTGAAATCATATATAATTCTCTAAATAGTTTATCATTTAAAATATCTAATTAAGTCCAAAGCTTGTCCCAGAAATAAATGGGTTGCTTTGGGAACTAATTAAGTTAGCAACTGGGTTCTGTTTATGTTTTAAAATAAAATATTTTGAAGTTGTTCAAAAAAAGTAATGTGCAAATAAAAGGAATGAAAAAGAAACCCTCTCCTGCGTCCAAGATCTCCCTTAACTGTTAAGGTGCCTAATACCCCCAAATTAACAATCACTTCTTAGAATTAAACACTATCTTTCCCAGCTGCTAAAAATATAAATATCTGTGGGTGGAGTAAAAAAAAAATACTAATTCATTAATATCTTACTGGTGGTTGGCCAGTCACGTCTATTTCCCCCAGGAAAGGACAAAAATGACCTAGGAAGGGCAAACTAAAGCAGGTCAGAGAACGAGAGTGCAGAAAGAAAAAAATGGGAGATGGGGTCATCCCCCAGCAAACTTTGCCCATTATTCTTCCTTTGGTACATTGCGACTACATCTTGTATTAGTTATTGATTCATCACGTTTCTTTCCAAGAGTCCACGGAAACTTTCAGAACTAGATTTCACAATCTAGCACCCTAAGCTCTGTTCAAATTGCCCATAGGAAGATTCTCTTTCCTCTACCTTTTCTAATTAATTCCTCTAGCTAGGTATTCTTCTCAACTACTATTAGTATCAGGCAACCCTTTTTACCCTTTAGTGGTTAATCCTACAGTCTGTTTGAAACTATTTCCTCTTTTTATTCAAGTCATTAGGACTTGACTGACATGTGCTGGTGTACGTAGATTTTGTTACTCTTTTATAAATTACTGTATCGTATATCTTACATTTCTCAGCAGAGACAATATTGAACATCTTCACTTGAAAATTAAAACAAAATTATAAAATTTTCTTTAAAAAAATCAGTAGAAGGAAGAACTAACACATGATCCAATGTGGATAAACTTTAAAGATATTATGCTAAGTGAAAGAAGCCAGACACGAAAGACCACTTATTTATGATTCCATGTATATGAAATGTCTAGAATAGGCCTGTCTATACAGGCAAAAAGTAGATTAATGGTTGATTATATGGGGAGTGACTCCTAATGTCCAAGAGGCTTCCTTTCGAATGGAGGGAAATGTTCTAATATTGGATTGCTGTGATGGCTACCCAACTCTGTAAATATACTAAGGCCATGGAATCACACATTTACAGTGGGAAAA
Source organism: Homo sapiens (assembly GCF_000001405.40). NCBI lineage: Eukaryota > Metazoa > Chordata > Mammalia > Primates > Hominidae > Homo > Homo sapiens. Next base: position 36,546,774 of record NC_000014.9, on the reverse strand, counting down.
TGTTACGGTGTGTAAATTATGTCTTAATAAAGTGGTTTAAAATATAATATCAGTGGACATTAGCTTTTGTTGGACATATATATCTAAATCCATTTCCCCATCTTCTTCACCTCTCCTTTTTCTTTTGGTCAGTGTCTACTTTTACTCCTCCTACAGTAGTATTCTAGAACTCATCTGGCCATTCTATAACCAAGAACATCCCAAATTTTCTTTAAAAATGTATTAAATACATAGAAATATATAAAGCTAAGAAAGTAGGGAACAATTACTAAAGTATAAATTTAGGATTTGTTTTATGAACTCTTCCTTAGTTCCTTTACATTGACAAGTTTGCCTAATAAACTTTAAGTATGTCTATAGGTATGAAAGATTTATTTAAGCCCTTATTAAAGTACGTTTGTTTTAGGAAAGACATCCAGGAAGAGGTACAGAGGGGAGCTGGCCCAAAATAGGGCTTCCAAGGCCAGCGGAGCCAGAGTTCCCCAGTGCTCACAGCCACTGGGACAAGGAGCTGCCAATAAACCTTTGGATACATACGCAGTTCCTAAACGTGTATTACTTGGCTGCAGGAATTGAAATGAGAAAAAGAAAGTGGGGAAAGCTAAATAGAAATTAATAATATCAAGTGCTATTATTGGCCATTACTATGCACTAGGCGCTATATTAAGTGCTATACACACATTCTAGTAATCCACACAACAATCATATGGGGTATTTGTATCTCTAAAATACAGACGAAGAAAGTGAGGGTCAAGGACATAAACTGCCTGAGGCCTCATAGCTAGTAAAATAATCCCTATGTACTGTTATAAGAAGAAATATATTTATTTAATATGTTATGTAACATTATATATATATAGTGATATATATAATGTTAAGAAGATATAACACCTCTCATTCAGTAAAGAACCCCAGAAAATTACCTGTGCATTCTAAATCCCAGAGAATGTGTGAGAACTGAAGTTCCATTTTGAAACCCACTATTTTAATGTTATAGAATTAAGGCTGGTGGTATCACGGATGGGCTAGTTGTTTATATATATATATATATGCTTATGCTGTTCTAGAGAGCTGAATTGCTTCTCCCAGAGTATAAAAATGAGCTTTAACTTATAACAAAGGGAAATATGTCATATTACTACTTATTTTAAACCGACCCCTGGAGTGTTGTGATTTCTCCATCTTTGATTAAAGTTCTTCCCAAGCAGGCTGATTTTATGAATTTTCCTGAACTGTGTTAGATGGCATCACATTAGCATCAACATGAATGAGTAGCGAGGAGTGGGCTTGGCACAAAGGCGTGACCTCGTATTAGCTGCTATTCTGATACTTTATTTGTCAGCACTGATTCAATAGCGGGCAGAAAAGGCTCATAGGAGATTATGCAGAAAGGCTAGGCTACACTTTACAGCCTTTCTCAAGCCATCAGGGCAAAGAATTGATGCTTACTTACATCCATAATTATATGTGGCATTTTGGCTCTGTAATTAAATTCAAAATAAATCACATGCAGCAATTTGTTAAATTTAAATGCTCTTACAAAAAAACAAATAAGAAGATCAGTGAATGAAATGAGTTTCTGAACTTAGGGGTATGATTTGAAGAAAGATTGTCATTCACTCGAACTAGCAGGGTTTGTGGCTGCAAAAATAAACCCAGTAATAATTCTGCTGAATCTAGGATGTGATGAGGCCATTAGAATCTGTGCCATTGGGCCGGGTGTGGTGGCTCACGCCTGTAACCCCAGTACTTTGGGAGGCCGAGGTGGGCAGATCATGAGGTCAGGAGATTGAGACCATCCTGGCTAACATGGTGAAACCCTGTCTGTACTAAAAATACAAAAAATTAGCTGGGCGTGGTGGCGCGTGCCTGTAATCCCAGCTACTTGAGAGGCTGAGGCAGGAGAATCGCTTGAACCGAGGAGGCGGAGGTTGCAGTGAGCTGAGATCCTGCCACTCCACTCCAGCCTGGGTGACAGTGAGACTGTCTCAAAAAAAAAAAAAAAAAAAGGATCTGTGCCATTGGATTGTATTATACAGGAAATAACTGCAGTAAACCCTCATGTATGAGAAACTCAAAACTTTAAGTTCAAAATAAGTAATGTTGGCAACCCCCTTTGGGTCCCCTCCCTTTGTATGGGAGCTCTGTTTTCACTTTATTTCACTCTATTAAATCTTGCAACTGCACTCTGCTGGTCCATGTTTGTTACGGCTCAAGCTGAGCTTTCGCTTGCTGTCCACCACTGCTGTTTGTCGCGGTGGCGGACCGCCGCTGACTTCTATCCCTCCGGATCCGGCAGGGTGTCCACTGTGCTCCTGATCCAGCGAGGCACCCATTGCCGCTCCCGATCAGGCTAAAGGCTTGCCATTGTTCCTGCACAGCTAAGTGCCTGGGTTCGTCCTAATCGAGCTGAACACTTGTCACTGGGTTCCATGGTTCTCTTCCGTGACCCAAGGCTTCTAATAGAGGTATAACACTCACCGCATGGCCCAAGATTCCATTCCTTGGAATCCGTGAGGCCAAGAACCCCAGGTCAGAGAACACGAGGCTTGCCACCATCTTGGAAGCTCTGTGAACAAGGACCCTCCGGTAACATTTTGGTGACCATGAAGGGACCTCCAAAGCATTTGTCTCTTCCAGAATCAAAGCTGAAAAACTACAAATCATTCTTCAAATGGAGCCCAGATGCAGTCTTTGACTAAGAGCTACTGCGGACCCCTGGACTGGCCTGCTAGCCCATGCTCCGATGTTAATGACATCCAAGGCACCCCTCCCCAGGAAATCTCAACTGCGCAACCCCTACTATGCCCCAATTCAGCAAGAGCAGTTAGAGTGGTCGTCGGCCAACCTCCCCAACGGCACTTGGGTTTTCCTGTTGAGAGGGGAGACTGAGAGACAGGACTAGCTGGATTTCCTAGGCCAACTAAGAATCCCTAAGCCTAGCTGGGAAGATGCCCGCATCCACCTTTAAACACGGGGCTTGCAACTTAGCTCACACCCAACCAATCAGAGAGCTCACTAAAATGCTAATTAGGCAAAAACAGGAGGTAAAGAAATAGCCGATCTATTGCCCGAGAGCACAGTGGGAGGGATATAAACAAGGATTGGAATATAAACCCAGGCATTTGACAACCCCCTTTGGGTTCCCTCCCTTTGTATGGGAGCTCTGTTTTCACTCTATTTCACTCTATTAAATCTTGCAACTGCAAAAAAAAAAAAAAAAGTAATGTCGATAGTCTGGTTTTAATGTATTTTCCAAAATAATTTAAGGTCTCTTAAGAATTATATGTAATATTTATTAAAATCCAGCATAATTTTTCCTAGTCCTTCAGAAGAAGCTAAGATACAAAGAAGAGAATTATCCAAATCAGCATCAGAACCTGGATAAATCAAAATAACTATGTATAGCACCACTACTTCATGCTTACTGAAGCATGTTTTAGCATGTTTTTAGCATATTTTTCAGCTTAAAAGCACTCTTATATACATTACATAGGTATAGGTGTCCCTAGAGAGTCCAGAAAAAGACTTTTAATTTTAGTCATCTTAAGATGCTTGCTGTCAGTTGGGGAAGTCTGACTGGGTAGGACACGGTGAATGGGGCAGCCTAGGGCCAGACTTGCCCAGTGGACTTGGAAAGTAGGACAGGGGTTGATAAGGGGATTTTTCTAAGTGTTGTCATTGAAAGAACTTCACGTTCCAGAACCTGGACATTATGCATGAACGATGTAGCAGAATTATTACTCTATGCGGAGGAGTGTAGTGTGTGCTGGTGTGGTTGGGGGTGTAAAGTCTTCACTTTTCCAGCTAGGCGCAACATCTTGCTCTGGGCACGCTAACAAGAGGGGCTAAATTTCTAGTGTGCCCCCCCGCCATGTGAGAGAGGCAAAGGAAAGCCATATTTGTCTACCTACATCTTTATCATGTCTACAAACTTTGCCCTGCTTATTGGCTGCTTTAGGAGTAAATCAAAGTAAAATCAACCTTGAACCAAGTCTAAGTTATTGTTCTTGCCCATCCGTGAACCTGAAACAAACTTTGTGGTCTGCTGAATGCAGTGTCGTCAGCTTCCATGGCTTCCATGCCTGAAGCCAGGCTCCCAAAATCTGAATTACAGGTATTTCAGTCCATTCTAAAGTTATTTTTAGAAAACAAGCAAATATAATGCTCCAACTTCTCATGGAAACAATCCACAAAAGACAAGCAGCTTCTGCAATCAGACTTCTAAAAAATTCCATTTTACCTAAGAAAACTTGGTGGATACTTACTTTACATTTCTTTTTAACCAAAGGACTGATTCTTATTTTCCCAAAATGAAAGGAGTCTTTTCTAAAGGTTGATATCTACCATATTATATCTGCCATATTCTCTGTTAGAGGCAAGACAGTAAGTCCAGCCCACACTCAGGAGGGGATTGCACAAGGAAATGAATCTCAGAGAGTGGGATCAGAAAGGGGGACATCTTCCATGCTTCTTACCACAATATTCAGGGTCACTAACAGTCAAAGAAACACAAACAAAGTACCATTTTAATTGCTTGTATTAAAAAACTTTGGAAATAATAATATCCAGGAATTGCCAAAGTATTATGAAACATGCTTTGTTAACAGCAAATATAAATTGATATGGTGTTTTGGAAAGCAATCTATAAATACACATTAAGATCCATAAAATATTCCAATCTTTTAAATACTGTAATCCTACTTCTAAGAATCTATCCTAAGGAAATAATTATAAAAACAAAAAATAAAACAAAAAATCTGTATGTATGGACATGTCTATTGCAGTATTATTTATAATAGTAAAATTGAGGGCAATGGTAAAATACTATCAGAAAGGATCAATTAAATAAACATGTTCATCTACTTTATAAAATTTTATATAATTGTTTTTAAGATCATGGTATAACTGTGAAATACTTAGAATTTAATATAAAATTTAAAAAAAAGATATAAAACTTTGTATAAATAATAATTATTATCAGGCAAAAATATATGTAAGAATAAAAGACTAAAAGAATTATTCCCAAATGCCATCAATAATCGAATTTGAGTGGTAATATCATAGATGATTTTTGCCTTCTGTTGACACCTTTTGACTTTTTTTATTGTAATTTTTTAAATAAGAAAAAATTAATTATGTAGGAGTTGATTCATCAGTGCACAGTTGTGATTACAGGAAACCAAACTCCTCTGAATTATGGGACTTTTTTGCCCAATTATTCTTTCTGTGAATTCAAGTGTTTCCTAAATCTGTTTTGTTTGCCTTAAAAATATCACTGTATATCTATACACATTACATAGTGCCTCTATAGTTTTCCAAGCATTTTACAGCTACTCTTCAATTTTATTGTCACTGCATTATTTGATTTATTTTTCCCATAGCAGAGTCAGAAAATTTAGCCTTGAAAAGGTTGTTGGTGAGATTGCAGAGCAAATAAAACTCACGCACTGCTAGGGAAAGCAAGATGGTATAGCTGCTTTGGAAAACAACTTGGCAATTTCTTATCCAGTTAAACATGAACTTATCACATGACCCAGCATGCAATCCCATGCCTACAGATTTACCCAAGAGAAATGAACACTCATGTTCACACAAAATATGTAACATATTCCTAGTAAATTTGATCTTAATCACAAGAAAACTAGAAACAACCTAAATGTTCTTCAACTGGTGAATGAATAAACAAAGTATGGTACCTCCATACAATGGAATACCCCTCAACAATAAAAAAAAAGAACTACTAAAATATGCAACAATGTTAATGAATCTCAAACATTATGCCAAGTAAATGAAGCCACCCTCAAAAGGCTATGTAATGTATGACTCCATTTACATGACATTTTGGAAAAGGCAAAATTATAGTGTCAGAAAACAGATCTGTGGTTCCTAGAGGCAAAGGTTGGCTGCAAAAGAATGGAACAAAGAAATTTTTGAGATGACAAAATTGTACTGTATCTTGGTTCTGGTGGTGATTATATGATTATGTCTTGTCAGAACAGAACTGTGCACCATGAAGACTGTGCTTTACTGTCTGTAAAAAGAGAAGATTAAGTGATTTGCCTAAGTCCACTAGAGTAGGATGGCACTGTTTCCAATAAAGAGTATTTATTGCCTATATCTCTCTACCTTCACTGCTGCTATTCATAAAATAGAAGTATCTTTTATTAAAGATATGTCAGGCACCAACAAACAGGTTGGGGAAATTTTGGTGAGTCATGGTTCCTACAAGGATGACCCTAAAAAATAACCATTTTAATGGGTTTGAGTGCCTGGGGGAATTGGATTTCAGTGGTGTCTCCTTCCTATTAAAAATCTCTTGTGTTCCTGCAGAGAGTGGCCTCTAGTTACTATAGCATCAGAGTTTTTCCTCTGGGAAAAGAAGAAAAGGAAAACTGACATTTTATTGAATTCCTCCTATGGTGGTAGAAGGAGCAGAGGATACAAAGTTTTATTTATATTATCTCATTTTATCATTTTATCCTCATAACAGCTTTTTTTAAAAATAGGGACTTGCTCTGTTGCCCAGGCTGGAGTGCAGCGGCGTGATCATTACTCACTCCAGCCTTGATCTTCTGGGCTCAAGCAATCCTCCCATCTCAGCCTCTAGAGTAGCTGGGACCACAGGCCCTCACCACCATGCCCAGCTAATTTTAAAAAATTGTGTAGAAACTCCTTACCATGTTACCCAGGCTGGTCTCAAACTCCTGGGTTCAAGATCCTGCCTTAGCCTTCCAAAGTGCTGCATTTACAGGTGTAAGCCACGGTGCCTGGCCTCAACAGCTTTGCAAACCAATATATTATTATTTTACACACAAGGAAACTGGGGCTCCTAGGGATTAAGTAATCAGATGAGAATGAACTCGGTCACCTCTATTCTTAATAGGATCCCAGTTTACTTGAGCATAGACAATTGACTCATAGACTTGTTTCTAGTGCTGAATGGACTAATAGTAAACCTAGAGTCTCTCATTGGCCTTGACTGACCTCCTTGCCACTGCTAAGTGATCATGTTGCCTATCTCTGCAGACCATTATCATCCCAGCAGCTCAGTTTCCTCTGGCTTAGTGGATGAGACTTTTGTCCCATTATAATGCCCAGGCTGAAATGCAGTGGCTATTCACAGGTACGATCATGGCACCCTACAGTCTCTAACTCCTGGCCTCAAAGGATTCTCCTGTCTCAGACTCCCAAGTAGCTGAAACTACAGGCATGTGCCATCATGCCCAACTCACAAGATCTATGCTTATCTGAGATTTAAAGGACACAAATGAAGCAAAAGCCGATTTTTAAAGTGACATACACATTGTCACCTACCTTCTGGCTCACCTATTAGTCTGTAACAGCTCCACCTTCCCCTGAATTCTCCTTCAGCTTCTCTAACTCCTAGGCTAGGTGTGTCTTCAGCTCCATGACTAAAGGCACCAATTTCTTTTGCAGGGTATCCATGCCATCAAGATCAGCATCAGTAAGAACTAACACAAGTTTTAGCTTATCTTTTCGGGTTTCAGGACGTGCCTGGTGGTTCTGGCTTGTCCTTTCTCTCTTGAAGTTTACATCCCTTCCTAACTGCCTGTCCTGAGAAACTTCAAGCTCTAATATCACTTTACAGAGACTTCTCGACCAGCTTTCACAATTGAGGTCAAATCCCTGTAACAAAGTTCTGTGTTTGTGTATGTATGCATGTGTGTTAAATATATATCTGGGATATATGTCTCAATATATCTATATTTATATCAATCAATCAATCAGCCATCTCTCTATCTATATTTTCTAGTAGCCCTGCTTCTCTAATTGAATCTTGACTAAAAAAGCTTTTCATCTGATCCACGACCCACTTTGCTTCCTGTACTTCATTTCAAAGTTTGAGAATATTGGTTAGTTTCTCTCAAAGTCTCTTTGATTTAATTCTCTGGTAATTTTGTTGTTTCTCAGAAGGGGCTTTCGCTTCAACATGCAATGACTTTGTTCAGTCCTATTGAATGTACACTTTATTTAGCAGAAATTTATTTACTTTTCTGGCACATGTTATTATCTTTGCTTAGTAAATTAGAAGTAACAATCAATCCATAAAAGATTTAGGTGCTGGGGCTTATGTAACCATTTTCTCCAGCTGCCTCCTAGGAAAAAAAGATTGTCAACCCAAGTCCAATTTTGTCTGTTCTATGCTCATACAAATGTGACTCCATTAACTCTAGCTCTTGGTTTGAAGAAAATTGCTGGGGGTAAAAATAATTAGGTCACTGGTACCACTTCCAGCTATTACTAACTAGTGACAAACATCTCCAACCACTGTAGGCAAGTAGAAAACTAGATAAAACATATAAAACAACTTTTCAGACATTAGGTCACAAATAGTTCAGGACTATGGTCCCTGAGAAAAGAGAAACAGATGACGAGAGCCTTACAATCACTCAAGCTTTCTGCCTGCAATAAGAACCTGGACAATGACACAGGAAAGGAATCCCAAGAGCATATGGCAGTCTTGCTAAGTTGAGAAGACAGGGATCAAAGTTTGAGGAGGGTGAGGTGGGTGGAATGTGTGAGAGCACTAGAAGAGAGCTATGCCAACAAAAGAGCTCCAGAAATATTCATAGTGTCCTCTTGAGTCTTTGAATATAAGCAGCACATAAATAGGATGAGATTCCAGAAGGCTAGGCAATGAATGAAGCTGTAAATTAAAAATTTCCCATAGCTTACACTGGGCTGGGAAGTGTTTGGGTTCTAATAAGACAGAGTGAAGAGATTTTGTTTGCACTGGTCATTCAGTAGAGATCCTAGAAATGTCACACCTTAGTAGTAGAGTTAAGCTAACTATATGGGGTAAGACTAATCTAGCTTTGTTCTAAAAGCTTAAAAGTAAGTCCTCAAATGACCAAGCTGATCAGCAAGAAACTTGTCTGTCTGATCAAACAAAATCCAACACTCAATGAGGAAAGTAACAAAATCTTAACACACAACAGTGTAATATTCACAATATCTAAAATCCAATTTTAAAATGACGGCAAGTAAAGAAGCAGGAAAATGTTACTCAGAAGAAAAAATTGGACAATAGAAAGAAACCCAGAAATAAAGGAGATGTTGGGATCAGTAGAAAGGACTTTAAAATAGCTATTATAGGGCCTGGTGCTGTGGCTCATACCTATAATCTCAGCACTTTGAGAGGCCAAGGTGGAAGAATCGCTTGAGGCCAGGAGTTCAAGACCAGCCTGGGCAACATAGTGAAATCAAAAAATTAGCTGGACATAGTGGCACATGCCTATAGTCCCAGCTACTCAGGAGGCTGATGCAAGAGGATTACTTGAGCCCAGGAGTTTGAGGTTACAGTGAGCTGTGATTGCACCACTGCACTCCAGCCTAGGTGATACAGAGACTCTGTCTCAAAAAAACAAATAAACAGGGCCAAGTGCAGTGGCTCATGCCTGTAATCCTAGCACTTTGGGAGGCCAAGGTGGGCAGATCACCTGAGGTCAGGAGTTTGAAACCAGCGTGACCAACATGGCAAAACGCCGTCTCTACTAAAAATACAAAAATTAGCTGGGCATGGTGGCAGGCACCTGTAATCCCAGCTACTCAGGAGGCTGAGGCATGAGAATCACATGAATCTGGGAGGCAGAGGTTGCACTGAGCCAAGATTGGGCCACTGCACTCCAGCCTAGGCAACAGAGTAAGACTCCATCTCAAAAACAAAAACCAATTAAACAAACAAACAAAAAAAAAAACAAAAAACACACATACAACAGATATTACAGATGTGTTCAAAGATTTAAAGAAAAACATAAACATAATGAGTGAAGAAATAGAAGACATGAAGACCAGCAAATGGAACTTCCAGACATGCAAAACAAAATATCTGAAATCACTAATTTACTGGAAGCTTAAAAGAAGATTAGACAGATTGGGGGAAAAAATCACTAAACTTGAATACATGGCAATACTATTCAAACTAAAGCACAAAGAAGAAGAAGAAAAAGAACAAATATTTTATGAACTATAAGAAAATTTCAAGCAGTCTAGTGTCCTTAAAATTGAAGCCCAAAAACAGAAGGGACAGAAAAATTATTTACATAAATAATGGCCAAAAACGTTTCAAATTTGTTGAAAACTATAAGCCCACATATCCAATACATTCAACAAAGTTCAAGCATGATAATCACAAAGAACCATGAAGGCACATAATACACAATTGCTGAAAATAATAACAATGAGAAATATTAAAAACAGTCAGAAAACCAAAGATAAGGATGACAGAAGCCAGGTCTGGGGGCACATGCTCGTAGTCCCAACTACTTGGAAGGCTGAGGCAAAAGGATCACTTGAACCATGGAGTTAGAGGTTATAGTATGCTATGATTGTGCCTGTGAATAGCCAATGCACTCCAGCCTGGTAAACATAGCAAGACCCTGTTTCACCAAAAAGAATACAGGTGAATTCTCATCAAAAATAATAAAGGCAGAAGAAAATAGAATAACATCTTTAAGGTTCAAAAAGAAAAGAAATTTTCAACCTAGAATTCTATAGTCAATAAAAATATTCTTCAAAATGGAACACAGGAGAAAACATTGTTTGACCAACAAAACCTTGGTTGTCAGCAGACTTGAACTACAAAAATGTTAAAGGAAGTTCTTCATACTGAGAGAAAATAAAAGCCACACAAAGGAATAAAGGAGTGCTAGAAATGGCAAATATATGAATAGGAATAAAAGATAGTTTCCCTGGTTTCAAAATTTATTATTTAAAAATAATAGACTGTTTATTATATATATAGAAGTAAAATATATGACAACAGAAATATTGAATTATACTGTTATAAGGTGTTTACATTATATGTGAAGTGCTAAAATATTATTTGAAAGTAAACTATAAGTTAAAGATGTATATTGTAAACTGTAGATCATTTCTTAAAAGAGTTATAGCAAATAAACCAATGACAAAGATAAAACTGAATACTAAAGAAATACTGAACTACCAAAAGATGGCTGAAAAAAGGGGTAAAAACAACAAAGAACAGAGAGAACAAACATTAGACAAATAGAAGTATGATAGAATTAAAACTACTGTACTAAAAATTACTTTATATGTGGTCTAAATACACCAGTTAAAAGGCATGAATTATCAGTCTGGATAAAAAAGCAAGACTCAAGTATATGTTATCTACAAGAAAAAAATAAATGTAAAGACACAGACAGATCAAAAATAAAGCTAGGCACAGTGGCACATGCCTGTAGTCCCAGCTACTCAGGAAACTGAGGCAGGAGGATCACTTCAGGCCAGGAGCTGGAGGCTGCAGTGCTCTTTGATCATCCCTATGAGTAGTCACTGCATTCCAGCCTGCTCAACATAGTGAGACACCATATCTAAAACAACAACAACAAAGAAAGATGAAAAGTAAAAAAAAAAAAAAAAATGCTTCTCATAATGGCAAAGTAGTTTCTATTTAACCAATTCTTTTTCAGATAACTGTAAATTCCAGAAAAAAATATAAAAAGACTACCTAAAAGCCCCAGAGAATAACTCAAAGCCAACAAAAAGAATAAGAGAGTCAGCAGTTGGATGAAGAGAATGGAATTGGAGAAGTATCTCTCTTTTATGGCTTTTTCCTGAAGAGACTCCACACAGTAGCAAACTCACAGAGCCTCCACAATGAATCATTCACAAGGACCAGATGCAATCCAATGTTACTAGAAATATGAAGAAAAAGGAAAATGAGACCCATACACAATTGATACCAACCCCAAGATGATCCAGATGTTAAATTTAGCAAACAAGAATTTTAAAGCTGCATTATAACTATGCTCAAAGGACATAAAGGAAAATATGCTTGTAATAAATGAAGAAATAGAAACTATAAAAGGAACCAAGTGGCCTGGAATGGTGACACATGCCTGTAGTCTCAGTTACTCAGGAAGCTGAGGCAGGAGGATCACTTGAGTGAAATGAATTAAAACATGAATTCATGAAATTCATTTTTCATGAATTTCAAAAATATGAGATTCAACTAAAGGAAGTTGAAAAACAACAGGAGTTCAAGACCAGCCTTGGCAACATGGTGAGATTCCATCTATAAAAAAAAAAAAAATTAAATAAGAATCAAATGTCAAGGCAGTAAACTGAGTACAATGGTAGGAGTGTGGTATTCACGTCCAAAGTGACCTTGGAGGTTTCTGGAACAGAGACTTTCCAGGCCAACCATTAAGTTTAGCTTGTGATGCTTATGATTAGATTCACTAATTTGGCATTGCCAGCTCACTTGATGGAGTTATATCCTCTTTATCTAATTTCTTAAGGTCTATCTCAGTTTACGAGTCTCTTAAAATAATTAATCTTCCAAGATCTGATAATTAAACACTGTGTGGAATAAACTGGATCATTTTGAAATAACTGTCAACTCAACATTGCTGCAGTTTCAAAGTCCAACCACAGGTCTTTTTCCCATTAAATCATGTGATGCTGACCAGAATATCAAGATAAAGTACAACCTATACTGTGCTTCTAGGGCTTGGGCTTTAACTTTCACATAAAGGCTCATTAATGATGACCAGGAAGGACCCATGAGCCCAGCTTTAAAATGTATGAGAGTTGTTCCTTTCTGTTGCATGCATCAGGTTGATAAAGTCCACCAGTTTAAGCAGGACCCAGCTTAATACCTACTGAACTTTGCTTAACTTCTGTTGGAGGTTCTCCAGCCTCAACAAAATGGAAGACGTTGACTGAACAGGCATCAAATTGATAAGTCTTTTAATAGAACTTTCACTGAGTTCTGTGACCAAGCATGGCAGATTCTGCAGCAAACACTTAATAGTATCATGGTAACTAGGAATCAAATACCATAGCAACCAACCTGTGAGATACAATCATATATGAAGAGAATATAATTGGAGGAGTGTCTGGCTTCTATGAATTTCTTTCTCTTGTTTAAGATATGTTGGGAAATATTAACTAGCTAGTAATATATAGATACAGACAGATCGCTGTGGAGTTACTAATGGTTATATCCGTTATACTGAAAACAAAATTCTTAGTTGGACTTTCAAGACAAAAAGTAGATCTAGACAAACTGATGAAAGAAGCATTTCATGAATTTCAAAAATATGAGATTCAACTAAAGGAAGCTGAAAAACAAGGTGAGATGACTTACTTTAACAACAGTGTCCCCACTCCCCCAGAAAAAAGAGAAATCTATACAGCATATTTAACAAAGGTGTTGATTAATTTTCTGCTGGAAGGAGAAGCCAAGCCAAGCAATAATGATTTCTGTTTGGTTAGCTAGTGAAGCAAGTAGAAGAATCTCTTTTGAGGTATATTGTCTAGAAGTGTGTTAAGTTTTATTCTTGAAGCTTAACCAAGGCAGCCATAAATGATAGGACTGATCGTGCTTTTGAGGTATTTGCCACAACATTGGTGGAGTGATTGAATTTCTTCCACGCTATAACCAATCCAATGTTAAGAAATGCCTTTATTCAGAGGTAAAAATTTTGATGGCCATGCGAACAACAATAATAATATTCACTGAAAGATACAAATAATTTATAAATGTAAAATTCATCTCTGCATGTTTTTTTTCTTTTTTTGGGACAGAGTTTCACTCTTGTCATTCAGGCTAGAGTGCAATGGCGCCATCTCTGCTCACTGCAACCTCCGCCTCCTGAGTTCAAGCGATTCTCCTGCCTCAGCCTCCCGAGTAGCTGGGATTACAGACATGCACCATCATGCCCGGCTAATTTTTGTATTTTTAGTAGAGACAGGGTTTCGCCATGTTGGCCAGGCTGGTCTGGAACGCCTGACCTCAGGTGATCCGCCCGCCTCAGCCTCCCAAAGTGTTGGGATTACAGGAGTGAGCCACCGCGCCCGACCGATCTCTGCGTGTTTAATGATCTAATAGGGCATAAAATAAATTTGCTTTATGTTTCTGATCATTTGATATTGTCCCACAGATCACTGGGGCTGTTTTTGTTTTTAATTTTTATTCCTTCTGCTTCTCAGACTGGATAAATTCTATATTCAAGTTGGCTCTTCTGCTGTCGCCAATCTTCTTTCAGCTCATCCCAGAGATTTTTCTTTTCCATTTCAGACGCTATAGCTCTTTAGAGAATTTTCAATTCATTTTTAAAATAGCTTCCATTTCTCTGATAGAGTTCCCCAATTTGTTCAGTTATTGACATATTTTAATTTGTCTTCGAATATATATATATATATACCTCTTTAAATGTACTTTTCTGCTAATTCCAAACCTGGAGATTTGCTTCTATTGACTGCATTCTCTTCTGATTTTGGAAATTATCTTCTATGTCTTCACATGCCTAGTAATTTTTTATTTTAATCTGCCATTGTGAAAAATACATTTTAGAGTCTCTAGATTCCTCTGTTCTAGGAGTTCCCTACCTTAATCTTTCAGATATTCTTTCAGCCCCTGACTCCATCCTCTCACACTTCAAATAAAAAACACTGGATTTTTTCGCTCACCTTCTATTTGCCCTGTGCTCTGTGGTATGAGTATTGTCCTCAGTAGAATATCCTTGTAAGTTTAATTCTTACCCAGTGAGTAGTTCCATTTATGACTAGAAACTTCTTCAGTTTCTTTCTTCTTTTGACCACTTTCTGGTGCCTTCAAATAATTGTGTGTGTGTTTGTGTGTGTGTGTGTGTGTATTGTCCAGAGTTTATCATTATTATCTGAAAAAGGCATAGTCAGATAATGTACTTTTTATTACTGGACTCAGAACACCCATTCAAGAATATACACTTAAAACAAGCTTTTTGGGTTATACTTATGCACTCCAAAGTTTGACAGGTGCTGTCTTAGATTAAACTTCCATGCTTAACTTTGTCTTTTGAGAAGTCATCTTCCTCACTACGAACAAGAATTTAAACTCTTCAGGTTCATTAATCACACTCCCTGAAATCTAAAATAAAGTCATATAAACTTGGTAAATATACTCTTACCCACAGTGTTTTCCTTATTACTACATTTTTCCAAAAGGACTGGAAACTATTTGTTGAAAATTAGAGAAGCATTGAATATAGTGGAAATAATACAGTGTGGTTCCATAACAATTAGTTGTTACGTTTAAAATATGACACTCCTTAAGGTAAAATTTAATAATACCAAAAGTACCCTAGAAAACTGATGAAATGGTAACAAAATTTGAGATTATACTTTGATAGAATAATTTTTGTCCACATTAAAGTTTGACATCTACGGAGCTAGACAAGGGAGTAATACAAAGAAACTCCCCAAGCAGATGAGTAGATATTTGAACTATCTTGCTGTCAAAATAACTATAAAATTTCAAGATGTTGAATGGGGGATAGGTAGACAATTCTTTAAAGGTCTGATTATTTAGGCAATGACTCCTCTTGTGGTTTGGAATATGACATGTTGACAATCAAAACTTAGTTCTACTACTTACTAGCCATGTGATCTTCAGCAATTTACTTAACCTTTCTGGGCTTCGGTTTCCTCATCTATAAAAATAGGGAATATATTACCTTTCTCTTGTAATATGAATGCCAAAATGCCTGGAATGTATCTTGCCAGAAGGAAGGGTCCAGCCAAGACTATTCCTTTATCTAAGAGTGTTCCCCAAGCTTTGGTCTCAAAAGGCCCAGGCTAATGCATTTCTTACTATTGGTCTGAAATTCTATGTTCTCCTAAGACATAGTTTGTAAGACTTTAATGAATAACTTCAATTAAGCACAAGGTAACCTCTTAAAAACATATGCTGTAATTCTCTCCTTGCATCCTCAAAAGAGTACATCTTCATGGATCATTTTAAAAAGTCTTAGGTAAGAAAAAATAACCATTTAATAATGGCAGTTATATCCTGGAAAGGGCTCAAAATTGGGATGATAGAATGTCTAACTCTGACATGTGCCGCTGCTCTGGAAGCAATTGGTGGGAGTTCCAGAATTTCCATGTACAGTGAGGATATGGCGATGGAAAACAATCTTGTGTGCCATTTAGGCAGATGGGAAGCAGGGCTATAAAACTTCACTTACACAACCTACTAAAAATTAATTTTCCATATCAGAGATTAGAGAGAGTTTGTGAAGACTGTTGAGGTAGAGGTGAAGCCCTCCCAGTGCTCCACACTTTTGTGCTGTCCCTGGAAACAATTTCAGCCAGAAAACACTGGGACAACATCTTCAAAGTGCTGGGGGTAGAAAACCCAGAAACATTGTGAACCTATAATTCTATACCTAATGAAAATATCTTTGCAAAATGAGGATGAAATAAAGACAGGCAAAGCTGAAAGAATTAATCAACATCACACCAGTACTATAAGAAATGTTGAAAAGAAATTCTTTGTAAGAAAATAATACTAGATGGAAATATGAACCTACACAAAGGAGTGAAGAGCACCAGAAATAGTAACTATGTGTGAAATATAAAAGAATTTTTTTTACTATTTACATCTCTTTAAAAGATTACTGACTGTGTAAGACAAAAATAATAAACATTTATTGTGGATATATTTAGAAGTAAAATATAAGACAATAGCACAAAAACCAGAAGAGAAAATAATAAAAGTGTGCAGTTGTAAGGATCTTCTATTATACATGAGGTGGTATAGTATAATTTGAAAGTAGACTGTGATGCTAAATTAAATCTCAAAGCAACCACTAAAACAACACATGAAAATGTTTTGCTAATATGCAAAAAAGGAGATATAATGAAATTGTAGAAAACACTCAATACCCCAAAAAAAGGCATAAAAAGAGGAAAAGGAAGACATAGTTGAAGTCTCAAATAGAACACAAACAGCAAGATAGTATATTTAAACTCAACATATCAATAACCATATTAAATGAAACTGGTCTAAATAATCAGAAAAAGACTTCAGAACATGGAATATTAGCAGAGATAAAAAAGAGATCATTTCATAATGATAAAATATTGAATTCAAGAGGACATAACAATCCTAAGTGTTTATGAACCTAGTAACAGATCTTCAAAATACATGAAGCAAAAGCTGATAGAACTATAAGGAGAATAGTGAAACTCACAATTATAGATGAAGATTTCAACATGTCTCTCTCAATAAGTAGACAGAATAACAAGAAGGGCATGGAAGACTTGAATAACACTATGGAACAAGTTGACCGAATTGACATTTATACACACTCCACTCAACAACAGCAGAGCAAGCATTCCTTTCAAATGTGCATATACATCCACCAAGACAGATCATTTTCTGGGCCATTAAACAAGCCTCAATAAATTTGAAAGGATTCCTGTCATACCAAGTACCTTGATCACAACAGAATCAAATTAGCAACCAATAGCAGCAAGATCTCTAGAAAACCACCATTTAGAAATTAAAGAACATAAGTCTCTATAACTCAAGAGTCAAAGAAGGCATCAAAAGGGGAATTTGAACATGTTTTCACTGACTTGAAAATGAAACTGAAAACATAACCTATAAAAATGTGTGGGATGCAGCTAAAGTAGTGCTTAGAGGGAAATTCTGAGTAGTAAATGCCTGTTTAGAAAAGAAGAAAGGTCTCTGTGTGGACTGAATTGTGGCTTCTGGAAAGATAAGTCCACATCCTAATCACTAGAACCTTTGAATGTTACCTTATTTGGAAAAAGAGTCTTTGCAGATATAATTGAGAATCTTGAGATGAGATCACCCTGGATTATCTGAGTGGAACTTCAGTGTCATCACAGCATCTTTATAAGAGACAAAGAGAAACACATACAAAGAAGGCCATGTGGAAATGGAGACAGATTGGAGAAATGTGTCACAAGCCAATGAATGCCAAAAGCCTCCAGAAGCTGGAAGAAGCAAGGAACAGAATCTCCCCAGAGCCTCTGGAGAGAGTACAATCTGCGGACACCTTGATTTCAGACTTCTAGCTCCCATAACTGTGAGAGAATACATTCCTGATCTTTAAGCCTCTGAGTTTGTGGTAATTTGTTACAACAGCCATAGGAAGCTAGTGTAGCCTCAAATCAATGACCTCAGCTTATATGTTAAGAAACTAGAAAAAGAAGAGCAAATTAAACACAATGTTAGTAGAATAAAAGAAACAGAAATGAGACCAGAAATCATTGAAATGAAAAACAGAAAAACAATATAGAAAATCAAGCTGGGCACAGTAATTCACACGTGTAATCCCAGTGCTTTAGGAGGCTGAGGTGGGAGGATTGCTTGAGGCTAGAAGTTTGAAACCAGCCTGAACAACATAGTGAGACCCTGTCTCTACAAAAAAAAAAAATTTTAAACTGGACTGTGCATGGTTGTGTGCACCTGTAGTCCCACCATTCAGGAGGCTGGGGAAGGAGGATCTCTTGAGCCCAGTAGTTCAAGGCTGCAGGGACTTATGATCTGGTCACTGTACTCCAGTCTGGGTGACAAAGCAAGACTGCATCTCAAAAAACAAAACAAAACAAAACAAAAAAACACACAACAACTCCCTCTCACTCTCTCTCTCAGTTATACTTTAATAAAGTTGTACAAAATGAAAAAAGTGAGAAGTTTAGAGTAGCTAAAAAGTAGGTTATGAGGGGGTAGGCAGGGAGGCAGGAAGAAATTAGTTTGGAGAGATAGGTTGGACTATGTCCTGTGGACAGGATTGTGGACTAGACTGGGAGAGCCTAGGGTAGGAATAAGAACTAGACAATTAGGTATTAGATGATGGATGGCCTCGGTTGAGGCAGTGAATGGAGAGAACTGGTGAGGAAGAAGTGGGGCTGGATTTGGGAAACATCTAAGATGTGGAATGGAAATGACTTTATGACCAGTTGGATGAGGGAGAGGAAAAGGTTGATATCGAGGTATTTGGCTTCTGAGCAGGCATTGAATTGTGTTCCCCTAAAATTCAGATGTTGAAGTCCTAACCCCCCCTCCCCCAGTGTTACTCTATCTGGAGATAGGATCTTTAGAAGGTATCTTAGTCCATTTGTGCTGATATAACAGAGTAGCTGAAACTGAGTAGTTTAAAAACGACAGAAATTTATTTCTCACAGTTCTGGAGGCTCGGAAGTCCAAGGTCAAGACGCTGGTACCTGGTAAGGGCCTTGTAGGGAGGAACACTGTGTCCTCACATGGGAGAAGAGCAAGACTGCAAGCTAGCCAAATGTTTCGTGAAGCCTCTTTTATAAGATCCTTAATCTCATTAAGGAAGGAGGATCCCTCATGACCTAATCACATCTTAAAGGCTGCACCTCTTAATACTATCGCATTGGCAACACTGGAATTTTGGATGGCACACATGCAAACCCTAGCAGAAGGTTATTAAGGTTAAAAGAAGTCATAAGGGTGGGGCTCTAATCTATTAGGACTGTGGCTTATATAGAAAAAGATCTCTCTTTGCTATGCAAAGACATATGGAGAAGGCGTCTCTCTGCAAGCCAGTTAAGAGTGCCCTCACCAGCAAATAAATCCTGCTAGGCTTTGATATTGGACGTTGCAGCCTCCAGAACTGTAAGAAAACCAATTTTCATTGTGTAAGCCACCCGGTCTGTGGTGTTTTGTTATGGCAGACAGAACTGACTAGCACAGGAGCTTGGTGAAGGAGTGGGGTGGCAGGAATTGGGAGATGTTCATGCCATTCACCTAGATCAAGAACACAGGACAAGAAGCAAATTGGGACAGTGTAAGTTCAGATTTGGATATGTTGTTTGGCAGAAATTCACATAAGGAGGTAAACAACTGAAAATATAGATTGGAAGCTCTGAAGAGAGGTTGGCTAGAGGTATGGATTTAGGAGCCATCAGCAACAGGTGGCAGCTGAAGCCACGGGGATGGGTATACAGTGCAGGATGGGAATTCAACCCTAGTCTCTGAGAAGAAATGTCCAGAGATGGAGGAAGAGAACCATGATAGAGTGGTGACTCTGCAGCCAATGAGAGAATTTTAGAAAGGGGTGATTAACATTATCAAATGCCTCAGAGCACTGGGCACATTTCTAGGAACATGTCTAAGTGTTTTTGAGATGGCTGTTAAAATCAAGGAGCTGGACGGGCACGATGGCTCATGCCCGTAATTCCAGCACTTTGGGAGACCGAGCAGGGAGGATTGCTTGAGCCTAGGAGTTTGAGGTGGCAGTGAGCTATGATTACACCGCTATACTCTGGCCTGGGCAACAGAGAGAGACCCTGTCTTGGGGGGAAAAAACAAAACAACAAAAAACAGAAAATAAGGAGCTTACGGTCTGCCTAAAAAGAACACAAACACATGGCAATTAGGAAATCACTCAATTAAGAAATTGCTTATCAATGTAACAGAAAAGTGTAATAGAGATTCATCCATTTATTCTGCACACATATATTGAGCTCCCACTATGTGTCAGGCATTTAGTTGTCAGAAGAGGCAATTGGATTTTTAAAGAGAAGGATATGACTTAGTTGTGGGGCTGGAAAGAATGATTTTTCTGGCTAAGTGAAAAAGAATAGCAGAGTAACATGGGCATATTGGCTGGGATGGGTTTGGGAGGGTGGAGAGGATCTGGTTTTGACCAGAGTCCAAAGAAGGGGGAATAATTTGGGGGAAAGCCTGCCTGAGTGAGTTGGTACCGTAGATTGGAGAGCTGGAAGGCACCCATCGAGTGTAGCTAGTCCCAGAAGTTTTCCTACTCCAATATTTTCTAAAGGTTATGCTCCTACTGCTGCAACACAAGGCAGAACCCCCTTGTGTCAGGCTGTCAAGCTAATAGGGCCACTGCCTCCTCCAGAAAGGACATGCAGAAAGTGCAAGCTACTCCATTGGTCACCAAATATGCCTCCAAATGCCCTCTGACTTGGACAGGACATTCGCATAACAAAATTCCGAAGCAAAGCATAATTAAAAGAGGGTTTTAGGTACAAGAGCAGCTTCCAAGCCCTGATCTACACCTGGGCTCTTTCAAATAGCAGGTGCAAGGAGACTGGGTGATTCAAAGAGTCAATCATAACTTATATTGGCTTTGGGTGGACCGATAGACAGCCTGACGTATGGTCGGGCGGACAGTTAGAATGAGCGAATGCGTGGATGATGTACTACCAGTCTCCGACCACCACCAGTTTTCCCTAGCCGGAAACTAGTAGCAAAGCTTCCCCGAGACCGCTCTAAAGCTGCAGTTCTCCAGACGGCCGCCGGAAGAGGGCGCTGCGGATCGCCTCGGTCTGCAACCTTCAGACCCCAAGTCCTAGGCAGCGAGGGAGAATTCAGCCTCCCTCAAGTCCCAGAAAACATTGGGCCTCGGAGATTCCCCCTCCACCCTTCCCTCACACCCACCCCAATGGCCTGGGGTCGATACTGCGGCCACCGGAAACTGCCTGGGACAAGTGTTGGGGATGTGGGGGAGACGGGCTGTGGTGGGAGGTTGGAGAGGAGGAAAGGAGCGGAGGAGGGAACCCCAGCGCTGCTGGCAAGCCCGCGGGAAACTCGAACACCCAAGGCCCACGGGCTCCCACTGTTGGGACTGAGATTTGTTGGGGAACAGAGGGCAGAAAGAGCTATAGGTTTCGACTACCTAAAGCTGAATGAGGCTGCACAGGTCCTGGGGCGAAAACAGCCGCGCCGCCACAAGGATGCTTCGGGAATCTGTCCTTTAATTATCAGGAGCAGCTGCGAAACTTACCTTAGCGCAGCACGAACCCTAGAGCGCCCCCGAGGGTGTCCCTGCCCCTTCCGACGGGGGCGTCTGGCGGATTCGCGGCGTAGCACGGCAGCGCGGGCCTCACAGGGTCGGCTGACCGCTTCAGGCCCGTGCTCCTACCTCCCGTCTCCGTCTTGGTTTCCTCGCAATTCAAAGGGAGCTGCTGAGCTCCCGCTGTTCTCTGCTTTGTAACCCGCTCCCTCAGGTTCCCTCCTACCCCAGGCCCCTTCCCGCCAGAGGGCGCCCCTGGAGTCGGTGGAGAAGGTAGGGGCTCTAAATACAAAAATTCAAGACGAGTTGAATCTTGGCTTGAACTGCGTGACAGGAAAATAGGCAAGTTTGGAGACCACAGGTGTTAACTTCTAGTGGGGCTTGACCCGACAGAGGAGCAGATTCTTCAACACCAAAGGCCTAAGGGCCGGACTCTCTTCGCGGACTCTGGCCCTCATAGACGCGCCCTCGCCTCCCATACCCTCCGTAGAGCATGCCTGTGAGGGAAAGGGAGAAGCAGAAGCCGCGCTCGGATGACTTGGCGCCCCACCCCCCAGCCTGCCCACAGGCCACGAATTGAGAAAAGCTTTCCCAAAAGGAAAGTCCTCTCAAAGGCCCTAGACGGTCAAATCGGGAAAGGGAGCAGTAGAGGGATCCTTCCTCCCGCTGCGTCTGTGAAAGCCGCCTGTCTGCACGCCCCGGGCTCCCGCGGTCCCTCCCGAGGATTTCGGTTCTGGTGCCTGAGAAAGCAGCGCAGAGGGGGCCCTGCGAGACCCCTCCAGAGAAATCATCCCCCGGAGGCATTCCTCGGATCTTGGGGTTGCGGAGCAGCGCCCCCCAGCGCCCAGTTACACTCCTGCCTTCCGCTCCCTGCGCCTGGTTGCCTCGATGGCACTCGCGAGCCCAGCTCAGCCCGGCTTAGAAGCCTGTGCCTAGCTGTGGGAGACTGCGGGAGCAACTGAGGGGCCCAAGTGTTTCTTGTTGAAGGTCAGAGGCCTAGAGTCACAGTTTCTCTAAATCCAAAATACAGAATCAGAAGGAATAACTCCTTCTATTAGCGACTTTTGTGATCTACAAACTCAGGCACATGATCTCATCCTGAATTGTTTGGATCCCTAGCACAAACCAAGCCAGTACACAGGGCAGGTTGTGACCATTTTTTACAGCTCAGGAAACAGGTGCTCGGAGGCTGTGTTTCCTCAGCGTTTCTCGAGGCACTGGGGGGTTCAAAGATAGATAAAACAGGGGCTCACCCTCAAGGAGGGAAGCCAGAAAACACACACTGGTTTACTCTGGCTGTGATGGGAGTGACTCCAGGGTGTGGCGGGAGCCCACAAGAGCGGTACTGCACAGCTGGAAAAAGGCAAAGCCAGGGTTCAAACCTAGGACGGACTTCCACTCAAGGACTCCTCTCACGACCTTGGAATGCTGAGAGATCAAGAAATGGTGCAAAAACCCACACACGAATCTCCATTACAACCCTCTCTATCTCACTGGATCCTAGAGTAACATCTGTCAGAAAGTAACTACATATTATTTGGGTGATTTATTGTGAATGTGTAAGTTCCGTGTGAGTAGGAGCTGCATCTAGATTAAGTTTGAATTTTCAGGCCTTGCGTAGTCCCTGGCACAGAGCCCTAGCTGAATAAATACTGTCGAGTGAATCAAAAATTGCGATAAAACTTGGAGCAAAATAACACTACCAGGAGACAGAGTGGCTCAGCGCCCTAAACAGGTGTGGAGGACCACAAAGGGAGTTAGAAAAAGCAGTTGGGGGGTGGGGCGGTGAGACAGGTGGTTCCTCCTCACAGTTCCACCTGGTCCAAGCTACAGACCCCAAATTAGCCTTCTTTTGTATGAGCCCTCTGTTCTTGTCTCGCAAAGTGACACTGGAGGGAGAGAAAGGAGTTTCCCTGCGGCCACGCTGGTGTAAGCAAAGGCTGATGGCGATTCCGCGCATCTAGGGCCGAGCCTGGGCCTGCGCCCCCTCGGATTCCTGGCGGAGCCGCAGCCAGCGAAGCAGAGCGTGGTCGGAATAGAGGCAGCGACCGTGTGAGGTCGCGCCAGGGAAAGCTCCGCGAGGGGCCAGCGTTGGGCCCTGCCCTGCCCTGACCGCTCCCCACTGTGCCCACTCCACCCGGGAGCAAGCTAGTTGCGGGATAAAGGAATACGCGCAGACTTCGCAAAGTGCAATCGGGGTTCTTCGTATTCATGGAAAAAAAAATCACTGGTTTAGCCCGGGTCTGCCCTATTTAGGATGAGTCCAGGAGGCGGCGGAAAGAAAGGACGCTCTTCGGTCAGAGGGAGGTGTTTCGGGCCATGGGAGGGACTCTGGAGGCCTTTGCTTGGATAAGCTTGGAGATACAGATGTCCTTCTCTTCCCTACAAGGTGCGTTAGTCTCCGGGCTTATTTTCGGCAGTGCAGTGGTACTGGGGAAGAAGGCAGAGCCGCGTGTTGAGAAGGGGCTAGGGTAGTAGAGGCGCTGGAGCCTGGGCGGCAGGGCGCTGCAAAGGCCCAGGCGAGGTGGATAGAGAGCTTGCTGGTGCGCGCGAGAAGCACGCCTGCAGGCAGAGGTTGAAGCGCCGTCCCAGTTGTGTCCCAGAGTGAAGCGGGAGTCTTTGCCCGCCCCAGCCACTTCGAGCTCCACTCCAGTTCAGCTCCCAGAGTCGCCACTTGCTGCGCGGTTGTTGGGGAGGGGGTTCCTGGTCCAGAACGAGACGTGGGGGGCTGGGGGTTTCCTCGAGAACTGCAGGCCTGGTTGCCCCCGGACTGTCAGAGCCGGAGGCCGGGGAGCTGCCAGCCACGTGCGCCTGTGGCCTGCTGAGAGGTTGAAAAGCTGCCAAGGGACGAAGGCCGAGAAGACAGGACCTAGGGGCTGTGGAAGATTCACCCAACTCTTCCTTTTACTCAGGTCTTGGGACCTAAGAGGGGGTGGGGATAGTCATGATAATAACTACCGCAATCTCCAGTGCTGGCACTGAGCTGAAAAACATTCAAAGCTTTCAAAGCATTTTGATGTGCTTCATCTTACTTGAATCTCACAAAAACCTTGTGAAGATTGATCTCCATTTCTAAATGGCGTTGAGACTGGAAGAGATGTACAACATTCTACACTTGGTGTTCCTTAAACTTACAAACAACTATGAAATAATGGCGAGTGAGAGAAAGAAGCTGGGTGACTGGGAAACCCACCCCGCCTTCGCAATTAGACCCCATTCGGGACTCAGGCCCGGCCAGGTCGCGCCTGCAGACAAGGTCTGTATTCAGCGTTGCCAGTTCTCCTCTGTGGTTCGCTTAAGCCCGGCGTCGCCTCCCCTCCTTGCTTAGCCACCACAGTGATCAATGCTCAGTTCGTCGGGGCCTGAGAGCGCCCCCCAGAGAAGCCCCTGGGAAGGAAGGGCAAGGAGCCGGGCTTCGCTCTGGTCTTTCGCAACACCAGCGGCGAGCGCGTCTCCCTGCGCAAACGTAGGGTGGCCTCCCCAGCTCTGCCGTGGGGACCGCACAAAAACGCGGGCGCAGGTGGGAGGGCGGAGGGTGTCCTGAGCTTTCTTTACCCTGGTAAAGAAGGTAGGCGGTGAGAAAAGCGAATGTTATTATAGAAGTTGGCTTTGTATTGAGGGAGTAAGAGCTCTCTTCAAGGAGAGGGCTGAAATCTTTAAAAATAAATAAAACTTTCTCTACTGTAATTGCTATTAATAAAAAAAGGGAGCCCGGATGAATTAAGTAGCTCAAAACTGCCTGTTCGTCATGATCAGGAGCTCCTTCTCTACAAGGAGGGGAAAGAAAATGTGAAAACAAAAACTAAATTCAAGAAGCTCCTTGACCAGCGCGGGTGTCTTGGAGGCACCTGCCGGGGCCGGCCGGGGAGCGCTCCGCCCTCCCAGCCCCTGGCGCGCAGAGGAGACTAAAACAGCTAAGGAGAAAGCAAAACAAAAACAATGATAAAAACGTTTAAAATCCAAGGACAAAAACCGGAGTCGGTCTCAAAATCCGCGCCGTTCAGTGCTCCACTCGGTAGTCGACTCGGCTGCAGGCCCCGGCCTGGCCGGAGCAACGCGGGGGACACCCCCGATTCCGCTGGGGAGCGCAGCCCACAGCTCCCCCTCGCCAGGCGCCCAAGGACCCTCAAGGCGCGGGGCCCACACTTGAAGCCTGGGAACGCGCAGACAGGAAACCCTCTTCCTCCTAAGCAGTTTCTTGCTCGTCGGATGAGAGGCGCCCAATTGAAGCAGAATGATCCTCATCTACTAATATCCAGCGTGGCCACAAAGCGACTGGCCATTTACGCCACCACTTTAAACAAAGATATTTGGTTATTCCCGGGAAGCAAGAGCACTTTTGCATGGCTGAGCTGCGGGCGGAGGCGAGCCTCGGCCCAGCCTCCCGCCCGCTGAGCTGCCCGCACCTCGGCATTCGCCCCCTCCTGGCCAGCGCTCCAGCCGCCGGGGTTCAGGCTCAGTTCCGCCCGGCAACAGACAGACGGGCACTCACGCCGCTCCCTGCTCGCGCGCTCCCTGAAGCATCAGAGGGGAAAACAGCGTGGCTCTGGGCTCGGGTGCTGGGGCTGTGATGTCCTCGGAAAGTCAGCTCCAGCCCCAGATCCCCGCGTGTCTGGGAGATGGGCGAGGGTCAGGGACACCAGGTTTGTTCGAGGTGGGGCAACTTCAGTGACGGACCCTCCCGTGAGACCCCTTCCCATCCTCCCAGCTCTGGGGGCCAGTGCTGTGTTTGCTCGGCCGGGGGTGGGGGGGGGGGGGGAAGACCTTGGGGGAGGCGTGTTAGCGGGGGTGGCCCACTGAAAAACCCCTGAGCTGCGGGGGCGGGTTGTGGCTCGGGGATCCGGGACAGCCTCCGGGAGGCAGTCGATCCCCTACTCAGCGCCCCCTCCGCCCGCTCGGATTCTCTCCGGTAGGGGGAAAGGGGGCGGGGAGCAGAGGTGTCCCTCTGACGGCGGCAGAAGAGAGGCAGACAGACTGACAGACACGTAGACCAACAGTGCGGCCCCAGGGTTCGTCCCCAGACTCGCTCGCTCATTTGTTGGCGACTGGGGCTCAGCGCAGCGAAGCCCGATGTGGTCCGGAGGCAGTGGGAAGGCGCGGGGCTGGGAGGCCGCGGCGGGAGGGAGGAGCAGCCCCGGCAGGCTCAGGTGAAACCCCCACCCTGTCCCTCAGCCCCCTCCTCCTAAAGACCTGTCCGTGCCCGGGGAACCCCGACCGAATTGGAAAGTGGTTCCACTTTGTAACTCCGCAAGTTGGTTGCAAAGCAGCATTCACCTTCCTTCCTCTCAACCATCTCTCCTCCTCTGTTACTCCCCCACCCCACCTCCTGCCCTCCCCGCTCTCGGTTCCCTCCTCCTTCCCCTCCCCTCCACCTCCTCCCCGCGCTCCGCTGGTACCCCACAAAAAATGGGGGTGGGGGTGTCCAAGGGAGGGGGGAAATGCTTTGGGTCTCGTCTCTGCCTCTCTCTCTCTCTCTTTGAGACCTAAAAATCCTGACAAGTGAAACTTAAAGGTGTTTACCTTGTCATCAGCATGTAAGCTAATTATCTCGGGCAAGATGTAGGCTTCTATTGTCTTGTTGCTTTAGCGCTTACGCCCCGCCTCTGGTGGCTGCCTAAAACCTGGCGCCGGGCTAAAACAAACGCGAGGCAGCCCCCGAGCCTCCACTCAAGCCAATTAAGGAGGACTCGGTCCACTCCGTTACGTGTACATCCAACAAGATCGGCGTTAAGGTAACACCAGAATATTTGGCAAAGGGAGAAAAAAAAAGCAGCGAGGCTTCGCCTTCCCCCTCTCCCTTTTTTTTCCTCCTCTTCCTTCCTCCTCCAGCCGCCGCCGAATCATGTCGATGAGTCCAAAGCACACGACTCCGTTCTCAGTGTCTGACATCTTGAGTCCCCTGGAGGAAAGCTACAAGAAAGTGGGCATGGAGGGCGGCGGCCTCGGGGCTCCGCTGGCGGCGTACAGGCAGGGCCAGGCGGCACCGCCAACAGCGGCCATGCAGCAGCACGCCGTGGGGCACCACGGCGCCGTCACCGCCGCCTACCACATGACGGCGGCGGGGGTGCCCCAGCTCTCGCACTCCGCCGTGGGGGGCTACTGCAACGGCAACCTGGGCAACATGAGCGAGCTGCCGCCGTACCAGGACACCATGAGGAACAGCGCCTCTGGCCCCGGATGGTACGGCGCCAACCCAGACCCGCGCTTCCCCGCCAGTAAGTGAGGCCGCCCCACTGCGGGGCCGCGGGCTGAGCTCAGGAGGTGCGGCGAGAGCCGTCCAGAAGGCGCGGCGCCGGCAGGCTGCGCGCTGGGCATCAGGGAGGGCGGCCCGGCAGCGGCGCCAGGGACTTGGGTGCGGGAGCTGGGGATGCTTCCCCCTGCTCGGCTGGGGGTCCAAGAACAGGCACTTGGTAGCGCTGGGGTCCTGCGGTCAGATGCGGGTACTCGGCGTCTCCTAGGCGCGGTGGACTGGCAGCTCTGCTCGGCGCAGAAGACCTCGGGGAGCCAAGGGAAGCGACCCCGAGCTCAAGGAGCAGGGGCGAGCAGAGCGCGGAGAGGCTAGACCGGGCCAGGAGGGAGGCTGCCCTGTTGGGAGGCACTCGAGCGCCCGGCCCGGCCCTCTCTCCAGCGGAGTCTGGGCAGGTGGGAGGACTCGCAGTTCCAGAGGGGACTCTAAGGGTCCGAGCAGGTGCCCTCACTGGGGCCTGACAGGAGAGAAGCCAAGAGGCAAAGCGTCTGGGGGCTCCAGCTTTTGGAAGTCAACACCCCCTCTCCTAACCTCTCCAAACTGGGGTCTACCGTAGGACCCCAGCTCCCGGCCTGAGCCCAGTTCGCCGCCTGTGGCCAGCTAATCCTAATGCTCTGACCCGGGCTGGGCACGAAAGGAGCAGAAGCGGCCTTTCCCCCACTGCGTCTTTTGGTTCGAAAGAGGGAACTGAGACTGAGGGAGGGCAGCCAGGGTTGGGGCTGTGAGCGCTCCAGTACAGCCCCCTCGACGGTACGGCCTGGGGCAGGCGCTGGCAGTTCCCCGCGGATGGGCCTCTTGGGCCCCAGCGCTAGGCTGCCTGGGTCAGGAGGGCGCCGTCGGTTGGGGCGGGCCGGGCGGGCCAATGGCGCGGAAAACAGGGGTGGCCTGGCTCGGCCTGGCCCCGGCCGACGCTGTGCGTTTGTCGCTTACAGTCTCCCGCTTCATGGGCCCGGCGAGCGGCATGAACATGAGCGGCATGGGCGGCCTGGGCTCGCTGGGGGACGTGAGCAAGAACATGGCCCCGCTGCCAAGCGCGCCGCGCAGGAAGCGCCGGGTGCTCTTCTCGCAGGCGCAGGTGTACGAGCTGGAGCGACGCTTCAAGCAACAGAAGTACCTGTCGGCGCCGGAGCGCGAGCACCTGGCCAGCATGATCCACCTGACGCCCACGCAGGTCAAGATCTGGTTCCAGAACCACCGCTACAAAATGAAGCGCCAGGCCAAGGACAAGGCGGCGCAGCAGCAACTGCAGCAGGACAGCGGCGGCGGCGGGGGCGGCGGGGGCACCGGGTGCCCGCAGCAGCAACAGGCTCAGCAGCAGTCGCCGCGACGCGTGGCGGTGCCGGTCCTGGTGAAAGACGGCAAACCGTGCCAGGCGGGTGCCCCCGCGCCGGGCGCCGCCAGCCTACAAGGCCACGCGCAGCAGCAGGCGCAGCACCAGGCGCAGGCCGCGCAGGCGGCGGCAGCGGCCATCTCCGTGGGCAGCGGTGGCGCCGGCCTTGGCGCACACCCGGGCCACCAGCCAGGCAGCGCAGGCCAGTCTCCGGACCTGGCGCACCACGCCGCCAGCCCCGCGGCGCTGCAGGGCCAGGTATCCAGCCTGTCCCACCTGAACTCCTCGGGCTCGGACTACGGCACCATGTCCTGCTCCACCTTGCTATACGGTCGGACCTGGTGAGAGGACGCCGGGCCGGCCCTAGCCCAGCGCTCTGCCTCACCGCTTCCCTCCTGCCCGCCACACAGACCACCATCCACCGCTGCTCCACGCGCTTCGACTTTTCTTAACAACCTGGCCGCGTTTAGACCAAGGAACAAAAAAACCACAAAGGCCAAACTGCTGGACGTCTTTCTTTTTTTCCCCCCCTAAAATTTGTGGGTTTTTTTTTTTAAAAAAAGAAAATGAAAAACAACCAAGCGCATCCAATCTCAAGGAATCTTTAAGCAGAGAAGGGCATAAAACAGCTTTGGGGTGTCTTTTTTTGGTGATTCAAATGGGTTTTCCACGCTAGGGCGGGGCACAGATTGGAGAGGGCTCTGTGCTGACATGGCTCTGGACTCTAAAGACCAAACTTCACTCTGGGCACACTCTGCCAGCAAAGAGGACTCGCTTGTAAATACCAGGATTTTTTTTTTTTTTTGAAGGGAGGACGGGAGCTGGGGAGAGGAAAGAGTCTTCAACATAACCCACTTGTCACTGACACAAAGGAAGTGCCCCCTCCCCGGCACCCTCTGGCCGCCTAGGCTCAGCGGCGACCGCCCTCCGCGAAAATAGTTTGTTTAATGTGAACTTGTAGCTGTAAAACGCTGTCAAAAGTTGGACTAAATGCCTAGTTTTTAGTAATCTGTACATTTTGTTGTAAAAAGAAAAACCACTCCCAGTCCCCAGCCCTTCACATTTTTTATGGGCATTGACAAATCTGTGTATATTATTTGGCAGTTTGGTATTTGCGGCGTCAGTCTTTTTCTGTTGTAACTTATGTAGATATTTGGCTTAAATATAGTTCCTAAGAAGCTTCTAATAAATTATACAAATTAAAAAGATTCTTTTTCTGATTAAAACCCTCCTTTTTGTTTTGTTTTGATTTGGCTTTAAATGGCTTTGAGGGGCGGGGGCTTGGGAGGATCTTGTCTTTGGTCTGATGAGATTCAAATTGTTTGGGTTTGAGCTCAAAGGATTCTGAACCGGTTAAGGAGGTAAGGAGGCCAGGCCCAGAGTCCTTGCCCCACAGGAAGAGGGAGTTTTGTTCTGCCTCAGAAATTGTGTGGAAACAAATCTTGAGCAGTCCTGAGACTGCAGTGGAGGACCGAAATACCAAACTACTTCCACCAAGAGGGAGAGGGAGAGAGGAAGAGAAAGAGACCAAATAATTCATTTTCTGAGTCAGACTTCTGTTGATAGGAGTCTCAGAACTGTCTACTGTGGTCTCACAAAGCTGAGCCAAAGTTTTAAAACAGTGAGAGAGGACACCCATTTTAAATCAGTCTGAGTGAGTTATGGTTTTCAGTGAATGGATCACCTCTGTAGATTTGAACATCAAACCTTTATTTCTAATCAGTGGCTGAGCTCCTTCACAGAATTCGATGGGAGGCTGTTTTCGAAAGTAAGGAAGTCATTCAGGGGTTTTGTTTCTGTCCTAAAACAGGGACCCCTCTAGGGGACCAGCAGCAGACGCCTTCAGCCCCTGCTGCTTTTGGCTCCTTTGGCCTCCAACGGGGTAACACTGGGTGACAGGCCTGAGGACATCCCAGGAAGGACTTTGGGAGCTGAGATTTCACTCTTTGTTGTACTGGGTTTTATCTCTGGGATCCTAAATTTTTGTAGTAATGAATCTTTCTCCTGTTTACAGTTCTTCACCTCCCAGCCACTACCTCCCACGCCAAGCAAAAAAAATAAATAAATAATAAATCATTTTTGATTCCTTTCTTCCAACCTCTAATTTCCTGGTTTCCTCAGCGCTCAGTGTTTGTGTTGGGAGACCCATTAGGGATGAGAGAGAGGGGAGAAGGAATGGTTTTGAACACAGAAAAATTGTAGTCCCCTGGATGGGCTGTAGCCCTTCCGGGTCACCCTTGCCAAATCTCCGGTCGAAAGGCAGCTGAGCCAGCTGCGGGCAGACGCCCCTCCCAGCACTTTCCTCTAGGCCTGGAAGTATTGGATTATGGGCAATTGATTCTTATTTGGCATGTACTCACTTCTCGCCCAGGTTTTCAACTTTCTTTTTCTTCCTCTCTTCCCCTCTCTCATTTCGTTATTCGTCTGCATCTCTTCCCAATCCCTCTCTCCCGCTCCCCCACCAAGAGCTTGTGAGGAAAGCAGACTGGCCGGAGTCCTCGCTCCGGGCCCAGCAGTCCTCTTTGTTAACTTCCTGGAGCCTCCTCTGGCGTGGTGCCTTAAGACTGTGGGCTAGGCCGGGCTTTCTCCCTCAGAAACCTGGGCCTCACTGCTGAGACACAGTTTCCAACAGCCAGAGGGACTCGAAGATTCCCAAGAGGATGGTTGGGTCTAGTGAGAGTGCTTGTTGGAAGGCGGGGAAGGGAGATTTTAACAGGTCTCACGTTTTGGAAAACAAACAAATTTGACCACTTGCGTTGGAATGGTCAGCTGTGGTTCCGGGACCGGGAGTGTAGGTGGCTAAGGCACCCAGCTCAGGCCGGCCGGGCAGGGGACATGGATACTGCAGCTGCTGTTTGGCTCTAGGTCCGGATCCCACGGAATTGGAGCTTCGCTTAACCTGCCCCAGCCTAGCCCAAGCCCGGGCGGGGACCTGGCTGGCGGTGCCCGGCTGTGGTTCTGGCGGCTGCCCCGCACCCCATTCTAGCTGGGAGGAAGCCTTTGGGAGTCACAATTTTAGTAGGCTGTGGCACCCTCGGCCTTATCATCTTTGCATTGGATGGAGTTTCCATCAAATACATTCTTCTCCTCGCCGTCTACAGTCGGCATAGTTTGAAGTCTGTTTACTTGTCCCGGGGAAAGGTGAACTCAATCGGGTTTGCGGACCGAGACAAACAGGACCTCAGCCTCTTTCTTGCCATCAATTACGCTGGCTCCATCCGCTCCCGCTCCCGGCTGGGGGAATTGTCGCAGCTGCGGGAAGAGACCTAGAACGCAATCTGAAGCGTTTCATTAGGGAAATAGGTGCGCGCTGGGAGCAGTGCAAGAGGGTTCCGCAACCTGGGGACACCCTCCGCCCCTACAGCACCGTCGGCTTCTGGAAAGCCGACAGTCCTCCTTTCTGGGAATCTCCTGCATCAACTCGTGCCCAATTTCTGGCCTCCCCTCTCGGAGAAATCAGCATTCTGAGGATGCCCCTGGCGCTGAGGTGCTTGGAAGCTTCCGAGGTTTGGGAGCAAGTACGGTTCACCCCGAGATCACCGCGAAGCTTTGCCTCCGCCAAAGTACCCTACCCATCCCTAGGCCCCAACGGCTGAGAGGAGTGGGGGAGATTTTGCACACTGCACCCCCCTTCCTCCTCTCCCCACCCCCACTTCGCCATGTAAACACTAGGACTTTCTCGAGAGCCTTGGAGAGCCGCTCTAGTGGCTTCGGGCCCTGAAACCCCAGGCTGGGCTTTTTTGATGTTTAGCATCCCAAAGCTGCTCCCCACCCTGGCCCCAGCCTGGGAACTGGGAGCTGTGGGCAGGAGAGGAAGGAAAGCAGCTCTCTCAGCTAGCGAGGGGGTCAGGGACTGGGCCAAGCTCAGAAGCGGGGAGAAGAGCGAGACAGAGATGCTCTGAGCAGGGGAGACAGGGATCCCGGGCTGCTGCCGCTACCAACAAGGGTACACACTGCGGTCCTCAAGGCCAGGAGGGGGGTGGGGGCAGGGAATGCCTCAGCCAACAGGGCAGCGGCTCGGCCCTGCTGCTGGCCCGGTGGGAAGTAGCCTGGGGCCCCGCGACTGAAATCCGAGCCAGGCCTGGGCAGTCTCCGCTAGAAACGCTCTGGGCGCGCACTCCTGGAGACGCGGAGGCCCGGGCGCTCCAGACCAGTGTCCTTGTAGGAGGCTTCTTCACGAAGCTTAGAGTTTGGCCTTTCATAGGGAAAGACTTGCTCGGGAGCAAGTCTAAGGGATTTTAAGGGATTTTAAATCTTCCTGGGCCAGGGCTAGGGAGCTCTAGTGACAGTGTCTTGGTCTGGAATCCAACTCTCCAATTTTGAGGCCGCAGGGAGGAATTCTGAGACTTTAGAGGCCGCACAGCCTTCAGCGCGCTCACCGCGTCCAGGCGTCAGTGAGGGGCTATCTCGAGGCGCGAGTGCACAAAAGGTAGCGCGAGTCTCTTCTCAGGCGATCCAGATAAGAGGAAATGAGAGCCGGGTTTTCTGACTTCCAACTCATTAGGGACCAGGTAAGGTCAATGCTTTCTCTATTATGTCTTTATCTTAAAAGCGGGTCAATTTAAGATAAGGGAAAAAAAATCCAGGATCTGTGTGAACCGTGCTGATAAAGACTGACCCCTTTTCTGAACTAAAAGCAAGCCAGGCAGACATTCATTTTCTATAAACAAGAGAGTTGTGAGAAGCTGCCTTGAATTCTGATCATATGTCTCCAGACATCGCTCTCCCTTCCCTGCTCCCCACCCCCCAATTATTAGCGCGAGGAAGCAGAGTAGACGATTTTATTTGTGGAGAACTAGAAAGCCCATTGGGAGATGAGAATCTGAGATGATATGATTCTTAGGCATGGGTTACTGGCTTGTTTAGTTCAACTAGGACTTTCTTTTTGAATGGAAAGAAAGTGACAGACACGGGTATTGGGAGGGAGGAGGCTGAATGTTTTCTCTGCTCGGCTAGATCCTGGTTAGGAGACGCTGGACACCATGTTCCTCTGGCTCTCCCTGCCTTCTGGCTGACGCGTTCCTCCTTGTGCAGCTGTGTTTCTGAGACTTCAGGCCACCCTCTGTGGGGCCCAATTTGGTAGCTTACCTCAACTTGGAGCATAGAAAGTTTTCTGGTGCCCCTTCGGCCAGTTGTTTCTAGAAGGAGTATCTTATTTTCAGTCACCCTCTCTGGAAAGTTTGTCCACCCAAGCTGAGGGATTTGGATATGGATGGGAGTAGATGAAAGTAAGTTTTATTGAAGGGGGTCTGCATATGCCCTTATCCTCACCTCATGTAGTTGTGTTTCTGAACTTTCTTTAATGAATCTCAAAGGAACGGAGAAAGAGCAGGTTCAGCAACTTGGCAGCACAGCTTTTGCCTCAGCTGAAGCCATAGCTGAAGTGGCTGGCTGCATTTCTCTCTGATAGTGACCTAATGCCCAACTTGGTGGGCATCGAGGCATGATCCTGGGCTCCTGCGCCTCTCCTCGTTTGCTAATGTTTCCCGTTTGACCTCTGCTTCGTAAGCATTTATTACCCTTGTTATTATGAGTTGTAGCAAAGTTTTGGAAAGGGTGAGATTTAAATTCATTTTCCTGTTTTATCTATTTTTGTTATTTGCAGGACCCTTCAACATAAATTGATCACTGTTAGTGCTCTGCCTGAAATATAAATAAAACATAACATAAATGTGGCAGGCAAAGGACTTGTTAAAGAAAACTCTTGCCTCCCACCTAAAATCCACATCTGATTCTGCCTACTTTGTAAGTGATTGCACACAGATTTCTATGTATATATGTATGTGTGTATAGAGGTATATATACATATGTGTCTCTCTTATACACATGTATATATACATATGTATCTCTCTTATACACATGTATATATACATATGTATCTCTCTTATACACATGTATATATACATATGTATCTCTCTTATACACATGTATATATACATATGTATCTCTCTTATACACATGTATATATACATATGTATCTCTCTTATACACATGTATATATACATATGTATCTCTTATACACATGTATATATACATATGTATCTATCTTACACACATATATCTATTTTATAAGATATTCAAAAACTGTAATATAGAATTCTCAGAGATTTTACAGAACCTGTTAGATGCAAGAACATTGAATAAATTCACTACCTCAATTAAGGTGTCTCATGAAAAAGTTTCCTTGAAAAATTCAAATAGACCAAAACCCTTTAGTTTTACCCACTTTAAGTCAGAATATTTATTTATTGTCATGTGAAACTCTGGATAACTAATTATGTTTTAGGAAATTTTAAAATTTATTCCTAAATAATTTGAACTTGGTGTCTGAGACACAGCTGTGGATAAGACTTTTTGAGACATTCTATAACAACAACAAAAAAATTGTCCCTTGCCGAACTTCTATTATCCATCTATAAAAATCACTGGTATAAATACTACCGCCCTGGGGCAACAACAGCAACGAACAAATGAAAACTGTTTCTGCTCCGCATTTGTTGCAAACGTCCTCTTGATTTCACACTTTAAGCCTTCACATAGTAGTGGAAATAAGAATGCAGGTCTGAGTGTTGTCTGACAACAAGGAAAAAGACAAATTTTTTTTCTTCTCCCTTTTCCCCTCTATTTCACACATTTCTGGGGAATCCGGTCTTTGATTGTTAGATCTTGCTGCTAGTAACAGCAGACTGTTGGTGGAGTGTCAAACATTCTATTTCTAGAGTATTGGTGATTGTTGATCATTCATTTATATAAAATCAGAGCTATCAGGCCACCAAGTATCTTTGGATATCCTTCCCCTGTCCCTGTGCTCTGGATCCAGTCTATGGAAAATGACCCACAACAGGTTAGCGTCTGCCTTGCCTAGCATTCTCCCTCCTAATGCTGCTGCTCTAAAAGTCCAAAGCTCTAGGAAAACAAGGCTTTATTTGGCCCGCGTGCTACTGATTTACCTGATCTCAGCAGCACACACGGGGCTGAGTGCGCGCGCGCAGAAGTAAACCTGTGAATTACCATAATGACACTAAGAGGACCGAGAGCTAGTTCCTCTGAGCTGACTGCACGCTCTGCCGCAACCCAGGAGACCCAGTCAATGTCTAAGGAACTGGATATGCCTATGTGTAAAGCGAACCTCGCAAAGTTATGGTCCCAACAGACGCTTCCAGAGCATTAGGTCTCTAAACAGACTTGCAGCGACAGACTTCTAGAGGAGACTCAAGCCGCAGAGGATTAAATCTCTCTCTCTGCCTGGCCACTTGATGGTGCCTCAAGGTCTGCAAGGCCTGGGGTGGGACTAAGGGCCTGGGGGGCTGGGCAGTGGCAGCTTCTTCCTTCCCTTCTGATTCTACTTCAGAAAGAATTGCAACTGTCAAACCACCGTGGTGCACACAGCACACATTCCTACCTCAAGCCACAGCAGACAGAAATTGTAGCTAGTTCGTTACTGCCCTGTGACCTGGCAGTATTAACTGAAATGTCGATTACTACTCCCTGGCAGCACTGTTCCCTGACAGGACTCCTGAGCCTCGACCTGGGTGCAGTAAACTTTGGAAGTGCTGCATTGTATCATACCTACAACTCACGCAATAGATAAAACTCAGACATCTCTCTACACATCTACATAGTCCATTGGCTTCGTACTGAAATCAAACAGAAAAAGTTTTTGGAAATATTTAACAAAAAGCCAACCCACTCATGGCCATCATTTAGCACTGGGTAGGGGTAAAGAGAAAGAGAAACCCTTTGAGGTATGTGGTAGCATACAAACATGTTCACAGTAACCTTCCTGTATTAACCATTTTCTAACAATTACAATGCCACATCAACACAGTTAGTTGTTGAAAATTCTCAACATGGCTAAATACTTAGATTGCATTGGTGGTGTGCCTGTGAAAGCTATTTGGGGGTTGTGTATGTGGTTCTGCTCATTGGAAAGACAGAAGAGAGAAAGGGGGCCGGAAAGGATACTGGGAGAAAACAGAAACAACTATTCCTGGTGAAAGTGTGTGGGCTTCTGAGGGCGGTTGTGGCAGCTGAGAAGTGCTGGTTATATATAGCTGGGTCACAGTGATGGGGAGGTGGGGATGGTGGTGGATGACTGTGTCATGTGCCTGTGGTGTTTAGGGGGTGATCCTAGTGGGGAGGGCCTGGGAGACGGCTGGGTGGTGGTGTGTGTACCCTGTCTGAGCTTTGGGCCGGTAACACAATGGCAACGTAATTATCTGGCTGAAACACGCTCAAATGGCAAAAAGTTGCAAAATAGATCGACCTCCCAGAGAAGAGACAGAGCTGGTTACAGAGGTCTGCACCCATCATCCTTTTTTCAATACATTTTAAACAAGAGGATCTAGCGAGTGATTCTGATTCAATACACATAATCAGTTTGCAAGTCTTATTTCCATTTGAAAACAGGGCCATTTGCAATCATAAGAGCCGGACACGCTGAAAGATACGGAGCGCATTCCGAGCAGATGATGGGTGACAGAATCTGTAGGCAAGCACTAAATATTTTCTTCCAGCTTCAGACCTTGTGCATCAGTCTTCTGTCCCGAACCATTTTAAATGGAATGTTCCTGTTGAATATATAATTTAATTGCTTAGAAAATGGAGACTCCATGGTTGGGAGGAAAAAACCGGCAAGAAAGGTGACAGAGAAACTATGTTGATTGTGCTTCTCCTCAGTACTGGTTAACAGTCATTTAACGAAGAGTCTACCCATTGGGTAGAAGACTTGATGGAAAAAATGAATTGGTTTTTAAAGGAACAACCGCCAGAAGGGGTTGCCGGGGCTAACATTCTCAGGCTGGAGCTGCAAAGCCCTGGCTGGGTGTGGCCGGGACTGGCGGGGAGTCTGCGGGGCCTTCAGGGAAGCCCAGGGACAACTCCGCGGCCTCCCAACGACGCCGCCAAAGACCTGGGGGCCCCTCGCGGCCCGGCTGTTCCGAATTGGTTGCCAAATGTCTAAACTAGAAGTGTGGACACTTGAAATCTCGAGCTGTCTTAGGGTCTCTCGCTACGAAAGTTTGGTTTCTAGGACCAAGAGAAGCAGCTGTCCCAGGCCCTTCGTTTCCTGTCCGCAGCCTCATCCTCCCCGCACCCCCCAGCTCTCAGTCTCCCCAGTCCCAGTCCTTACCCCGTCCACCCGCGGCCTCTCTCCCAACACCCAGCCGGCAGCCTCGCTCTCGGCCCCCGCCCGCCCCGCGTCTCCGCGTACCCAGGTCCCCGCGCCCCGCCCCGCCCCGCCCCTGCCCAGGTTCTCCCTCCCGTTCCCGCGCTGGGAACAGCCTCGGCCGCGCGCCCCCTGAGGACGCGGCCCCCAACCCCTCCTGGAGACCACACCGGCAAGTCTGGTGTGCGGAAGAGCAGAAACTTCCTCGGAATTTCGATCCCAGAATATACAAATATTAGTTCACTAGGTCACGACGATGATGCAAACTCTAACTTGCAGGGATTTTTAAAAAAGATCTTAACGCACAATCTTTCTTTGTACAAATAAACGAAACCAAACAAAGCCAGCGAACTACTGCTGTTTCCCTCGTGAATTTTCTTAAGGAAAAGAGAGATTCCTTCTCTCCCCAGATATCAACATCTAACGAATTTTCTAGGAGACTGAAACTCAACCTAATAATAGTATGTGCTTAATGCTGATTCCATTTTTGTTTCAAAGGGGGGTAATTTATTAGCTTCCTCAAAGTGGTGCCTCGTAGGCAGGTGTTGTATTTTTTGATATCCTTGTAAAGAGTTTTTGCGTCTGGGAAGATCTCAGAAGAACCAATAAATAAGGTGTGTGTATGTTGGGGGGTGGAGGTGGGATTCTGTACAGCTCATGGCCCTGCTTGTTCAATTTCATGCAAAACTCATTCTAAAAGCCCCAGGGTTCTCTTTAATAGGGGCCAAATGGCAGGAACCCCAAAGATCTAAATATTTCACTCTTCCTCCCTGTACCTCCCTCACTGCGCCTTCCACCCCCAGCTATAAATTCTAGATTCCCCTCCCCGCCCCCCCCCCACCCATCCTGCGGATAATTGAGTGGCTCAGAGGCACTAATCTGCCCTGGGGTGAGGTGGGGCTGGCAGTGGAGGTAAGGCCTCCCACAGGCTCCCTGGTTCCGCAAAATGGGAGGACAGAACTCCTACAACTGGCAGGAGGTGAAGAGGACGCTGGGACCCACAGGACCTAGTCTGCCAGGGGAAAGGGAAACAGGCTCCCCTGACTAAGGACACAGCCTCAGACCAGGCTTGGCTGGGTGGACAGGAATGTGGTGCCCAAGAGCAGCAGAGATCCAGGGTAGGAAGTTGCAGCCATCTGAAAACCCCATAGAGATATATTGCCCACATGACTATTTCTAGAAGTGGTGGTTGATCCCTTCACACCTTCCCGGATCCAGGATATACAGCGGCTCGCTAGCCCAAGTCTTCAGGTGCAATCCCAGTCAGGGAGAAGAAACTTCACCCTGCCCTCCTCAGGGAGACCCCTCCTGCCTCCCCAGTGTAGGTATGTGAGACCCTCATTAGGACCCCAAGATCATGTGCAGGAACATCAAGCATCTTATTCTTGTATTTACAACCTGGTGTGACTTTATTATCTACTTTTCTTCTGTTTCTTCATCCTTCCCCATTTTCCATTTCTTTATTCCAATGCCGATGTTTTCTTTGCTTTCTTGTCCAACTCCAGTCATGGCTGCAATCCTACTTTATAGGCAATTCGGTATTGTTTATCCTAATGTCAGTACTAAAAGGAAAAGTAGAGAAAGTGGATAGGCTAAGTAATAAAGAATGAAAGCCAGTAAGGTCCATATGGGAGACCAGTTGGGGAGTAAGAAGACCAGAGAAGAGCCAAGGTCAGCCTATCAAAGGACTAGGGAGAAAAACGATAGAAGCAAAGAGAAGCCGCAGCCTGGAGAAAATCAATTAATGTCAGTAGATGGGGAGGAGGGAGTACAGCCGGGACCCAAGGCATATGCCTCCCCTGGAGGGGCATAGAGAGGGATAAGGGGGAAGCAGATGTGTGTATGGCAGTCTGTCTCTGAGCTGAGGGGCAAAAACTAGCAAAGCTTGCCTTCCCTTCTTCCGGGCTTTAAGAAGGGGGACTGTCCTGCCAGAGCAAATTGAAAGACTGTGGAGCCCAGGGGTCAGGACTGGGAGTTCGCCAGCCGAACTCCAGCCTGCTCCTCCATCCTGGATCGCTCCGGGTTCTGTACCCCGTGGAGGAACATATTCAAGGGAACCTGGGGGCAGAGGGCAAGGCCAAGGGGAGGGGAAATAGCTTCTAGAAACTTCTGTGGAGACAGGCAAAACTCTTTTTCTGCACACGTGTCCCATTCCTCCTCCCTGTAGTTTGGAGAGGGCATTTTAGAAAAAGAGTCCCTTGGTTCCTTGGTTTTCCCCGAACCTGAGGTTGGACAGCGCCCCCTTTATTCTCCGCGAGCGCAGCCTGGACAAAGGCGTCACTTGGAGGGCGCCCCAGCTGCCTGGGAACTCCGAGCGGAGCCCATCCCGCTTCCCTAACCCGAGTCGTTTCCCAGGATGGAAGGCGGATCCCGGCTCCCCGCGATCAGGCTAGGCCGCGGGTTCTGGCTGGGCTGCACCCCCCAGGTCCCCGCCCCCAGCCCCCACCCTCTGCCCCTCTGGCCGGGCTCCGCAGGGCTCTCGCAGTTTCGGAGCCCGGGGACCCCGGCGCAGGAGGAGGCCTGGGCTTGCCCGGGGGCTCAGTGTGGAGAGAAGGAGAGGGGAGTCCCCCACCCTCCAGGCTGCTTGGGGACTTCGAGGGGCTTGGAATCCGGGTCCTCCCTTTTATGAGGTTCACACACACTGTGAGATATTTTAGCTGCAGCACAACCCTTTTAATACCCAGCATGACATCGACTGTGTGAGCGAGGCCCTTATTTGGTTGGTGAACGCCGGGGTGCACATCAAGACGCTTCCCTGCCTGGGAGGCACAGACCCC
Organism: Homo sapiens; assembly: GCF_000001405.40. Lineage (NCBI taxonomy): Eukaryota > Metazoa > Chordata > Mammalia > Primates > Hominidae > Homo > Homo sapiens. Next base: position 36,505,679 of record NC_000014.9, on the reverse strand, counting down.
TCTCCAGGGGCCCCGAGGCGGGCAAGCGAGGTAGCTGAGAGGGACCGCGGCCCAGCATCGGCTCGTCTGGGTGGGAGGGCGGCCGCCCAGACTTCCCGCGGTCGGCACCCCCTGCTCGGCCCCAGCCCAGAGGCCGCCAGCATTTGAGTCCCCGCCCAGCCGCGGCTCCGCCGTCGGGGCTTTCCCCCGAAAGGCCCAGGCGCCACCTCGCGAAGTCAGCTTGGCTGGCTCCTGAGCCCGGCTCTGCCACCCCAAAGCAAGGGGCCGTACCCGCGTCCTTCCTCGGCGACCCGCGCGCTCCCCTCCCTCTCCGTTAATATTCTCCGATAATTTCCGAGGCAAAGATTTCTATCTTTTGGGCGAATTTGTTTCATCTCTCTTGAATTCAGAAATGGAGCCTTCAAAAGTCTTAATGTGTGTTTATTTTTTCTAGCATTCAAATGAATGCGAAGCCACGGATTGAATCCCGTCACTCTTTGGGGGTTAGCTTCTCCCGATATTTCACACGGAAAACAAAACTGGGTCCCTCTTATTTGTACTTGTCCTTAACCTTTGCAGCAACTGCTGTAGATGCGGCTCTGTCCATTCTCTAATAGATTTTACCAGGGGCTGGTGACAGAGAACTGATTTCTTTTCTATTAGGGTTTAGCACATCTTTGTTGAAGGCCTGTAGAATGACCAGGGATTAGATTTGCATCTCTTAGACGCCCTGTGTGGTCTTTGTGCGAAGCTTGTAACTGTTAAAAATGACTTGTTAGGAAGCGTGTGGGCTCTCATCGCTCTCCTTTTGACAGAATGATTGTGAAATTCAGATTGGCCCTGTAGGATTTAGCCCACAGATTCCACCTGAACCCTAAGCAATTAGACCCTAATCTCCCTGCAATCATATTTGAGTTAGGATTTGTTGCACTTTGTTTACTTCAATTAAAAGCAGTGGAATAATTTTTTTCCAGCTTTTAAAGTGAAATCTCCAGGCATAAAACCTTAGGACTTCTTAGAAATGCTTTTGGTAGTGATGAGGATTTCTTTTCCGTGTGGTTTCCTCCAAGTCCTCATGACCATCCCCTTCCTTCTCCCATTTAAGTGACTCGTTTTTTCCCCTGTTGCTCGCCAATGCCCAAAGCGTCTTCACAGGGGCTGAATTCGCGGCGCAAGGGAAGAACTGTGTGGAGATGACGCCCAGCTGGAGGGGCGCCCAAGCTCAGGCCGTCGCCCAGGTCCCCGATGGGGATCCTATGTCCCGCCGCCGCGCGGAGCTTTCCCAACACGGCCCGCTGGCTGACTGGCCCCCGCGTGGGTTCGGGCAGTGGGCGCCTGTCGGGCGTCTTTCTTCCTGCGGCGGAGCAGGCTCTTCTAAGGCGCTGGCCGCCAGCCCCGCGATACGGCGACTGAGGAGGCGGCGTGGTCAGCCTGACCTCAGCCTGCGTTCCGGGAGCCTCCCGCCCGCGCCCGCTGAGCTGCCCGCGGGGACCGGCTGCGGCCCTACTGCGCAGGGTCGGCTCCAGGGGTGGGGGCGAGCGCTCTTTTTTGCAGGGTCTTCCTCTGAGCCCGCACTGGCCCGGCGGCCATCGAACCTCCGGAGAGCTCGAGGCTTGACTTCTTCATCTCCTCGCCGGGCCCCAGAGGCCCAAAGCCCAGGATTCTGGGCGCAGCCTCCCGCCGGGCTGCGCAGGGACGGTCGCCCAGGTCGTCAGGATCTCTGCCGTTTAACCCCGATGCAGTTCTCAAAAGCTGCCTGCAATTACTGTCAAGTCAGGTCACTTTAGTAGTATTTCTTGATCTGGGGCATCTATCTTCTACATTTGTTTATGTGGTACGACTTTGTCACTTTTATTTACCCAGAACATCTCTTCATTTGGGAGACTTGACAATGACTCTGGGTTATCGTTTATTCCATTTTGATTCAGGACCACTTCTTTGCTCCTAGTGAGTTTGATTCGATTCCCTAAATTACTGCTTCACCTTTCTCAGTTAATATTCATGAGCGAGCCAACCGCAGGATCTAAACAAGAGAAACGGAGGACTTCAATGCCATTTATTTTTGAAGGGGGAAGAGGGAGACACCGCTTTTTAAACTACCCAATAAACTTTTAAATAACAGGTGCTCTCGTGGTCACTTGCCTCAAAGAAGATATTTTAAAAAAATTATTGTGTTTAATTCCGTAAGAATAAAGTCAGCCTACAACCTATCTCTATCTGTATTCCTGACTAAAAAAATTTGAGGAGGAAACACTTTGCTGAGACTTAGTATTATGTAAATGCAGAGCCATAGAAACTGGTTTAAGCAGGGAGCCCTCTCTTCCAATAGTTTCTGAGGTGCAGTCTGCTTAAAAACAGACCCACCTCTTTAGGTCATTCTTATAGCTAGTTACTCTTAACTTTATTAAGAATCTTTAAGAATTCAAGGGAATAAGTGAGAGAGCCTCTGTTTTGAGATTGGGTGGTGGGGAGGTGGGAAAGGAGTTTTAGAGAGGAAGGGGAGCAAGGCCGTGGTGTAATAATCTCTTTGAGATTTACCAGAAGTCTTGGTCTCTTGATTGAGGATTCCTGCTTCAAACCAATTCTGTGTGTAGTTTAGTGCAGTTTTTCATTTGTGAATAGGAACTGTATCAAAACCCTAGTGTGACCATGACAATTGGGTAATCACACACAAGGCATCTTTGCTAATGGAGAGATTCTGTAAATATGTTTCTAGTGAATACACAGATAACAGTCACAGTGGAAGGGTCAGGTGCCACAAATCATAGATTACTCTGCCAAGGGTTGCCAGCCATCTGAGGCTTGGAAGGACATTAACTGCCTTTGCATTCTCAGAATACTCTCCTCAGTTCATGATTTCACTTACTTGACCCTACTTCTGTTATTAAAAAGCTGGCAGGCACAATTAAGGGCAAGCAGGTTGGCTACCTACCCCTCTGGCAGCTCTCCAATATTCCCATTTAGCTGCCAGGAGACATGGAGAGGAGTGAATCACTCATGAAATCCTGTGGGAGCATGTAAAGTGTATGAGGAAAACTTCAGTGGCAGTGGGCAGGTCCACCAGTCAGCCCCATCTCTAAGTCGGCTATCTCATATAATAAATCACTGGGGGAATTCATTCTGGGAAGGGCAAGGAGGGGAATGATAAGAGGTGACTTAGGTATAGGAGCTCTCACTCAGTTTCCTTGGAAAGTAAGTTTAAGCGCATTACTTGATAGTTCTAGTTTTGAAAACCGTCACAAATAGAAGTGGGATTCTCATTACTAATAGGGAACAAAAATCAGGAAGAGTTTCCCTTATCAGACAATAATAAGGGGAAAAAATCAAGAGCTTTCAATGAAATTTGGAGGACTATCACTTTTTTTCGACAGAGCAAACTTCTGGCTTTTAACAATTACTCCAATAGAGAAATTATTACTACATGGATAAGATTTAGGTACTCAATTTTCAGAGTAATGTGAAATTGAAATTAGATAAACATAGTTTTTTTCTTCTTCAAATTAAAACAAGCAGGTATCTTGCATACAGGGGCATTGTAAAAGCAAAACACATCTCTCTCAAATATTAGTGTTGTGTTCTTGAGGACGTAAAATCTGGGAATGTAACATAAAAGAATTGTAAGGCTGAGACAAGGCATCCTGGGTTCCCTTTGTTGGTAGATAGGCTCTTTTCTCATACTCTTACATTGGAAGTGGTTTGGGGATCTAAAATGAACTACCATCACTAAAGGCAAAGCCGTAACATTTATTATTAGATACCATGGAAAGTAGGCTGGTTTCATCAGTGAAAGGGACTGGCTTGTATGAGAGGCCTTGTGGCACTTTTTGAACAGAAAAGAAAGGCACAGTTTATCGAAGTATGAGTGGCCAGGAGGGCTAGCAAAATGTATTTTTAGAAGAATAATATATTTTCTAATATGCCAAGGGGTCTTTAGATGTGAGATATTAAAAAACTAATTTTCCCCAAATTATGTTATCACATTATCATATTCCTTGAAGAATAAAGATAGACATTAGTCATCTACATTACCAAGGGAGAAAAATATTTTAAAATCAGATGACAGATTTGTGCCTTGTAATTTAAACAATACTGAATGATGAACAATCTTCCAAGTTCATTTAAGCAGGAGTGAGAGGGAATGTCTATACAAGTGAATTTAAAAAGACCTTATTGTACAAATATGCCTAAACCCCCATTTTATTAACTTATAATACAAATCATTACTTGCTCTTGTTACTAAAAGTCATTTTAATGTAATGGATTCATTTCAGACCTACAAGAAAACCAAAGCCCTTGTCTTTTTATACATTTATGAAGAACTTCAAATGGCCCCACCTGAGTTGGAGACATAGATATACTTTTTCTTACTAAGTTATAAAGTTGAAACTTATCCTAATGAATAAGAATAAAGTTTTTTCTTTTAAGAGAGCAGAGAGCAAGTACACAGAAGGAAATTCCAAGACTATGTGATTTGATAGGTGGTCACATTTTACATTCTTAAATTTAGAGCTGTAAACAACCATATTCTTTCTCTCTTTATCTGCTGTAAATCTGCTGTTAGTACCTTGTTATAGAGCCTGGTACATAATATTTGCTCAGTAAATATTTTCTGAATCAATGAATTTAGAAAACATTTTTCAGTACTTCTCTTGTTGTAATCCTTTCCGATATGCAAAATATAAAAGTAAGGAAGTATTATTAGCATTTTTCTTCTTTTTATGTAAACAAAAATTATTAAAAGTCTAGGTCAGTTTGATTCAAAAATGACAGAAAAGAGGGACAATTCTTTGTTAGTTAGTAAAAGAAGTGTCTTTTATATTTCCCTGGCTACATAAATTAAAACTATGTGAGGTGATGCTGTACTGTTTAAAACAAACAAAATCCCAGATACAACACAAAATGAATTCTAACAATTAATAACTTAGAAAATCCTTAGAGTTCATCTCTTTCTACATTCCAGACTTAAACTTTCCTAACACACCCACCATTCAAGACTTTTAAGATTCTAAAGGGTAACCATCTTCTAAAATGATGAGGGGTTCACAAATGATCATTCTATAAGGAGTAGAGGTGGGAATTGACAATTTCTTTTTATCTACCAGAAAAGAATTTAAAAACCAGCGTTGATTGTTAATGATAATGCCACACAGGGCTGCTCTGTAGAGGTGATCTGATGACCAAGGGGAACCCATTACACAAGAGCAATGTCTACTATTACTGTCCTCCTAATTGCTGTCCCTTGGTGAACATTCCTCACATGTGAGTTGGGGCTATAGCCTTGGGGCACAATGGAGCCAATGGCATGGAGTCAGGCGGGGAGAATCATAAGATTGGAAGTGGCTTCTGGATTGAGATGCCCTGTGCCTTATAGTAACCCAAACAACTGAAGCATCTCTTCATTGACTTGGGGGCCTGGCTCAAGATTATCTACATGTTAGGGGAAGAATATGCTGGCAAAATCTTTTTAATTTTAAATGTGAATTATTTTACCAGTAAATATGAGGGTATCATTGCAAGTGGAAAGTGTGTTTTTGTATCAAGGGCATCCCTGGCTTCAGCTGAGCAGGCTCCTTTAGAAGACATTTGCATCATTGGCAGTGCCTGTTCAGCAAAATGCAGAAGACTGGACAGAGTCAAACAGCAATTGAACCTCAAATAAGCTAAATCTGAAATCTAAGTTCCACTAGTTTAAAACAAAAAATTCTCAGCCAGTCATGGTGGCACACACCTGTAGTCCCAGGCACTTGGGAGGCTGAGACGAGGCAGGAGGATTGTTTGAGCCTAGGAGTTCAAGTCTGCAGTGCACTGTGATCACACCTGTGAATCGCCAATGCACGGTAGCCTGGGACCCCGCCTCTAATAAAAAAAAAAAATTCTCTTTTAAAGCACTCACTTGGCATAAAAATTCTGATACCACTTCATGTTTATACCCAAATATGCATTTACAGTCTTAATGGGTTGCAGGTTATCCTGTAACTTGTGTTCCTAATAAGAAATGGAGCCGTAAAAGGCAATTCTCTTTACCAACATCTGCAACAGCAGTGGCCCACTGTTTACCTGAGAATTCTCCTCTTCATTCACATGAAGATACCAATTTATATTTCGCTACCAATTTGATGCCAAAGTCAAGTCAATTCACTATAAAGCAAGAGTGATTTAAAAATTGTACTTGTAGGCAACAGTTAATATAATAGAAACCTTAAAAAGAGGTTGGTAAAAATATTCTTTTGTCATGTGCACTCACTTTAGATATTATAAAAAAGAACTGAGGGATGTCACCCCAAGGCTTACAGATTTTGTAATAACAAAACAAAATTGGTGGTCTCTTTACATTGATTCATTTATTTAGTCAGTAAACATCCACTCAATGTTTACACCAGGCAAAGTACTAGGCATGGAGGGAAAGATATGTCTTTAACCTCAAAGATAATGTGTGTGGAGAGATAGGCATGTAAATAGACATTTACAGTTCAATGCAATGGGTGGAGCAACGTGAGGTCTGTGCAAGATGCCGTGGAATCCCAGAAGTATTTATATTTGGCAGGAGGAGAAAAGGTGGTGCTTGAGCTCACTCTTCAAGGAGGAGTAGGATTTTATCAGGCATTGCAGGTGGAGGGAACAGCATGCACAAAGGCCCAGGGGCAATGAGGAGGCATATCATGTTCAGGGAATCATTCCTAGCTTGCATTGCCAGAATATAAAATGTGAGGAGAGTGTTAGAAGTGAAACTGAAGGGGTGGTACAGGCTAAACATTTCAAAGACCCCTGAATGCCAGCCTAAGAAGTGTAGATTTTACCTTATGTAGCACATGGAAAGCCATTGAAAAAAACTCAAACATCATCAGATGTGCATTTTAGAAAGGCCAGGCAGTCAGCAGAGTGAAGAATGGAATGGAAATAGGGGCAAACTAGTGACAGTGAGACTATATGGTGATGGTTTTCACCTGCATGCTTGGTGTAAGTGTGCTAAAGAGAACCACCTTTCATTAAATAGATACAAATCCTCAAAGCCTGGCAAGAATGAAGGCATAAAGATATTCTCCAAAGAAACATCTTTTTAAAGAAAAAGACTTTACACTGTGTAAAGATGGCCAATTAATTTGGTAAGACCTGCACATACCTTTTACATACATACTTTGTTTTGCTTAACTATATGACTGACACCCACCTGAGGACATTTTTGTTACTGCGTTTAACAAAAGAAAGACTGTGTAGTATTGTAGAAAGGGTATTGCCAGCACTCAAGAGACTTGCCTGTAGTTTAACTTTACACCTTCGTCTTTGTAAGACCTTGGGAAAGTCACTTTACCTCTTTTAGCCTCCGTTTCCTCGGTTGTAAAATGAGGGGCACAATGTAAATTATTTGTAATGGCACTTTATTTATATCATTTTATATTGGCAGCTTTGTTTGCACTTATTAATCTCTCCTAATGTTTATTTCTTACCCCATCTTAATGATTTTTTTTTTTTTTTTTTTTTTTTTTTTTTTTTACAATTTTAAGAGGGACAAATATTTGGAAGATAACCTTTAGAGGTGTTACGTGGGGTAAAACTCTATGTTGACTCTACTCCACTTTATACAGTTAGCCTTTCTCCTGGAAAGAGTAAGGATGTTGGTAGCCATTTTGAAACGCTGGACTGCTCACGAGTCACATTTTATCCTTACACGAACAAAAAGAAGACTATTTAATCACTTTTAAGGTCTACTAGGCTAATGAATGATTTAGCTCTAATTTTTAGATTATAGATTTTCCTGTCCAAAATGATTCTATTTCTCGAGACAAATAACTGCATGTTCTCCAAAAGCTAGTGTGTGGATACAATTGTGACCATTAAAATCATAGAAAGGGTGCTGCTTCTAAAAATAGCCTCCTTCATTTAAATTCTGCATTTCTTTGGAAATTTCCTGTTATTTAATTTTTTTTCCACTTAAGGGCCTGTTTACATTAGTAATGTATCTTCTAGAGCCCTGGGAGTTTATAGGGTTTGTACCTAGAAAACATCCCAGCACTATTACTATGCTTCAGAGACATACAGGGGTCCCAGGGCAAATCAAAATGTTTTTAAATGTATGACATGTGTGAAGTTGATGAAAATTCATGACTTCTCTCTGTCAGAGCTGCTTGAGTTTAAATCATCAGAGAAAGGTGAGTGCAAAGAATTTTATTTGATACTTTTATTCTGGAATCCTTCTCATTCCTTGCTCATGGTCCCAGGTTTTAGCTCTGTTCTACTTAACAGTCTGATTACAAAAATAAAAAATTAGCGGTGTGTTCTAAATTGCTTTTCAGAATTTTCTGCTTAAACCACTGCTCAGATATATAACTTTTAAAGAGGAATTGAAATGTAGTTTGAGAATATAGTCACATACTACAGAACATGCAAAATACATGTGGAAGACCACATGATTGCTGGTAATTTAACTGGTTATACTTTATGATTTAGAAATATTTTCAAATTTTTCTTTTAAAATTGAAAAGAAAACATTGCAGGGAAATTCACAAAAATAAAAAATCCCCAAATACTGTGGTTACTGAGATCAGCTGTTTTTAAGTAAAAATCCATTCAAAGCAAAATAAAAGGCATTGTGTGGTGTATGCCGGCTAAAACTGAGAACACAAGAGCATTGCAGTTAATTAGAACAAATCAACAGGATGCTTTGCAACATTTCTCACATCAGTGCACCATCTGATCTTCATAATACACATTTCCCACAGTCTTGATGCAAAAAGGACTGGAAATAAATATTTGACTCATCAAAAATATATGATGCTTTTTAACAGTGCTTTCTAATAATTATTTTCAAGTTACTGTTATGAAAATAAGATCTTGAAAATCCCCAAAGGCTGTTCTACTTGCACTTTAAGGGGGACAATCTTAGTTACCTTTTTTTGTTTTGTTTTAATTTTATCTGTATTTGAACCTGAGAAGAATACTGATTTTTAAGAATAATATTAAGGGCATGAATTTGAATTATTACATGTTTTATATATGGCTGTCGTACTTGTGAAAGATAACTGAGCTTTTCCTGGGTAAACCATTATATTATGAATGATTAATTAGTACACTATAAATAACGAAGTACTACATTATAGCAGTTTTCATATTAACAGAACACTGAACTAAATTAACTGCATTAACACCTACGTCATAAATGTTTTAAACGAATATACAATATTTAACACTATTCTGTTTCTACAATTCATTCAATGCCTGGTTCAACCCAGAAAAGTTTTGCTTTAGTTTCATTTATTATACTCACTAATTGTTCTACTAGGAGAAAATATTATATTGCTTTTGTCATATTTTTGTTAAGTTTGTAATTTGTTCCTTATAGACATTTGTTTCCTTTTTTTTCTTCCCTGCATCTTACTTTTTTTTTTTCCTTTTTTTGACAGTCTTTGTTACCTTGTCTGTATATTAAAGGTAGAGCTCCCTCTGGGCCGCTGAAGTGCTTCAAAACAGATTCATAAGACAGTTTGTTAAAAATATGTTTAACTTGAATCAGAAATATATACAACTTGACAATAGTTTGTCATCAAGTTTTGCTTCCTCTTAAAAGCTAATTTATGGATGTCTAGCAGGTATCCTTTTTAGAGACAAAACTAGCTGTGAAACTGTTGCTATTAAAAAGAGAATTGTCCTCCAAATGAGTTGATGATCCATTCTCCTAAATTTATAAGGTACAACTCGCTGATGGAAGTAATTTACTCTTTCAACTCTGCAGTCATCTCTTGCCAAAAGAAAATGTTTGTTTATTTCGTTGTGGTCTGTATGTTTTCTCCCTTTACATCACACAAGATGTTTTTCTCCTCCCAACCCTCAAAAGCCCATTGCTAAATATTGTCTTTCTTGAATACTCGGTTTCTGTAGAAAAAAAATAGTTTCAAGAAACTGTCTTCACACTAGCAATAAATTTTCTTTGACCTTTTCTTTGAACAGATTTGATCTACTTCCATTGCAAGAGGTGTCTCTTAGCTAGGTTCTCTTTAGGAAAGTTACTCTTTCTACTAATTTACACAGACAGCTTTGATGACAAATACTTTATTTAGAGCACTCATCTTACAAACACAGAAAAAAGCCCATGTTAGGATGTAAATCTTTTTCTTACTAAATAGCCTATTAAAGGCAATAATATTTGTGTTTATATTTTAAACATTTGATATATTTGCCTGTTAGGATTGAAGCATTAGCTCCAAATGTTAACTGCTCCAAAGAAAAGCAGTTTCAACAAATAACCTGAAATTGGCTCTGTTACATCTAGTTTGATTTATAGGAATTTAAATAATAATGGCCTAAAAATGCATATTACAATAACTCTGCATATCTATAATATCTTAAGCAAACAATTTAGGTAGAAAAGTCATTTGATAAAGATAATTGGTTCAGGCAAAATAGAACTCACATTCTTCTGCCAGATAATAATTCAGTGGCTATTCTAACTTCAGTAGTGGTTTATTAGACACAATTCTCATTCTTTTTAAAGACTTAAGAAAAAAGACACATTCTTCATCTTTAAACAATTATTTTAAAATAAGTAAACAGCAGGAATGGGATAAAAATTCTCTATCGGATTTACTTGCTGTTATTCAATTTCTCAAAAATTTTCTTAGGGGACAGGAGTGTCATATGTTTAGTTTCAGGACAAAGGCACCTTTTAAAATGAAAAGCTTAAAGAAAATCTATAAAGAAGTTTGCTTAACAGAGAGTAGGCTAACTAAGCTTTTAGTTGTTAAAATTATCTAGATTACAAAACCAGGGGGAAAAAACTAACATTGAACGAACTTTAAAACTAAGATGAGGCTAATTTTTAATAAAGGACATCTTTTAAAAATAATAAAAGCAATTATGAACAACTTCTGGAATTCACTTTGGGTAACATGTTGAGCAGGCACATTGTTTTACTATTCTTCTGTGATTTTCTTAACTTCCAGATTAAGAAAAATTATGTAACTTCGGAGTGTATCCAGCTTAAGGAAACATTTTTAAGCAGGATGGTACGCAGTTAAAACAAGACAAGACAAAATCTTAGAGTCAAACAACATTAATTAACTCATTTGGCAATTATGTATTATTGTTGCTATTATTATTTTGTTTGATAAATGACCAAGCTATTAAATAATTCAAATAATTCAGATTTCTAGCTGTTATAAAATGTTCTTTTAATAATTTAGCAATTAATTATAAACCCCTTGCATCTGATTCATGAATATTCACTTTTATATCTTGAGACATGCATTTAAATTTTACAGTTTATTAATTGCTTTTAGCTGCATGTTGTATTAAGGTGAAAATAATCTATTGTAAGCTGGTTGAGTTCATTTAAGAGAGTGTTTACATTTAATGTTGCTTTTTAATAGACAGAAATAAAGTTGCTAAATTCAATACAAGGCAATTGTTAATTTGTTAAAGTTGCAAATATTTTGTTAAAATGTTCTGGTAATAAAAATTTCATAGATATTAATAAATCTTCACTTTATGACTTTCTGTCCTATACACTTTTTAATTGCTTTAAATATATAAATATATTATTTGTTTGTTAAAGGAATGAGCAAATTAGAATTCCAATTCACTCTAAGGAAAGAGAGTTTAAATTTTTCAACAGGATAATTAACTATTTGCTTGGCTTCAATTTATCTGTCTTGTACATACAGTGATTTGACAGAACTAACTAGTGAAAACTAACCAAAGCTAGAGATCAACGGAGAGAGTAGTCAAGAAGGAAAAAAGGAAGAGTTTCAGGAAATGATATTTTCCCATCAGTGGATAGGCATGCATACATTAAAGGCATAAAAGGCAGCGGGAGGAGAAACAAAAGCTGTAAGCTAAGGATCCTGCAAGTCTGAATTAACTAAATGGGGAAAAAAATGAAATCATTCTGCTTAAACCTGTTCACTAATAAAAGGAGAATCGCTTTTGTTAAATATGCTTGGTGTGATTATCAAGCAAATTTTTTTCTCCCAGACATCTATGAATAAAACATGCATTTGAGCACTAGGTAAACAAACAATAAATGGATGAGTTCAGTTACAACATAATAACATTTTATTTAGAAAACATATATAATCATATTTGTATTGGCAATCCAAATTTAATGACTTCTTTCAGTAAAATCAAAATGCCTCACAAATAACATTTAATGCATAAGGATTGCTTATTCTTTGTCCATTTTTTTCTGTTTTCTCAAAGAAACAGATTTTTAAGGTCTCCGCTGAACCATACATAAAGTAGGTGAAATGTGACTTTTCAGAAAAGACTTTCTTTTGGATCTTCTTAATTTTAGGTTACAGATGTTGTAAAAATAAATTTAAAAATACATTTTTGAGATGGGGTGAAAATGTTTTCAGTCTATGTAGCCTGGGCTGATTTGAACAAGACTCTGTGTGTAGCTGAACCACAGTCTTTGGCTTATTAGCCATTTCATTAACACGACATCATCTTCTGCAAAATATGAATGAGGAGAAACCATTTACAATAAGAAAAGCAAACAACAGAATGAATTTCCTCTGTTGGTGTTTTGTAAGACTGTTAAACAGAAAATGGAGGGAAGAACTCTCTTTAGACGATATCACTTAATTAAGTAAAGCATCCTAATCAGAGTCCCCTCCAATTGTAATGACTGTAGGGAGTCAAGTACATTTCTGTCTATATTAGAGTATCTAACTGCAATGATTTATTGATATTTATTTTAGAAGTGCAACACAAAAGCAATAAAACAGAGGAAGCAGGGAGAGAGGGAACAAGCCATTGCTTACTGCAGTTACAACCAGAACACAACAAAATTCCTGATTTTCATGTGGGAGGTTTTGCTTTCCAAAATCAGAGCCCACCTTTATAAAAGAATGTTCCTTTCTCTCATTTGGTTTTTCCAAATGTTCACTGTGGCGTTTCTTTGTCCATTAGATGAATCATTGATTCACTTTCTTCACTGCAAGAATCACTGCAAATGAGTGGATGAGCACCTGCTGTTTTCTGCAGTGACATTACTGGATTGCATTCTACACTGATTTTAGTCTTAAAATACAGCTTCTCTGTATGGGAGAGAGATTTGAGGAGGGAGAGTAAATATACTGTATAGGCAGACAGACATTGGCTGCCCTCCAAGATGCACACAGCATAAACCTGTTTATCTGCTACATTTCACAAATCTCAAAAACATGCGAATAATCAGGCAAGCAACTGGATAAGTGATTCACACTAGGGAACCTAACCAATATTCTGATGAGAGGATACTATGATGCTAAGATGTTGAGGAAAATAGCCTTATATTGTAGAAACTGCACATAGTAAAGTTGATTAGTGGTTCAAAGGAGAAAACAATCTGTACTAAAATGAAGTTGAGGCAGTATCCCACCCTGTGGTCTTTGGTTTGGTATATTTATGTGCAAGTTACCTGGATAATTGAGTTTAAAAATACACATTCATCCATACCATTCCAATAATTGGGGCCAGTATACATTGGCCTTCATGTTAGTTGTCACGATAATTTATTTCTGGAGACCAAGATCTAAATATTGAGGGCTAGTGCCTTAAAACCCCAAATTATACCAACACATCTATTTGAAATTAAATTACCAAACATGCTTAGAACCTACTCATTTTGAAGAAGCAACTTTTCTTGGAAGGCTACAATCATTTTTTATTATTGTAGAAGATGAATTGTCTCATAATAAGTGAACTAGGCATGTAAGCCTCTCCTTATTGCTACATCACTGCTTTCTCTTTCTCTATTTTTCTCTGTTGTTTCTTCCTCATTTACTGATCATTTAATCTCCCTTGCCTTATTCCCATGACTATTGTGCTTTAGCATTTGGCTGTGAAGTGGAAGCTCTTAAAGGTTTTGAGGCTAACCCCAAAAGCAAACATTGGTTCTGAAAATTTCATGAGGTTGTTTGTGAATTTTAGGCTTAAATCACTTCCATAAACTATATCTGGTTAATTACAGCAAGATGAACTATCAGCTTGCTTGATATGTCTGTCTATTGGCTTATATGGTAGACCTGTCCTCACAGGTCTATACCAGGAAAATATAGGTTTTTCTACATTTGCAAACCCAAAATACTATTCCAGAAAGAAGAGCAATAAAACAACAAGGCAATTGAATAAACATTGCACATCCTACAGCTTTTCTTTTTCCTGCACTGCAGAAAGGCAAATTGCTAAAACTTTTTGATACTGGAAAACTTTGTTAAATTATAGTAACAAAAGACATCATCATCTTAGCAACAGAAAGTCTTGGAGAAGGTAGGTGACCTGGAAATTGGTGTTCCAAACAATATTCTGCTACTTTTGAGCTGCTTCATTAAAGCTTTGCCTCAAGAGAATGTATGTTGAGTCTACTGCCAATTGCATTTGCCAAATGTTTTTTATTGTCTTAACATTTTCTCATCTTCTTGCTTTTCGTCTCAGGTTCTTTTTCTTCAGGATCAGGCACAGAGACTGACTGAATGGCTCCAATTATCAGGATTTGAAAACCCAGTATCAGAATCTACCACTTTGTGTAAGTCTGCCCTGAGCAGTGTTTTCTTTAGCAACAGGACACTTGCATAATATGGGATCGCCTTTTCTTCTTTACTTCTCTCTGACCTTGTAAAATATGACAAATTTTTTTCATGATTCATAAGTCCACCGCATGGGAGATTTTGCAGGAAATGCAACATAAGAACTAAAAAGCATTCCTTAAAAGATGTGTTCAGGTAAGTGACAAATGGAAGTTTGTGGGTGGTCAAGGGTGTTATTAAAATTGTTGACAACATAATCAATAGTCTGAAGACTCAACACATTGATTTTTGTAATCACGGAAAATTATACTAGGCTTTCTGTGTGAGTCGGGTTTTGAGCATATGTCCACAAAGCTGAAGTTGGTTCTGTGAACCTCAATTAAGGTCAACCATAGATGTTTTACTCAGCCAAGAAGAACCTTTTTAAAGTTTGTTTTTTTTTTTTTTTAAGCGATAGCTATTCTGATTAAAAAATGATCACTAGGGGCCGGGCACAGTGACTCATGCCTGTAATCCTAGCACTTTGGGAGGCCAAGGTGGGCAGATCACCTGAGGTCAGGAGTTCGAGACTAGCCTGGCCAACGTGGCAAAGCCCCGTCTCTACTAAAAATACAAAAATTATCTGGGCATGGTGGCAGGCGCTTGTAATCCCACCTACTTGGGAGGCTGAGGCAGAATTGCTTGAACCCGGGAGGTGGAGGTTGCAGTGAGCGGAGATTGCACCATTGCACTCCAGCCTGGGCAACAAGAGCGAAACTGTCTCGGGGGAAAAAAAAAAGACAAAAAACAATCACTAGGGCTGGGCATAGTGATGCACACCTGTAATCTCAAAACTTTAGGAGGCCGAGGCAGGCAGGTCACTTGAGCCCAGGAGTTCAAGACCAGCTTGGGCAACATAGTATGACCGTTAGCTGGGCATGGTGGTGCACACCTGTAGTCCAGCTACCTGGGAGTCTGAAGTGGAAGGATCTCCTGAGCCTCAGACGTCGAGGCTGCAGTGGGCTGTGATCATGCCACTGCACTGCAGGCTTGGTGACAGAATGAGACCCTGTCTCAAAAAAAGAAAATCACCAAATCCTACATAATCTATATACCACAGGAATCTTAGAAACAATATATGGGCTGCAAGTGAACTTTTTAATTCTCAAAGGCAATACAAAAAGGATATGAAATTAAAAAAATAAAACGTTGTTCCTTTCTTTTGCCCTAGTCTCCTCAATCCCATTCCCCAGTGGTGGCCATAATAGTCTCTCATGTATTTTTACCAAATTAAAAAAATTCATACGCAAGCACATCATCTTTTAAATCACAAATAAAATCATACAATATATTTACTATTTTAAACTTGTTTTTATTCACCTCAGTGTATGTGGCTGTTGCTCCATGCCCTACACATGGGTTTATCTCATTCTTCTAGAGCTGCAAAAGATATTACATAATATAGTATTATAGATATAGCCACTACCATGTTGATAGATATGTAGGTAATTTTTAATTTCTTTGCTTTTACAAATAATACTTCAGCAAACATATGTATAGTTTTTTTTGTTCTTCTGTAAGTGTACTTGCAGAATCAATTCCTTGAAGTAGAATTGCTAGATAAAAACACATTTGCAATTTTTAAATTATATTGCCACATTACTGACATAAGAAAATGTAACCATTTATTTTTCACTGACAATTTTTGAGACGTGAGGATTTTGACGAGGACTGACATGAGTTCTGTGTGTGACACATCTGCCTTCTAGTCCATGTCTTCAAACTTGGCTAAACAGAGTTCAGTGGCAGCCGGGAGGCTGAGTGATGATCTCAGGGAAAGAATCCTCCTATGGCCTTATGTGTTCAAATAGCAGCTGTGGCTGGGAGGAGCAGCACTGGGATGAGGAGAGAAATAGCTAAGGAAGTACGGCTGCCATCGGTTTGGGACTGGGCCTGAGTTTTCACCAAGGTCACTTCCTAAAAGCCTTCCTGACAAGAGTGAGGGCAGAAGAGCAAAACCAGGAGCCACTCCCATAGGCTGTCGTGAGAGTGGAGAAGCAGCTATATTAGCACCATGTGCACCCTTGCTTTCTCTGGCACACTCTCCATCTCTGCTCAGATTCTAATCCAAGTGCGCATTTACCTTTTCTCCATAGCTCATCCTGGCTTTTAGGGAAGTGCTGTTCTCAGTCACCTGTGGCTGCTCATCAGCAGGCAGGAGTTCTCTAGGCTTCCTCTCTATTTTACCATTTAGTTTGTCTCTGCGTGATTAACCCAGAAAATTTGCCCGACATTGACTCAGTCCCCGGATTTGAAGAGATAGCCTCATCCTTGAAACTTTGACTCCTTATTCAATACTTTTATCTTTATAAGTCCTATTTTCATCTTGAAATAGAAACTGGGAAGTGCCTCTTAATCTACACCTAGATCTCAGCCTTTACGTTGAGGGGTTACTTGAATGTTCTCAGGGTTACAGTTACACTAGAAGTTTGGTTTGTATTTAGCATTAACATGCTAGGCACTATGTTAGCCCCTGTGGGTGCAAAGATGAATAAAACACAGTTCATGCCTTCAGAAGTGTATACCATGGTGAGGAGGAAGCACTAACAAACCCAAGCCACTCTGAGAAGCATTAAAACAGAGGTATTTAATAAAAGTTCTATGAAGTCTCAATTCTGGAAATTTATCCTACAGACATACGAAAGGACTTATAGACAAGTTGTTCACTACAGCATTGTATGTTATGGGAAGAGTTAAGAAACATCCTGTCAACAAGGACATTTTATGAGTCCTATGTACTGACATGGAGTGATCTGCGGGATATATTTTATATGAGCAATCAAGCTGCAGAACACATATGGTGTATGTTGCTTTTGTATAAGAAATCTAGGAATTAAAAATATGCATTAATGCTTGTACATACATAAAAACATTGGAAGAGCCTGGAGCAAAACAGGGCAAGTGCTAACCTATAGGGGGCATTAGGGATTAGTGGGGTGGATAGGAAAAGGGAACATAATACAGCTTTTCAATGTATACCTTTTAATGTCATTTTAATTCTTGAGCTATATGATTGCATTATCTAGTCAAAAATATTATATTAAAAACTTAAATGATAAAATAAGATTTCCCCCTCTTCAACCTCTGCATTTCCCGAGGTATTTGGAAGTGCTTGGCTACATTTATCAGGGATAAAGAACATTACATGGGACTGGACAAGGGAGGCTCCGAACAGGATAAAGAAATTTCTCTTTTATTATTATTATTATTATACTTTAGGTTCTAGGGTACATGTGCACAACATCCAGGTTTGTTACATATGTATCCATGTGCCATATTGGTGTGCTGCACCCGTTAACGTTAACTTGTCTTTTACATCAGGTATTTCTCCTAATGCTATCCCTCCCCCCTCCCCCCACCCCATGACAGGCCCTGGTGTGTGACATTCCCCACCCTCTGTCCAAATGTTCTCATTGTTCAATCCCCACCTATGAGTGAGAACATGTGGTGTTTGGTTTTCTGTCCTTGTGATAGTTTGCTCAGAATGATGGTTTCTAGCTTCATCCATGTCCCTACGAAGGACGTGAACTCATTGATAAAGAAACTTTCTTAGAGTCCACTGAATTTTTCTTACCACATTCATAAATCCACTATCTCATGGAGATGATTTTGGGCAGAGCTAGGATAAAGAATACTATTCTTCACAAAATTCTGAGAGATGGAATTTCTGGGTTTTGTTTGTTTTGTTTTGTTTTGTTTTGTTGTTTTGTTTTGTTTGAGACAGAGTCTCCCTCTTGTCACCTGGGCTGGAGTGCAGTGGCATGATCTCAGCTCACTGCAACCTCTGCCTGCTGGATTCAAGCGATTCTCCTGCCTCAGCCTCCCAAGTAGCTGGGACTACAGGCGTGTGCCACCTTGCCTGGCTAATTTTTTGTTGTTGTTTTGTTTTTTTGCTATTTTTAGTAGAGATGGGGTTTTGCCATGTTGGCCAGGCTGGTCTCGAACTCCTGACTTCAGATGATCTGCCTGCCTTGGCCTCCCAAAGTGTTGGGATTACAGGCGTGAGCCATGACACCCAGCCTGGAATTTTTTATAAACAGGACACATGTAAGATGTGGGAATAATTTCAGGAGATTTCATTCTTTTAGCGTCCTACAGGCAAGGCTGTGAGAGTGGCCACTTCAGGTTTCCCATGGTGATGTGGTAGGAAAGGCACGATTTACCTATACCTTGAGTTGACATGCTTAAGTCATGAGGTTGAGCAATGTGAAATTTTTCTTCTTAAAGCTTTAAATAGGCTGGGCATGGTGGCTCGCCCCTGTAATTCCAGCACTTTGGGAAGCCAAGGTGGGAGAATCACGTGAGCCCAGGAATTAGAGACCAGCCTGGGCAACAAAGTAAGACCCTGTTTCTACAAGAAATCAAAACATTAGTGGGGTGTGGGGGTGCATGCCTGTAGTTCTAGCAATATGGGAGGTGGAGGCAGGAGGATTGTTTGAGCCCAGGAGGTGGAGTCTGCAGTGAGCCATGACCGCCGGGGTAATAGAGCAAGACCCTGTCATACCCACACAAAAAGCTTTAAATAAAGGTCTCATGCTGATCAATGAATAAGAGAAATTGGCTGCCTTACCAAAGAAATACCTCTTTTCTTTAAC
The DNA here is from genome assembly GCF_000001405.40 of Homo sapiens. Taxonomy (NCBI): domain Eukaryota; kingdom Metazoa; phylum Chordata; class Mammalia; order Primates; family Hominidae; genus Homo; species Homo sapiens. Next base: position 36,486,565 of record NC_000014.9, on the reverse strand, counting down.
AAAGATATGTCCCATAAATTTTCTAGAACATCACATTAAAGTGATTTACAGAAAGGTTGTGGGATAGAATTAGATCTTGAGATTCTCTAGTCTCTTCCATAAAGTGAAATCAGGAAGCTTTGAAAGAAGGTGGTAGAGAATAAATAACTTGTGAGGAAAAATGTTGATGATGATTTCATGATTATAATGTTAGAAGATTGTTAAAGAGTGATATAATCACCACAGGAGTCACACAAGGACATAAAAGTCCCCTGGTGGATGAGGAGGACTATACTTCCCCGTACATCTCTGCACCAAAGCTCATTACTACATGACTGCCCTGACTTTCCAGTTCATTTTAGTCCTTTTTGGCCATAAGACTATACCCAGGTGATAAGCCCTGGTTACCCAGGAAGCTTGGGGGTGGGTGAGCATGAAGGGCTGATTCCCTGCCTTCCATTCACCAGTTTCTCTCATTGCTTCCCTCATCCCCCACAAATGTCATTTCGTCTCTCAGCTGGTCTCAAATCAGTCCTGTGACAAGAGTCTGAAAAATCCTAGTGACTTAGGAATGAGACTTTCAGATATGATAAAGTGACCATATAACTCATCTAGCCTACAACTAGTATCAGTTCCTTTTTTGATGTATTAGTGAGTCATTTTATTTTTATGTGATTATCACACAAATGTGAACATGTTAAGCAAGTTATTGCTAGCAATCAGGACCGCTTGTTACATAACATCAGTAAGAGGGACTCAGGTGAGAAACAACTCTGATTATAGATATTTAGCCCAAATGTACATCAGTTGTAACTCCTTCAATGTATTCTTTTAGCAGCTAATTGAAATACTTTATCAGTGAAAGTCTTGACACAACAGTTATACAAACATACACAAAGAACATGGGGAAATTAAATAAGACTTATAATATACACCTTAACAAAATGATGGCTTAATTTGTACTCCCTTTGTAATTTTAACTAAATATTGTGGTGAGTAGTTGTTACTTTAAATCCTAAGTATATGGGCATTTATTACACACAATATGAAAATACTTCAGGAGGCTTGTGATTAACGCTGTGGTATTCAGGCACAGTTTATAGAGACTTTCAATCAAAGACAAAAGGCCCAAGCAGATGATGAAACACTTAAAAAAGATGTATGTATACAACCAAGGACTTAATTCAGACTTTCTCATTTTAGCTCAGTTCTAGTTCTTGGCTTACCAGGGATGGCACCAAAGAAGTATCCTCTGAGCCTGGCTCAGGGATGCCCTATGGATTAGCCCCTAGGGTAGGTTGGCCAGAAAAAATGCAGGATGTTCAGTTAAATTTAATTCCAGATAAATAATGAAAAATTTTTAGTATAAATATGTCTCAAATATTGAATGTAACATACTATATTAAAAAAAGTTAGTTGTTTATTAGAAATTCAAATGTAATTGGACATTTTTAATTTTTATTTTTTCTAAATCTGGCATCCCATGGGTGCTGAAGAATACTCAAATACCTCCTTTCCCTGCCCGCCATGACTGAACTTGGATCTTTCAATCATACAGACACATGCTCTAACTCTTATGTACTCACTCTCTGAGATAAAATGCCTTACAGATTTGAAACCCTCAAATCCAAAATTTCAATCTAGCTCCATGGTCTGGATCTCTTACTGGATATTCCCTATTACCTAAGCTTGCTCCCTTCCCACAGAACATTTTGCTTATACCACATATTTTCCAAGACATTTTTAAACATTAGTTTTTGAAGAGAAACATCAGTTGCCTTGCCACTAAATGTAATACAGAGAACACGTGAACACCTAAGTTCCTCTCTCTCTATCTCTCTCTCTCTCTGTCTGCCTGAACTTAAATGCCAACTTTGATTTTTCTTTCTTTTTTTTTTTCAGACAGTCTCACTCTGTCACCCAGGCTGGAGTGCAGTGGCACTATCTTGGCTCACTGCAACCTCTGCCTTCCAGGTTCAAGCGATTCTTATGCCTCAGCCTCCTGAGTAGCTGGGATAACGGGTGCATGTAGCCACACCTGGCTAGTTTTTGTATTTTTAGTAGAGACGGGGTTTCGCCATGTTGGCCATGGCCAGTCTTGAACCCCTGACCTCAAGTGATCCACCTACTTCGGCCTCTCAAAGTGCTGGAAATACAGATGTGAGCCATTGCGCCTGGCCCAATTTTGATTTTTCAAAAGCATGTCCTTAAGGTTTGGTGCCTAAATTTTAAAGGGTAGACAGATGTGAAATGAGATACGAGAGTTCTTTTCAGACTAAGTTTGTACCTCTAGATTGGTCTCCTGGAACTGTGGTAAAGGTAGCTACTCAAAGATTTAATTTAAGATTTTCTAAGTCAAACCAAATGCCACTACTACTAAAATATAGGAACTAAAGAAAAGGAGCAGCAATATGGTAGGATAAAGAATAAAAAATGTAGAGTTAGCAGATTTGAGATCAAGTCCTAGCTCTGTACCAGAAGTAGCTGTGAGATCCTAGGCAAGTCATTTAGCTTCTGTGACTTGCCAGTTTCCTCCTCAATACAACAGGGATAATAGGGCCACCCTAAAGAGACATACTATTTGTAGAAATGATTTGTAAACTTCAAGTCCAATCCAGATGCTTGTAGTGGTGATGATGAAGATGATGGTCAAGATATAAACATTACAGAAGTCAATTATTAGAGAGATTTAAATTTAGACTCTCAATTTTTTTCCTACCTACTCAGTTCACAAAAACTATATATGTAAGAGTATCGTTCTTACATGGGTTGAGAAAAGAAAAAAAGATACCAAAAACTAACCCAATTTCATATACTTTTAGAAAACAGCTAACTAAAAGGTTGTGTGTCTAAAAATGGGATGTTTAGAGTAAAATATTTAGGATCACATTGAAATCATGGATAACAGAGAAGAACACTGAGGAACATTTTGTTTAAAGCCATTTACTTTTATTTTTGGGTCAATACTGATTCAATACCCAGCCTATCTATTTTATAAAAAGCATTAGCAAGGTCTTTTCAGACTCATTTATTATTATTATTGCCATAATCAGCTTGGAGTTTTCAGTGCATAGTGAAGGCTTTGAGGAGATGTTGAGTGTATCTATTTGTTCAGTGATAATAGAGAGGATGGAGCAAGAGAAGAGGCTGGCCTCTATGCCCTAGGGTTCCTTTTTGGCACTTGTGTCCTATGCTCAAGGAGAAGGGTGGAGGGAGCTCCCAGGCCAGCTCTGGTAAGACTGCGGGAGGGCTGAGCTGTCTGAGCACTGGGTGCCAACTCTGATTGGAGAGTATTTATCCTTGTTTAATTTTACTTCAGGCTTTACTATATAACCAACACATACATGTTACAGAAAACTAGTGAATATAGATAAGCAAAAAAACAGAACATAACAGTCACCCCTAACTCTTCCCTCCAGAAGTTTGGAATGCTCGTGAGATGTTAGTTTGTGTTGCACTGTATCCCCATGTGAGCTGTGAGCTCTGTGAGGGAACAGAGTTCATCCCGCTCTGTCAGAATCCCCCAAAGAGGCCTATTATGGTGGTCTGCATGGAGGTGTTACTCAACACACACATTTTAACCAAGGCATCTAGGTTGGTGCTAAAAGTCTTTGTCACCAAATCCTGAGCTCCATCCTTTACAGGGTCTTGAATTGCTTTTCTTTCACTTCCACTTCCCACACTTGGTCATAAAAGTAAGGGAGTTAGGGTTCCAGCTCTAGATTAAAAGTGTCTACCTTTAGAACTCAGAATCATCTGACCTTGCCTGGGGACTGAGTGGAGAGGGATCAAGTGGGATAAGCCTGGCCCAGTCATGAAACTTTACTTGTTGGAGTGGAGCAGTTACTCTAAGTACCTAGGTTGTTTGCCTTTGCCCCAGGTGCAGATTTCAATGGACTCAGTTCTGGATCCTGGGAGAAAGAGAGGATGGTACATAAAAATCAGAAGACACATCTTCACCCAAGCCTCTGAGACTTTGGCGAGCCAGGCAATATTGCTTTGGAAATACCTGATGGAGAGAATAAATAGAAAGAGGCATTCTTCTCCATTGCACCATAAATCACTGAGCAGAATTGGCCCATCTGTCCTCTGGGGTATTGGTGGCAGTGCCACTAGAACATGCAGTGGTGGTGGCCAGCTGAGGGGCAAGTGGCCTGGTGCTATACAGGAGGCAGTTGTTTCCAGAGAGGCACAGATATGGTAGAGCCCTGAAGTGCAGTGGGATCTAGAGGTATTCCAGTTTACATATAATGTAAACTGGAATGTAAGGAATATAATGTAAGGAAGTATTATATGTAAACTAGAAGTATTCCAGTTTACAGTAGATGTGGCTGTGTCTGTAGGACACAGTGGTAATCAATAGAGCAAAACAAAAGCATAAGAGTGGATCTTTCATAAGAATTATAACCAAGTACTTGCGAGACACAACCCAAGACATGTGTGTTGCATGCGTGTGTCTGTGTGTGTGCGGAGAAGGGCAAAAACTCTAGAGAGGGCTCCATTACAGACATCTGACCTGACTTCCTCTTTCCTAAAATCAGTCCTAAAAGTTGTTACTAAAGTAATAAAATAATTGTCCTTTCCAGTCATTTGACTGAACTATTTTTGGACTCACAGCCTTCCTCTGGTGTCCTATAATACTTGAATTGGATTCAGGCATCTCTGACTCCCTCCCCAGAATTTGTGGGTTAATAATAATATTGATCTTGCAGGGTTGTTAGGAGGATTAAACAGTGTAATACTTGTTAAGAGCTCAGCACAGTGCCAGGCATATAGTAAGCACTTCTCAGTATTAACTCTAATATGACTGCTGCCTCAGTTCACCTCCCACACAGCTTAGTGTGCTGTGAGAGAGACTTAAGCTTAAATTGTGACTCACCATTAATGTCCTTGGACATATTACTTAATTTCTGGGTAATCTGAATTAACCCTAGAAATATGGAGCCCACTGTGTGCCAGGCATTGTGCCAGGTACTGAAGACCCATGGATAAACAGCTCGAACATGCCCCTGCCTACAAAGCGCACAAAGTCTGGGAGGCAGGGGAGGCAGTGAAATGAGCAATGTTAATATAGAGCTGCAAGGAAATCAGATGTGCAGATGCCCACTCATCCAACTTGGGTTGGACCAATAGTTAATAGACTCATCCAAAAAGTCAGTAAAGTGGAGAGTCATTAAAAATGTTATCTACGTGCCTTAAATGTTCTATTTCAATTTAAAGCAGATTAGAGGTTGTCAGGAGACAGGGGAGCAGCGGAATGAGGAGTGGTTACTTAAGAGTACAGGGCGTTTTTCTGGGGTGATGAACAAGTTTTGAAACTAGACAGAGTTGATAGTGGCACAGCATCATGAATGCACTAAATGCCATTGACTTGTATACTTTCAAATGGTTAATTGTATGTTATATGAATTTCACTTCAATAAAAATATAAATGTATATTATTTTGCCAGTTTTTTGATGCAAGGCTAAGGACTTTTCCTTAAATATATGTCCAATAATTGAAGTCCCAGGTCATCTTTCTGATTTAAACCACATCCATAATACATACACATGTTTTACTTCTATTTTAATTTCTTTAAATTGGAGCAAGAACTTAGATACTGACAAATCTATGTCAGAGTAGAATCTGTTTAGATTTTTAATGATTTCTTTCCATTTACAACTTTATATCCATTAAAGCAACTTTTAGAAGCTTACATTTATGTCTTTGTACATTATAAAAACAACTTTCTGTACTTATATTTTATTAATTTACATAAGATTTCCTCAAATAACATAGCTATAACAATAAGTAAAATTGTTATAAAAGAACTTAGACCAAACACATCTGACACTTGGTAGGCATACAATGCAATTCAACTGGTGAGAGCAGTAGTAAGATGAGTGTATAGACAGCAGCTTATCAGCTTTGAGCATTGGGGAGGGCAGGGCTGTAGTCAGTGTGCTTTACAAAGGAAATTATGTGTATCAAGTAAGCTGGTTAAATAGAGGCCACTTTAAGAGCATTTGTAATACAGTGGATGCCCAGAAGAAGGATACTTAACCCGGACTGGGGGTTGAGGAATGTCTTTCCAGGGGAGGTGACATAAGTTGAGATCTAAAGATGTGGAAGGACTTAGCCAGAAGAAAAGTCAGAAGATCTGTTTCAAGCACTGGAAACAACCAGAGAGAGAAGACAGCACCTACATTGGAGGAACAGCAAGAAGTATTGCTGGAGTGTGGCGTGCAGAAGGGGATGTGTTGAAGATGAAACTTGGAGAGAATCATGTTAACCATGTTAAGAAGTTTAGACTTTATTTTAGGGACAGTGGAAAGCCACGGAAAATTTTTAAGTAGAGGACTGACATAATCAGACTTGTGTTTTAGAAAGATCCCCTGGACTGCATTCCAGGGACCAGAATAGAGATGGTGGTAGGTCAGTGGAGGGGTGAAGGGTAGGAAGTCCAGTGATGGGGCTACCAAGGGAGTGGTGATATGAGCCTAGTACTATAGGGATGGAGAAGAGTACACCTCAGCTCTGAGAGGCAGGTAGGGGGTAGACTGTACAGGGGTTTAGTGGCCAAGTGTATTTGGGGGTGAAGGAAAGAAGGAAGACCAGCTTTGGTGATGGTGTCATTTGCTGAAATAGAGAACATGGAACAAGAGTAGCTTTGGAAAGAAGATGAGGTAAACTTAGAATATATTGAATTTGAGGTCTAATGAAGCTGTGGGATGTCCATTAAGTAGCTAGACATGTAACTCTAAAACTGGATCTCAGAGGTTAAAGTGGCCAAAAAGTCATATAATGTAAGGAATGGAAAGTATCCAATGAGTTTTATCAATGAGGAGGCTCCTGGTAACATTGGTGAAGGCAGCTTTAGAAAGCAGGTAGGCACATGAGCCCAATGGTAATGGGTTGAGGAGCCTGTGGGCATGAGGAAATGACCATGGGTACTTAATCATTTAGAGAATTTGGGCTTTGAAGGGGAGGACAGAGTAGGGTAATTTCCAGAGTAGCTGAAAGAGAAGTAGGGGATGAAGAACATATTTAAGCATTACTAAGATGAGTCAGTAGAAAGGTAAAGACTGCAAATGTAAGGGAGGAAATAATGAGGGGGTTAAATGCAGAAACCCACACTTAGTATAGAACGCTGTTGTGAGGGGATAAGTGAGTAAGCCCATGTAAAGCATTATGCTCTGCCAGGCACGGTGGCCCACGTCTGTAATCCCAACACTTTGGGAGGCCGAGGTGGGAGGATTGCTTGTGCTCAGGAGTTCAAGACCAGCCTGGGCAACATGGCAAAACCCTGTCTCTGCAAAAAATACTAAAATTAGCTGGCACGGTGGTTCACGCCTGTAGTCACAGCTACTTGGAAGGCTGAGACATGGGAATCACTTGAGCCCAGGAGGTTGAGGCTGCAGTGAGTGGTGACTGTGCCATTGTTAGTTCCTTTCATTCTCTATGCACTGCCCATCCCGTATTTTGTTTCATCTGTGCCCTGATATAATTACTTTGGCCTGTGCCTTTTTGGCTGCATACCTGTGGTTTTAGATAGTTACTCATGTAATTCTGGATGGGCATCTAGGTTTAGAAACTAGCAGACTGGTTTAATGGCTTGCCTATCCCCTCTTCCCATATATGGCCTCAGCAAATCCCATTTCTCAAATGTGTACTCACAGTTTCACTGTCATGTTTAGCTGCTCAGCAGAGGTGATGGGCTCCTAACCACACCTGAGTCATCTCATGTACTCATTCAGACTTCAAAGTATCTTAGCTTTCCATTCTTTCAACTAAGCCAAGATGGGAGGTTTCTGTTCATTGTGGAAAGAGGCTCTTTTCTCCTTGTAGCCTTACTCCAATGTTTATCTTTAATTATTAACAAGAATTATTAAATGCTTATTTCATTGCTTGCACAGAGTATTCAAAAAACTGAATTTTCCTTTCCTTAGTTCTGCTTGACACATTTCATTTCCTCATTGCTCACCTCTTAGCCATTTTTCTGCCATACAGGCCCTCCTCCTCATGCCCTCTTTTTTTTTTTTAGCATTTCGATACGTTTCTTTCCAATTATTTCTATACTTTGGAAAAATATAATTGAAAAAAATACTGCATGTTTTTTTTTCACTTGCTATTTTAACATAATTATTTTCCTGTTAAAATTATTAACTATAATTTTGATAACTGCTAGATATTTTATCTTACAGCTGTACTAAGCTTCATCTGGCCATTTTCCTATAATTAAGCATCTAGGTGCTCATGTGTTTACACATATATCTTTGTTCACATTGTTTATTATTTCCCTACCTAAGGTTTCTAGAAGTGGGATTACAATGGTAAGCATTTTAAGAGGAATACAAAAGCTAGTTTCACATTAAGAACTAGAAGTGACACTGCTGTTTTCTCACCAGCAGAATACTAACTTTTCAAGTCCCATTCATATTACGACAAAAAAGAATGGCTTCACAAATCTCATTCATTTTATAAGTAGCATCATCTTCATCTTAAAAATATAAGTCATCTAATTGTTTACAGTGTTACACACTGTTCAAAGAACCACATAGCTCTGATTCCTTCCTTCCAAAAATTTACATTCCAAGGAAGATATACTGATGTGAAGACTCACCAAATGCAGACAAGAACTATTAAAAGTACCCCATGGATGGACCTCCAAATGAGTTTAGGGTAATTGCGCTTAAAATATTAGGACCAAAGTACATTTATTTTATAGATGGAGGAGGGGAGGAGACGAGTGGGGACCAGCTTGACATCCAGTCTTCACCTGGACATATGGAAAGAACAAATGTGCGATCTGCTCGTTCCCTCTGAAGGTCTCTGTTACGTATTTCCTCCTCTCCTCCAGAGCATAATAACCAATGACTGCTCTCAGAAAGGTACTGTGACCACCACTTGCTTGGCTCTCCAACTTCCTCCCCCATTTCCCTCTTGACTCCTGTTTGCCATAACACCTTCTGTCCCCTAGCCTTGCCTCAGGTCCCCGACGAATCCTGCCCTTAATCTGTGGGGGTGGTAGGTGGCACTGGTTTGAAGAGCTTACTGGATCTCCCTCAGTGAGTCAGCCTGGAGTTGTGTTTGAAAACCACAGGCCCTGACTGTGGCTGTCAGACCTCCCAGACACCACCTGCTGCTGCCTATCATCATCTTCAGGTGCTGGGCTCCCCTGTGGGCCTCGTCTGCCCGCCCTCTGCTGCAGCTGTCCCATGGGCGCCCGCCCTCTCTGACACCACAAGAGAGCCCATCTAGATTCCAGGAAAAAACTCATCTTTATTTGCCTTCTTCCCACTGAAGGTAAAAGCAACATTAATAACCACAACAAATACTTAGTGAGTGCTTACTATTATTCATTTAATTGTTGGCCCTTCCATCCCTGGCCATGATGAGAGACATGCCATAGCTTACTCCTAAAGAGACCTGAGGACACACGTGCACAAACATATTGGGCATATCATCAATGGCATCAAAACTGATTTTCCCTGTCTACCCAGAACAGGCCTGAGGGAGAGGGAAAAGCGGATACCCACCTGTGTCGCTGTTTGCGTGCCAAGTCCAGGAACAGTCCATACAGCCCTGCTGCATCCCACGACGCTGTCACAAAGCAGGAGTTCATCCGAGGCCAAGGTGTTGTCATGAGAATATTCGTTAAAGTAGGGACGCTGACTTTGTTCTTGGGCAGATTCTCTTCCTGTGGAGTATCCAGCCTGTTTGCCTAGTTTTCCTGTTCTTCTGGGGTCTGATCTCTATCTGTTTTACTGCAGTCCAGTTACCAAAGTGGTATAAGTAAAATTGAAAGAATTCTAAATACCTTTTCCCCCCACGTTAGCTGCCTCACGTTAATGTGGTCTTACGGTCTGCAAATAAGTGTTTTGATGATTTGGCGACTGCAGTTACCCATACTAGCTCTCCTACCACTCACTACTGACAGTTAATTATTATCGAATATCCACCCACCCAGGGTGAGTTATAAGTTATACCAGGTGTTTTGGTTAATAATACTAATGCAATTAATTTACTGTTTACTCTCTCATCTTAAAGTAATCAGCTGGTAAAATAAGATTGATTGGGTTGGCCAGGTGCGGTGGCTCACGCCTGTAATCCCAGCACTTTGGGAGGCTGAGGTGGGCGGATCACGATATCAGGAGATCGAGACCATCCTGGCTAACACAGTGAAACCCTGTCTCTACTAAAAATCCAAAAAAAAAAAAAAAAAAAAAAAAAATTAGCCAGGCATGGTGGCGGGTGCCTGTAGTCCCAGCTACTCAGGAAGCTGAGGCAGGAGAATGGCATGAACCCGGGAGGTGGAGCTTGCAATGAGTCGAGATCGCGTCACTGCACTCTAGCCTGGGTAACAGACCAAGACTCTGTCTCAATAAAAAAAAAAAAAAAAAAAAAAAAAAAAAAAAAGATGGATTAAATTGGTACTTAAATTTTTTTTCTTTGCGAGGCTTTTCCCTTATTCATATTAAATTTAAACTGTTTTTCAAATTTATTTTACTATTCATATTTCCTGTGCATGAATCATATAATCATGTCCTTTGCCCATTTATCCATTGGGAATATTATTAGTGTTCACATGCATGTTTGAATAAATTTTCATATACTTGGTGCTGATAATTCTATTTTTCATGTGTGTTGATTTTTTTGGTTTTTATTGCTAGTTATTTCTATTACTTACAAGTTAAAAATTTATGTAATTATATTTGACCATTTTATTTCATTTCTAATTTCTCCATTTGCTCCAATTGTAAGAAAATTATCACTTTAAAGTGAGACTAAAAGCCCTATATATTCTTTTAGGTCTCTATTTCCCACCATCCCTGAGATTTTACTCTGACATTCTCTGGGCCTTACAGCCCAGGCCCTATAATTATTCAACACATTATTTTCACAAAGGTTAGATGCTTGCATTATGACTTCAATTGAGCAGTTACCTTAGAGTCTACTACCTACCTATTTATCCTGTATTTACAACTATTTCCCATGTTTTCTGTTGTCCAAGGGGCTTACAACATTCAAACCCAACTTCACTCATTCACTTACTCATTTACTTATTCACTCACTCACACTTTCATTTATTCATTCATTTACTATATTTGGCACACAAACTCTAGGGTGACCACCAGGGATCCTTGCTTCCTGGTGTGTTCACTTGTGTGTAGGCAGGACCTGGGACTTGCTTCTAACCAACAGAATACGGCAAAAGTGGTGGGATGTTCTTCCTGTTATTGTGTTACATAATATAAGACGCTGTCTTGCTAGTAGACTCACTCCAGACACTCTCCTTGTTGGCTTGATGAAGTAAGCAGTCATGTTGAGGAAGCTCTCATGGTGAGGAACCTTGGGCAAACTCTAGCCAGCAGTCAGAAAGAAGCCTGGATACTTGGTTTTAGAGCAGCATGGAAATGAATTCTGCCAATAACCTGAGTGAGCTTAAAAGGGGTTTCTTCCTCAGTCAAATCTCCAGATGAGAACACTGTCCAGGTGTCACCTTGATTACAGTGTTGTGAGACTCTAAGCAGAGGGCCCATCTAAGCCATGCCCTTACCTAGAAACTGTAAGATAATAAGTAGTTGTTGTTTAGAGCCACAAAGTATGCAGTAATTTGTTACGCAGAAATAGAAAACAAATACACGGTGCTGTGCTAATGATCACATGCATGATCTCTTAGTGCTTCAAGTAACGTCATAAGCCCGATACTAATATTATCTTCATTTACAGATGGAGAAACTGAGGCCCAGAAATTGATGTCCAGAATGCTTTGCTCTTAGCCACTGTACTATTATGGCATATTTTATCTTTATGTATTGCATCATTTCATGGATTCAAGTTTATCAATGTCCTTTGACAAGTTTAAAAATCTGTCTGCTAAAATCTATCCAATACATTAAGGAAAAGTCCCACTTGGCACATCTCCCACACCAGGTAGATGTTTTATAAGTTCAACTCCATAAAGACATTTCATGAAACTGTTTTATGCTGTACTTATACCATACATCTTGTAGAAATAATATTAGATTAATGAATAGGAAAGGTTTTTCTTAAAAGTGATGGACTGGCTGGGCGTGGTGGCTCACGCCTGTAATCCCAGCACTATGCGAGGCCAAGGGGGCCAGATCACGAAGTCAGGAGTTCGAGACTAGCCTGACCAACATGGTGGAACCCTGTCTCTACTAAAAATACAAAAAATTAGCTGGACATGGTGGTGCAGACCTGTAATCCCAGCTATTCAGGAGGCTGAGGCAGGAGAATCGCTTGAACCTGGCAGTCAGAGGTTGCAGTGAGCCAAGATGGTGCCACTGCTGTACTCCAGCCTGGATGACAGAGGAGAGAGAATCTGTTCTAAAAAAAAAAAAAAAAAAAAAAAAGTGATGGATTATGAACTATTTAGAAGAAAGAATAATCATGGCAGACATGAGTCCTAAATGCTTTGAATTTATCTGGAATTAGAACATTCAGAAAAACATTAGTTAAAATGTGCTGCCGCTTGGATTCTGTCTTTAACTTTGCTGTACGACTAAAACATTTAATTTGTGTCTTAATGTTAACATTTCTGATCAAGTACAGGGAAAAACATAATATAGAGAGATTTAGAAATACTTTTGTTTAATTGCTAAAGTCCTATTTGGTTCATTGTTCTGAGGAGTTAAGGTGGAATTGTGATCCCAGTACCATGTCTTCTAATAAAAGCCATTTTTGTTCTGCATTTTCAGATGTTAATTATTCATACTGCATGACTGAGGATTTTGGAGGCAGAGAGAGATTCATCTGCAATATTTGGAACACCAATGGAGGTCTACGTCAACACAGAATTTATACAGCAGCTGGTGCTAGTCAGAGCTAATGACAGAATTTCAGTTTAATAAAAAGACCCCCAACTGAGCACACCATCTTGAAAAAAGTATACTTATCAAACAGCTTTCAATCAGTTCAAGAGAGACACCTTAATTGGGGAGAGGAAGAATTGCAGAGTAGTTTGTAATCATGCCAATTCCAGATCAATAACTGCATGTCTGTTCTTTGGTAGAAATAGCTTTTGCTTTATATTAAGTAATCACATATATATTCTCTCTATTTGGATAAGGAAACCTTCGCTTTATTTGACAATGTATAATGATATACTCTTCTAATTCACCTCTGTGTCTTCACAATAAACATGAGTAAAATTTAGACAAGTGATGGTAAAGGTCAATATAATTATTTATTTTTAAAATAAATTTTGTATCTAACAGGAAAGCAGTTCTTATGAAATTTTTATATTTTCAAAAATTGTTTTGTTCAAATAAAATTTTATGAGTAAAGTTAAATGATGGTGGTTTAATTATAAGAAGAGTATACTGAACACTGATAATCTGATTTGTATGCAATTACTTCGGGGAAGGCTGTACAGAATAATCTAAAAAGAAACAAAAAGAAGGCAATTTACTTTTTGAAGGAAGGATTTGGAATACTAAAGAAGAATATGATTCAGTCATCAAGTCTTAGTTTCCTTTTGTTAAAAGGAGACAGTCATTCAAACTGGTGGCTTTCAACCTGTTCGTAGGCTACTAGTCTTAGTGGTGCCTTACAGGGCACTATAGGGCAGGCAGGGCAGGTGGAGAGGGCAGTGAGGGGAGTATGGCCCAATAGAGAGGTCGAGGCAAAGCCTGCAGGGGAGGGCTCTGCAGTTCCCTTTCTCACATCAACAAGGGCATATCTTTTCTTTTTTCCTGCCTGCCTTTTTCCCCCCTTCCTTCCCTCCCTCCAAACTGTATCTATTTACATAGACATACATTTTTGAATGGAAATATTGGGCCTCTATATAAAATTTCTTTTTGCAAAATAGGGTTCCTCTGCTAAAATACAGTTTGAAAATCACTGGACTAGACAATTCTAAGTTTTTTTCTTTCTATGTTTCAATTACTGTTAGGATTTCAAGATCCAGGAACAACACAGCAAGGGAGATTGAAAATCTTTTAGGACACACAACAAACACCTATCTTGCATAAATGGTAGTTCAGCTAAGAGGCAAAGCTATGGGTGAAATGGCATCTTACAACGCTTTCAGATATATGGGACTGTCTTAGTCTGTTTGTGTTGCTTTAAAGGATACCTAAGGCTGGGTAATTTATGAAGAAAAGAGGTTTATTTGGTTCACAGTTCTGCAGGCTGTACGAGACGCATGACACCAGCATCTGTATCTGGTGACCATGGCAGAAGAAGAAAAGGAGCCAGCACATACAGACCACATGTCAAGAGAGAAGAAACAAGAGAGATGAGAAGGTGCCAGTCTCTTTTAACAACTAGCTCTCAGGGCAACTCCCATGGGATCTAAGAGTGGGAACTCACTGTTTACTGTAAGGATGGCACCAAGACCTTCATGAGGGATTCAACCCCATGATCCAAACACCTCACACCAGGCCCCACCTCCAACACTGGAAATCAACTTTCAAAATGAGATTTGATGGGACCAAGCAAACCTTAGTAGAAACTATGATTAATAGGTTAAGTTTTTTTTTTTTTGAGTAATTATGTAGAGCAGAGCCATGCTTACTTAGGCACTTAATCTACTCAGTGATGTTTGGGCAAAGGAAGACTATGACCTAATTTTAAAAATAAAAGCCTTTTGCATTTAGAGAACCATATGCTGTTAGAGCTGGTAGGATATATGAACTCATGTTTCTCATTTTATATATTTACTTATTAATTAAATTAATAAATTTTTACTGAATTTGAATACGTGCCAGCCAACATGTTAGGCATTAGGTATATAGTATATTGTCCCTATCTGTATAGAGATTATGCTTTAGTGGAGGAGACAGGAAATTAAACAATCATACACATAAGCATATAATTGCAAATTTGTGTAAGTACTATTAAACAAAAGAAAAGAGTTCCCTGAGATCCTGTGTTGGAGTATACGTGAGAACACTGGGCTGTAGAGAGCAAAAGTGACTTGCCTCAAGTCACTGAGTGTATGCTGTAGGGCTGGCACTAGACTTGGTCACATGTTCTCTCTGTCTCACTAGCTTAGCTGTTAAGTTTAGGTCCATAGTAAGGGCTGAGTGATAGAAATCAGAAAGCCATGAACTTCCCCCTGGGCTTGTGCACTACTTTAGAACCTTGGGCAGCCCGTGAGACGCCTTGGGAGACACCCAATGATCTGCACTAAGAAAGGAAACTTCGAACTTTTGAAAATGGTTTTCTTCATTGGTTAAGGTCCCCGTGCTTACAATGTGGTTGACTAGAGGCTGAAAATGGTCTGCAGGGATAGAAAAGTCCATAATTAAAGAAGAACAATTCCTTAGTAGCTACAGCAAGACTATTATTTATTCAAAACTTTCAGGCTGCAACCAGGTTCAACAGCTTTCTTGAGTCTACATTACTGTGAAACAAGTCGTTTGTTCCTTTTACAAACTTTTGCCCAGATAGGTTTGCCAGACCTATCAATTAGAAGAAACCTAAGTTAAACCATCATTATTAAAATTATTAGCTAAGAGCCACTATGATGAGGCCATTCTCCTATTTGAAGACAGCCAACTGGCATAGCTTTCAGCCCATGTGGCTAATGGGGAGTGTGAGGTTATTTTCTCTGATAAGAATCTGAAGAGTAGGGACAGAGTGAGTCTAGTTGATTGCAGAGCCATAAACTTTGGAGATCCAACAAATACACAGCGAAGCTGGTATCCTTTTATGAGCATTGAGAAGCTTTGCCTGCCTACATGGATGTCATCTACCTCTGGGAGGCACCTGACATCAGGTAGTTAACAACAATTTAAGTCCTTCCTAGTGTTTGCTGGGATAAGCGATTGACCTTCCTCAATCTAAAGCCTAAATCATAGTCAAGTGAGCACTGCATTAATGAATAGATGGGATTATAGCATACATGCTGTTTTTTTTTTTTTTTGTGCAAACTATCTTTTTTCTTTTTCCTTTTGGCAAACCTCCTCCCTCCCCATCTCCTTTCCTGCTGCTCCACCCCTGCCACAACCCATGCTACAAAACTAGCATGTATCTTCAAGTATTTTATTTTTTTCTTCAAGTATTTCAAAAATGCATGCTCATATAATCCTATCTAAGCATATATATGTATAAAAAAATCTATATACATTCCCACACATAGAATTTTGGGGCCATTTTTTAGGAAAGCAGGGTTATATTATACACTCTTTTCCCAGATTTTTCATTTTCAAGAGGAAATACAGTTCTACTTCATTTACTGTATGGCTGTATTATGATTTACTTTGTTTCCGGTTTTCTGCTACACTGAATAATGCTCAGATTAATTCCCTTGCACATGTGTCCCTGTGTACTGGGACTTTCATTTTTATAAGTTAGATTTTCTGAAGTATAAATTCTGAGTCAAAGAAATGTGTATATTTAATTTTAATAAACGTTGCCCATAGTGAGGGATAGCGGCACATGCCTCTAATCCCAGCTACTCGGGAGGCTGAGGAGGGAGGATCACTTGAGCCCAGGAGGTCAAGGCTGTAGTGAGCTATGATTGTACCACTGCACTCCAGCCCAGGCAATAGAGCAAGATCCTAATGTCTAAACAAGTTAACAATAATAACAAAATAAATGTTGCCCAATTGTTTTCCAAAAAGGATTGTAACAATTCTTATTTCCAACAGCAATGAGAACACCATTTTCCTCCAGCAGCCATACCAAAATGGATATTATCACACTTATATTTTTACCAGACTGATGAGTTTAAACCTTATTGTTAATTTATTTTCCATTTTCCTAATTACTAGCAAGTTTAGACACCTTTTCACAAGTTTGTAGGCCACCCAGCTTTGCTCCTTTGTGAGTTGTTTTCTTTTTATTTTGGGTTGTATGTTGGAAGAGCTCATATATTAATATTGTATTTTCCATCTGTGTTAAAATATTTTTAATTTATCACTTGTCTGGTTTTTATTATTATGTGAAACACACATATTTTAATATATCTAAATCTGTGAGGGGTGTCCAATCTTTTGATTTCCCTGGGCCACATAGGAAGAAGAATTGTCTTGGGCTGCACAGAAAATACACTAACGCTAATGATAGCTGATGAGCTTTAAAAAAAAAAATCACACACAAAAAAATCTCATAATGCTTTAGGAAAGTTTATGAATTTGTGTTGGGCCAAATTCAAAGCTGTCCTGAGCTGCAAGTGGCCCACGGGATGCAGGTTGGACAAGCCTGCTTCTTTTACATTTTTTTTTAACAGCTTCTAGGTTTACTGTTTTACTTATGGAGACTTACCCATATACATACATTCTCGAAAAACTCTTATTTTTATGTCTAGTTTTTAATCCATCTGAAATTATTTTTGTATATGAGTTCAACTTTAGTTTTCTATACTATTTTTAAAACAATCACCTTTCCTACTGAATTGAACTATCATTTTCATCATGTATTAAATCCTCATATATATTAGGATCTATTTCTGGGTTCCATGTCCTGTTCCACTGATTTGTTTATTCCTCTGCAAATACCTGATTTGTTTTTAGAGCCTTTACAATATCTTCTGATATTTGGTAAAGCATGTCCTTCCTAATTATTCTTCTTTTTCTTTTATTTAAAAATGATATTTTCAGGCATTTGTTCATTTAAGTAAATGTTAGGGTCAGTGAATGTGAACAGAAGTTATGTGTGTTTCTCCTGGTCAGAAGCTTTAGCAGCAGTATGTGATTTGCTTCCCTCTCTTTTCTTATCTTAGTGATGACAGAAACACTTGTTGAGATAAAACTTTCAGCTTGGGTTTTTGAGTGACAAAGATGAGCAGAGCCACCCTGATTACCCATGTTGGACACATAGAAGGAGCAAGAAATAAACTTTAGTTGTGTTAAGTCACAGAGATTCTGAGCGATTTGTTACTGCAGTATCGCCCAGCTCATTCTGACTGATGAGAATGCTGTGAGACTTATGTCAGATGACATACATAAAAACACGTATTCAAAGTCACAAATCAACTTACATATCAATAAATATTGGCCAATATAATTAAAATTATGAGCAAATAACAACAATAATAAAGCTACCCTTGTGTCTTGAGACAGGACAGGACTTTCCTGCCGGGTGGTTTAATTTCAGGTGGTTAAGAAGATACATGTACCAAAAGAAATACCTGCCCTGCCTGCTCAACATTGCTCTATACTGTAGTTAAGAGTTTAATTCCTGCTAAATGCAAGCCACTTCACCTTGCTAAAATGAAAGTCCATGAATATAAGGAAGGAAACTTAAAACACATTTGAAGATAATGATTTATATTAGGAATTGCAAACTAGTAGCCTGTGGGCCAAATCTGGAGCATACATGTTTTATTTTGATGACACTATTTTAAAAATCAGGGAAACACACACACACATTCACACACACATTTACACTCACACACTCTCTCACACACACTTACTTCTGGCTTCTCTTGAAAAAACTCTAAGATCTTACAACCCTAAAATCACATTTCTGCATGACCAAAATCTCTGGAGCTAAGTAACTGCATTGTCTAGTTCACCAGAGTTTCCCTACCCTTTGTTGTCTTTTTTTTTTTTTTTTTTAGATGGAGTCTTGCTCTGTCGCCAGGCTGGAGTGCAGTAGCACGATCTCAGTTCACTGCCACCTCCACCCCCCGGGTTCAAGCGATCCTCCTGCCTCAGCCTCCCGAGTAGCTGGGACTACAGGCACGCGTCACCATGCCCGGCTAATTTTTTGTATTTTTAGTACAGATGGGGTTTCACCATGTTGGCCAGGATGGTCTCAGTCTCTTGACGTCGTGATCCACCCACCTCGGCCTCCCAAAGTGCTGGGATTACAGGCATAAGCCACCGTGCCCGGCCCTACCCTTTGCTGTCTTACACCCACCTAGCTCACTTCACCTGTTTGCATTTCCTATTGGTTCAGAGTTGCATAGGAATAGGTGACCCCTGGGGATTTATAGTAAATTAAAATTTGATTACAGTGTTCCCCCCTTATCTATGGGGAATAGGTTCTAAGACCTCCAGTGGATGCTTGAAACCACAGATAGTACTAAGCCCTACATATACTACGTTTTTTCCAGCTGATAACCCAGTTGACTAAGTGACTAACAGACAGGTAGCTTATACAGTGTGGATAGGGTGGACAAAGAGATGATTCATGTCCCAAACAGGACAATACAAGATTTCATCACACCACCCAGAATGGCTCACAACTTAAAACTTATAAATTATTTATTTCTGGAATTTTCCATTTAATATTTTTGGACCATGGTTGATTATGGGTAACTGAAACTACAAAAAGCTAAGCCAAGAATAAGGGAGGACTACTGCATTTCTTCAGCAGTTTGGTATAGTGAGCTCTAGGTACAAAGAAGACAAAATGCTACAATGGAGGGAAAAGTAGGGTACTGATAACTAAGCCATTTGGTATCGTTTTGATAGAACCAGTTAGCAGAGGAAGAGACATTTCTCTTCCTGCAGAAAAGAATAAAAATAGGTCTTTGATACCTCAGCAGCAATTTTCATCATCAAATCAGTTACAGACCACACAGGCTAATTAATTCTCTTGGCCCACTCAGAGGGTGAGAATCCCAGAAATACCATTAGTCAGAAATGAACTTAGGAAAACAGTTGAAAAACATCTTGTTGCTTAGGAAGAATCTTAATACAACTAGCTACTGAATTGCTTTTTAAAGTTGCAAACTGACCCTCTCCCATTTTGTTCATTTAGGAAGAAGGATAACAGAAAAGGGATTGGACAGAAAGGTCTAGAATCTAGATTGTTCAATGTATAATTGCTATGCAATTGCTTGAGCATTATCTAAAACCTTTCACGTTCATATCCCTTGAAATCCCTCTTACGTTAATCACTTTTATCATTTTGGCTCCATTTTCGTTCAAAGAAAAAACATCTTCAGGCCACTCCCACTTTAGGGGCTGCTAACTGACCCAGTTTTCAAAGGCAGAATCTCCCAGTACAAATATGCCTCTTTTTGATGTTCAACCAACGAAACAAAAACAGCCTTTAAAGTTTAATGTAATCTTCCTGCAGATTTCCATGGTACCTATCACAATTTTATCAATATCCTAAATTAATTTAACGCATTGGAAACCGAAGGTGAGTGTCAGATAGTGTGCCAAGGTAACGATTGTGTCTTCTGAATTACCTGGCACTGACAGTGGGTTTGAGAGTGGGGCATCCTAGGATCTTCAATGAGATACGTCTTTCTGTTTCATATTTTAAAGGTCGTGAGGAGTTGGCTGAGAAAGAAAGGGACATGAAGTATCTGGTTTTAAATCATCCCAAACTCAAATTTATCTCAGCAATAAAATTTCACTTCAGCTCTGTTTCTTTGTTGGACTGGAAAGAGGCGGAAATTTAAAAAGGCCTGGAGTAAACTTATAGACTGAAAAGAGACCTTCTCAGATCAGAAATAATTTTTCCAACGACATTTTTCAAACATAGACGTTTTTTAAAAAATCCCCTTAGAAAATTGCATTATCACTGGTAAATTATTAAAATAACTTTTTCAAACAAAATACAGACTGTTTTTATAGATCTGTCATATAACTTCAAATGGAATAAATAGACTAGATAAGTGAGCTTTTTATTTTCATTCTAGTTATAGTGGAGGCATTTTTTTTTTATTCTGGGTTAGCAGTTTCCTCTAAAAATACTCTGGAAACCCTTTATAAATGAAAGGAATGTGTATAGTATGTAAATTCAAAGTGTGCTGTCCTCATTTACCCAGTGGAATTCAAAATAAGCCCCAACTTGTGAACATATTAAAGCAGATTGAAATGGATATTAGCGGGATTTGTAAGGAGAAGCACTCCAGTCAGTCAAACATGCTATGCACGAGAACTTTGATAATGTTGTTTTACTGATAATTACCTGCCGGCTGCCACCTCAAAGTGGGATTTCATGCAGGTTCCAGTATTTAAATATTATGTTCACGGCCAAGCCTGCAAAGACACTTACACCAATCTGGCCATGCCCATTTTATTTCACAATTATCTCTGTCTTTCTTCATGAAAAGCATGCACTTAACTCCCTTTTAATTGTGTTTGAACTGTGTGGGCAAGAGATCTTCAATACTATACTCTCTCTTCCTTAGTCCAGAGCAAGTTCTGCACTCTCTCCCTCTCAGATGTCAGCAGACATCAGAATTACTGGAAAGCAGCACTTTCTAACTTGCATGAATATTCATCTGACCTCAGAAACTAGTCGCTGGGCAAAGTAAACACCCCACACTTACATTAACTAAAGGTGGTTTAAGGAAGGACCAACTTACGTAGTCCTCCTGGGCTGCTAATGCCTGCTGGTCTTCCAGCCCTACAGAGAACTTCCTTTTCTCTGCCACCATCACCGTGCACCGCCCCAACAACACTTTTTTTTTTTCTCATACTGAACTCCTAATTAAATTTAACAGTTTCAAGAGTTTAAACTGTATACCTTTTTAATTGTGTCCTACTTTGTATTGGCTGATGCACAAGTCTGAAAATGGATATTACAGCTTTTTATGATATAATATCACCCTAATTGGTGCTTCATAGGCCGTGGCTGAATTCTTTTCAATTAAGCTCTAACATACAGTAACTGTTTCTCTCTGCAAATGCTGGAAAGCCATTCACAAGAGAGGACTGGTACTGCACAATTCCAAAGCACCTTAATGTGTCAAAAATGTTTTGTGAAGAAAGCTACACTGTAAATGCAATCACCTACATTGGTGTTCCCATTGTTAACTGGGAGTGAAAGTATTGCTAATTGTCCTGCGTTTTAGCTGGGTTTTTAAAGCATTATGTAGTAAGTACACCGGAGGGTCAATTTGTGAAGTGAAATACTTAGCATGCAAAGCGTAATACAAGATGCTGTGTAATACTTGACCTCTCAGCATAATAAATGTAGCAGTGAAACGCTGTGCATTCAGTATTCACTGAATAGAGCCTTCGCAGTGGAACAAAACCAGAAAATGTTCTCTTCATTCCTTTTTTTTTTTTCACTAAGCGAAAATTATTCTTTATAATGGCCATTGCAGCAATTAGCTGGCATTTGGTAGAATAAATGTGCAGAAATAGCAATTTCTTATTTTAAATGAGATTTTGTATGGAGCCTGCAAATTACTTGAGGTATATGAATAATTGTGCCTTAGCTTTATGCTACAGAATAGGGTGTGGGTGAGTATAAAGATTTCCTATTTGCAGTTAAATGTTTAGACATTTTATTATTTTAATTTCACTCACAGTCTGCCTGGATTGACCTGCTTTCCCATTGATCATTTCATGTGCGCCTGGAAGCAAGTGTGCAGATGGCGGGAGACTCCCAATTAGTGCACCATGTTTTTTATGAATGTGACATGTAAGTGCAATCAGGTCTCCTCTGGAGGCAACAGCAGTGTTTAGAGTTTGTGATCCTAAATCAATACAATTTAATAATCTGCATGGAGTGAATACTTATCAATATTCTCTGTGGTCAATTGGAAACTTCATTAAATTTTTATCAAAAGTTTTTCACCTTATTGAAATGCAGTCTTCCAGGCATCCATGATCCATCTAATTAGCCTTAAGTAGGGTATTTTTTTCTCTCTCAAAGTGATTCAGTTAATTATGTCCATATATTCATAATTATAAGGTAGATGAGTTGGGTAAAACTGAAATTATGAAAGCTGCAGAGAGATTCTATGAGGCTTAGAATGTGGAATATAAAAAAGGGGTGAGTAAAAAATTTAGAGCAAAGAAATACTTTTTTAAAATCCCCCTCAGCCCGCCCTACTCCCATAGCCTTCTTACAAGGTTTTGTGTATTTAATTTTTCATTTATCATTTATAATCCAACAACTTCTGAAAATTGATTTTAGATAAGCACATAGTAAATAATAATTTAAAAGGCAAACACTACAAATACTAAAAACATTTGACTAATGCCTTGAAAGTTATTTTTAATTTAAAAGAATTTAAAGATGAACTATTCAAACAGTTTTTTAAAAGTCCCTTTTGCCCACTGGCTACCACTAGTCCCTAGTTCTACCAGTCCTCAGATCGCCTACCAGATGTAACCACTTTAGTCAGTTTCCTGTGTTTTCTCTTTCTACATTTCCAAATTCTTTCTTCTTATTCCAGTCCCTCACACATTCTACTTATATATTCTAATTTCACATATTCTGCATCATATCTTAAATTTCAAGAATTAAAAAAAAATTCCCTAGGCAACTTTTCAAGCCCAAGAATTATTTTTATCTCTAAACTTACATTTTTAGTTTTTTTCACAAAATTAATTTGTCTACCTTAATTTTCATTTTACTTAAAAGCTAAGCATATACAACTTTTTACTCAAACTACTGTTCTTTCTACAATTGATACCAAAAATTCCTCTGCCAAATACTATAATGAAGGCATGGATTATCAAATGATGAAACTCATCTGTTAAATCCAACCTGTGTTTCTACAAAATTAGAAATAACGCCAATTAGTCACTGTTAATTTAATCTGGGTAAAGTGATGTTCTCATATAGCAAGTACATACCTATCCTTCATTGCTCAATAAGCAAGGCTTATCAGTTGGACTTCACAACAGGCCTCAGGGAGGGCACTGGGCCATTATATTACTGTCTTTGCCTAATGATCATGCTCAAAATCTTCAGAAAATTGCATAGCCACTGACCAGAAAGAATTGTATATGATTTCTGTCCCACTTTAATGCCTCCACATATTTTTCCAATGGGGCAAACACCAAGTCACAATCAATCATATTTTTAATATTTGAAGTGATTTACAGTAGACCCAGGTAGTTGACAAGAATAAATTTAATTTGTAAAATTATATATGTGAAATGAAAGAACATGAGACATAACATTTTTCTTTCTAATTATTCCTTTCTGAAACGTTCCTCATGAAACCTTCCAAAGGAGAAGAATGTGGAAGACTAAGGGCAAAATTTCATCCACATATTCGTGAGGTATAGGTAAGTGCAATATAGATAACTATATGGGTAAAGATATTGGTACGTTAAAACACAGAAAGAAATGTTAACTGTGTTTTCATATTGTTGCTGTTAAGGAATGATGCCTCGGACAATTCTTTTCTTTTTTTTTTTCTTTGAGACAGGGTCTTGCCCTGTGGCCCAGGCTGGAGTACAATGGCGTGATCATGGTTCACTGCAGCCTTGACATCCTGGGCTCAAGGGATCTTCCCACTTCAGCCTCCTGGCGTGCACACACCTCTGGAGTAGCTGGGAATAGAGGCATGTGCATGCCCGGTAATATTTGTATTTTTTGTAGGGTTTCACCATCTTGGCCAGGCTAGTATCAAACTCCTGGTTCAAGAGATGTACCCACCTTGGCCTCCTGAAGTGCTGGGATTACAGGTGTGAGCCATCGCATGCAGCTGATAACTCTTTTCAAGATATTTCAGGTCATTCTGGTCATCTAATAGCTCTTTAACATATCCTGAGAGGTAAGCAGGTGATTTTAAGGATAGTTCATTCTAAAAAGGGAGGTACAAGTAGTGAAAATTGGTTGTACATAAACTATTATTCTCAGTATCATTGAAAGTTTTACATTATTGCTATAAAATTAGATGACAGTATTCTCACCTGGAACATTTACTTGGGTATAACCTTTCTCTTTCAAAAGTTGAGCCGAATATCTACATAGCCGGTGCTTCCTGCTTTGAGTGTCTACTTCAAAAAAGGAACCTTACTTTTTCTGTCCCAAGGAAACTCTAGGAAAGGGCTTCATCGCAGTTCACCCAAATGGAATAACTCACCATTTTCCCTGTCTCTTCATGCTCTCCTCATCCTGCCTTCCCTTAGGATGGGTCTCCACTCTGGAGTCTTCTCTTCATTCCCACCCCTGGCTGTCCAATTTCTTCTCTCTTTCAACACCTAGGTCAAATGTTCTCCCCCATTAAGCTCTCTCTGCTGTCCTAGTTAGAAGGAATTCCTCTCCTAAACCAGAAGAGCAATTTACCTTTCTTCCTCTTGTATTTATGTACACTTGATCACCCCCCTGCTTGACTACTGGCTTCTTGGGAGTAGGATTCAAGTCTGCACAAATTCCAGTGCCTTATACTTTGTGAGTGTACAAAAAATACTTCTTGAATGAATAAATTGGTAAAATTTAATGCTGGTCAGTGATCCATTATTACATATGGTGAAAAGCTCCAAACAACCAAGGAAATACAAACATTCCAGGAATGACTTTATCCATTCTCTAGAACACAGCATTGAGCTTTTCTAATATTCTCATAAGTTTCCAGATAGCAGGGTGCTTTGGATTTATCTGGACCAAAGACAAAATAGCTGGCAACTCAGCTGGGATCTTTTGCTACAGAGCTGCTGTGCAAGCAATTCAAAACATAGATTAACAATTCTTTTCAACCAGCCCTCAATCATGAATGTCACAGAGATGGACCTCTGTGATCCTGAACAAGTTATATATCTTGCTAAGCCTTAGTTTCCCCAGCTATAAACTGGGGACAATAATACTTGTTTCACATGATTAAATTAGATTAAATGAGATAAAAGTGCCTAATGGATAGAAAAATGGTAAAATTACGGCAAGGCTGTCAAAGATAAGTTCTGAGGAATCAGCCCACTTTTGTGAACACATATCTCATTGTATTATAATAATCAGAAAACAGTCTGTCTCCAACACTAGACTATGTAACATGTGAGGGCAAGGCCAAACTCCTATTTATTTCTGTATCCCCAGTGCCTGAGTCCTGGCACATAGTAAGTGCTCAGTGAAATCTAGTTAAATGAATGAAGAATTGAGGTTGTGTCTCCACCACAATTTAGCTACCTGTTTATTCTCAATACAAGCAAGAGGTAGCAGTTGAGATGTAATTATCGGAAAATAAGTCACACCCACAAAGGTATACATCAAAGTGAGAGCTCATTCACATACAATCAAGAAATACAACTTATTCTATTTTAATCCTGGATTATTGAGAGACGGTGCCATTGAAGGAAATCAATCTTCTCTTGTATAGGGTATGTATACTGTGATTAAAGTGTTTTTTAAATATTTATCAAACAACCACAGGCGGCTACAAAGGGCTGTGAATCTCTGAAATTAACATCCTGAAATTCTGCGTAGTGTTCTAAATGGTAGGGATTTGCCACTTCCTTGTCTTCAGGGAAAAATTACATTTCTCTTACTTTTGGCTTTCTGGTCACTTCTCTGGGGTGGGATTTCTGGAAAGATATCAGAACAAGTTTTTGGTGCATATTTCAGAAGGAAGGCTGTGGAGGTGTGCAGAGGAGGCTTATCAAATGGTCTTCCCATTGGACTAGTGTTCTAGGCTCTGAAGACCTTTCTAGAGGAGGCTTATCAAATGGTCTTTCCATTGGACTGGTGTTCTAGGCTCTGAAGACCTTTCTAGACTTGGTTTTTCCTTCCCTCAAAATTTTAAACATTTTAAGAAGCAATTTCTATATATTGAATAACCACAATATAAATCTGAACATTTTTCAATTCATTCCTGATGCTTATGCTTTATAGAATCTGGTTTTTCATGCTGTTTAGAGTCTGAAAGTTTCAATTGTGCTTCTGTTATGCTCCTTTCCTTGAGAAATGGCCGGGTTCTAAAGTGCCCCTCCTCCTATGGCAAAACAAAATTGGTGTACGATATGGGGTGACATTGCGGCAGTCTCTCCCCATGGCTTGTTGAAGGCGGACAATCCCTAACAAACCCTGGCTTCTTTCATGAATGTTTATTTGCATCTGGCAGAAAACGTCATTTATTAACAAAAATAGTAAAACCTACCTAACATTTTTTGAGGGCTGTGTGGCAAGACTTTACAAAAATTGTCTCATTTGGTCCTCACAACAGTCACAGGAGGGAGAGATTATTCTTCCTCACACGTGACTGGTGAGTAAACTGAGCCCAGAGGTTGGATGGCTTTCCCAAGTTCTATGGCAGCTCTGGGAGAGAGCAGTGCAGGCCCCAGGTCTGTGCAAACCCAGAGTCTGAGCTCTTCTTAGTCCTTACTCTTCCTTCTCTCTGGCTTCAAAGTTTCTTCACCAACTCCAATGGCCTATGGGCAATGACACATGAGGAGACCAGCAAAACACCATTTTCAACCAAAAACAATTGTCACAAAATCTCATGTTTACTTAATTCTTGTCACAAAATCTCATGTTTACTTAATTCTGTGAAGGGTGAGTTGTGTGGGAGGGGCAGTTAAGGAACAAAAGGAGACTGGCCAGCTGCGGGGGGTGGTTCCATAGCCCACAAAGAATGAAGGCACAGACATTTCTCTCCATGCCTGAGGGACAGCACAGTCACCCAGATGAGCAAGAAATGGGTTTACACCAGAAAGGAGGGCCCAGGCGTGTAGAAGGGGACTTCCTAGCCCAGCTATGGCTCTGAACCATCTGAGGCCCAGGATACTCCAAACCCTGGTGTGGCCAAGGTAGATCCATGCTGACCCATGGAGCCCAGAACTCAGCTCCTGGAGAGGACTTCTAGGTATTAGGAGATAATACCTAATACTTAGAGCAGGTAGGGGGAGGAAGGGAAAGAACAGTGACGACCTTTGCCCCAAAACACATTTTCCAATATGAGGGAGGGAGTGAAACTGAACAATTCTCTCAAAGAAATAGGTCAGACCCCAGCTGGTAAACCCTGACACAATATTCTCTTCAAGTTTTATTTATTTAGCATTTATACTAACAGTTCTCAAAATTTAGGGAGCAAAATAACCTGAGGAGGTTGTTAAAATGCATTTTCCCAGTTCCTATGCCCTAAAATTCTGATTCTGTGGGTTTGGGGTGGGTTCCTGGACTCGGTTTTGGACAACACCCAAAGACATTCTCATGTCCCTCATCAGAGAGGTAAATACTGATAAAACAACCCTGGAGTTGGTGAGTCCTTGGAGAGCTGACATTCTGTTGGGCTAAGGTGAAGCCTATTTATGTATTTATTTAGAGATGGGGTTTCACTCCGTCACCCAGGTTGGAGTGCAGTGGAGCGATCATAGCTCACTGCAGCCTAGACCTCCTGGCCTCACGGGATCTTCCTGCTTCAGCCTCCAAAGTAGCTGGGACTACAGGCCCATGCCACCATGCCAGGCTGTAAAGCCTAATTAATTATATTATTCTCCAGGAATGCTCATTTTTGAAGAACTAGCAATGGTTGACCATGTCTGTGGCTACTGCCCCAAAGTTTTCTACATTCCTTCAACATCCACTTGTAGGAAAAGTTTTAGGCAGGACTGAGGGTGGGTGAGATGACACTCTGATGTGTCCCCTGCTGGTCTTGGCTGGGCAGGCTTCCAGGCACACTCTGAATGAGGCAGCACCCCTTAGCTTTCAAGGAGGACTGTCTTGTGAAGGAGTACTCAGAGTATCTTAAGTCTCTGACAACCAATCATTCATTCATTCTGCAGTTGTAGAGAACTTCTTTCGTTTGCACTATGTTTTAGGACCTGGGCCTTGCTTAAGCTTCTCTTTCTTCCTATCTTCCAGCTTTGCCCAGTCAACTTTATTCCCCCAGGCCTGCCCTCCCTAATGAGGTCAGTTCCACCAGGCTGTGCCCTGATGGCATCATAAACCTGTCAAATGTGATTCCTAAGTTAATGCCCTTCTCCCCACTGCTTGTAAACTCCATGAGGGCAGGGATCATGTTATTTTTAACTCCAAGTCACTTAAAAATAATTTGCTAAAATACAGTTTTCTAAATAACACTTTGCCACATTTAGCGAGGTACCAGTTTAACAAAGTAGACTATTTTTCTGTTTATAAGTTAAACACCAAACTCTATTGGATAGAATGTTTTAACAGCTTTTGACGATTTCTGTGAAGGTTTAGTTGATTGGTTTTAATTTTGCCTTCATAATATCATTTTAAAGAGGTTCATTTGTTAATAGCTAAGAGTGATAAAATGGTTTAGCCTTTTAGAGTATATATTTAATTGTTCAGGAAAGGGTATTTAGAAATCAGTAATCAAAACTTTATTCAAGATTAGTATCCCAATTCTGATATTTATTTCCCTAAGCATGAAATTACTAAAGAAGGATTCAGAGCAACCAAATCAATGTGAATTACAGAGATTTAGGGTATTAATTATTAGTAATATAAAATCAAGGCTGATCTGCCATTTGAGGTATTGGTAAAAAATATAACAGTGCTGGAAGAGAAATTGTAAATTACATTTAGAAAGATAGGGAAAAACTCTAAGTCAATTGAAACAATCTCATTCCATGTGTCATGCTGAAATTTAAAATTTTAATTGCTACAGGCTAAAATTAAGTCCACCAGCCACTGAACAATTACAGAAAGAATATTAATCATTGTTATAATTTGAAAAAATTAGAAAACCACAGAAACTAGAAGTAGAAGCTGAAGATGAAATGCTCAGTTTTTATTTTCTAACAAGGAGAAATTGAGATATTTTTACCTGGTTTTAATGCACCAAAAGATTTGAAATGAAAGGGCACATATGTTTAAAATGCATAAAAGAAGTGAGGAGAATCAGAGGAATTGGCATAATGAAATGAATGATAAAACCTCAAATTTGATTTATATATTACCATAACTCTAAACTTGCAAAAACCAAAAAAAGATTTTAAAAGATTGGTTTAAAATCCCAAAAATGCTAAAAGATATGCAAAATGAGAAAGAACTAGGAAACAATGAAGCAATAATATCATATACTAAGGCCACTATCACTCTCAGAAATTAAAATTAAAAATTTTTAAATATTAATTAAAATTAACAGAAAATAATCGTGTAAGTGCTAAGTAGTTGACAAACCTGTAAATAACTTTAAAAAGAAATCTATTTAAGGCTGAATATTTCTACAGAAAATAATTATAATTTTGCATGAAAACATTAAATATTTTATGACTATAAAATATATTCAACTCATAGGAGTAGAGAGTAAAATGGTGGTTATCAGAGCCCGGAGGAGCGAGGTGGATAGGAAAAGGGGAGACGTTGATCACAGGGTACAAAGTTTCAGCGAGCTAGGAAGAATAAGCTTCAGTGATCTAATTACACAGAACTGTGGCTATAGTTAATAATAATGAATTGTATCTTTCACAATTGCTTAAAGATTGGACTTTAAAAGTTATCAGCACAAAAATGATAAGTATGTGAGGTGATGGGTATGTTAATTAGCTTGATTTAATCATTCCACAATGCAAACATATAGCAAAATATCACATTATACCACTTAAAAACATGTATATTATCTGTCAATTAAATATATAATAAAATTTATTCATAAGAAGAGTAAATTATTCTTAGTTTTGACAAAAATAACTATTCCTTAAAATGCTGCTATAAAAAGCAAATAACAACTGGTCAACTAAAACAATCCTATACAAATTGTTGCAAATTTTAGAAATAGTTAAAAGAAACATGTTTTTGGTAAATCATCGCATTTGGTAACTTTGGCAAATTAGTGATTCAGTAAATTGATCACTTATTGATTTTGTGTGTTGATTTTTGGCCAACTTGTCAAGTTCTTTTATTTAGGATAGGGTTTGTATCTCCAAAGTCTGCTGCAGTGCTTGGTACAGTAGGTACTCCATAAATAGTTGACAAATGAATGAATGAATGGTTTTGAGTGAGGCGAATATTGGTGGTTAAATATAACCACCAATGCTCCTGGCTTCATAGAGCTTACATTCTAGTGTAGAGTGAGTTATAGTCCAACCATATTTCTGTTATTGGTTATGTAACTACAGTGCAACTTCTATATGTTCACTTATTCTTGGATTCATAGGAACAGGTTAACTTTACTGTTATACCATATTTGGGAACTATTTGAATGAAACTATAACTCCATTCCATAAAGAGACGAAAACACCTTTTCAAATAGGCCAGAGTGAGACAATATTCCACAGGGTTGTTTGAGGGTAAAATTTCTAATAAAATGTTTAAAATCCTAAAGGTAAGTTCTTGCATACGTGACATTTGCACAGCAATTCATTCTGAAATGATTGCCAAGCTGACTTGAGTGAGAAAAGCAAGCAGAGGAAGGAAGTGCCTGGCCAGGCCTATCTACCTCTGTGAATCAGAGGAAGTGCTCAGGCAAGCATCATGAAAAAGTCATGGCGGGACTTTTTCTTTTATTTTCTTCTACCCCTTCAGCTCACCTCCTTGTCTATGATCAGAAATGAAAGGAAATGAGGTAAAGGTAAGTCCATCCCTAGCTCATAGAGCTGACAGAAGACAGGTTGGTTGTAGAGACAGCTGGGCACTGTGGGCACAGCCCATGTTATTGTGAGCTGGTGTGGAACTGGTACAGTAAGAGCAAGCAGCTTTTCCTGTGCAGTGAGTTGGAATTAAACATGCTAATTTGAGGTCTCTTTTAAGTATTTTGTTTAACTTCATTGGCCTTTAATTCCTTTATATTACATCATTTAATGTAACGTTATTTATATATGAAGCATGTTATGCTTATTAACCAATGTGCAAAAATCTAAAGTACAGATTTTCTATAATGGGCTAATTACAGGACTTTAAAGCCACCTACTGAGTTTTGCTGAGCTTCACAACAGGTTCACTGAACTGGATAAATTTATTCAAACGTGTGGAAATGAACCCCATTCTATGTGCAACGGTACTGGGAAAACACACAAATTATACCTCAATACCAGTTTAATGGGTCAAACAGTGAACCTGAATACTGAACTTATCTACATCTTAAAATAGTGGGGAAGCCAGTGGTAAAAAAGGAAGTGCCCATTCAAGGGAGTTTCTCCCTGTTTGTAAACAGTGGCAATAAAACAATAAACCTGGCCATTAGGAGTAAGTTCCCCACGCTCAGAAAACAGAGGTGGTTGCCTTTCAATGACCTTTGAAAATATACAACTTTCATAACCAAACCCAAGAGTGGAACGAAGTGACGAAAGCTTGGCAAACACACATCCCAAGTGCAGCCCTTTAATCTTTCCTGAGAACAAGAGGCATGTTTTCTTGTGTCATGGCTTAGGAGGAATTCAGCACAGAGTGTTCAGAGTTAGAAATACAAATAAGGCCTAAATATGCAGTGAAATTAAACAGTCTCTTCAAACCAGTTTTTTCCCTGAGCTTGATCAAAACAGAGATATGTTGATCAGTTAGTATTATTTCTTCATTAATCCATCCTCAAATGTTTTCTTTGAGAGTTCCAGAGAACTTTAGACTTAAGTTTCATAGCACCATATTTAGAACTATTATTCTATTGTTAATAGAATATGGATTATGAAAATACAAAGATTGGGAAGAAAAAAAGAAAATGGAGGTAGACAGAAGTCTGAGAGCCAGGTTAGGAACAGAGGTGAAAGGAAAGACCCTATTTCCTATACTGCATCTTTGTCGATGAAAGTTCTGTTTCCAATTAGACATATTCTCTCTCTCTCTCTCTCACACACACACACACGCACACACACACACTCTCTCTCATGTGATCATATATGCTATCAGTGAAAATAGATATTGCTTTTTTGCTTTTATAGCATCTTGTAGCAATGATCTACTAATTTTGTCATGAAAAGGAAAAGAATATTATTTCCAAGGCTGCAAGAATTCCGGTACTGTCCTTAGGGCACCCTATTGACAATGTATACTCCACCCCTTGGCTGACAGTAAGTAGGGTGTTGATAACCTAATCCATGCTTTTCTCTTCAGGGTGATGCTGGCATGCCTAGCTCTGGAAGTGGTGAAGCCTGGATTTATACAGCACTCTCTGCAAGTACCACATACACCAATAAAAAGAGAGTTCTTCAGGAAATGAGGTGTGACGCAGGCCAGCTTCGCCAAGACTCTTGGACCAAGAAATAAGGATTTAAATATGAAATACTAAAATTTAACACATGACTGAAACAAAATAAATGGTGTACTACTGAAAGCATTTGAGGTAATTAATCAATGCTGTGTTTGTACATATCATTAAATATATTATGCTCAGTTTAGATTTGATTTCTATGCTCCTTTTATAAAGAGTTAAAAGAAAATACATTTGAATTCACGCTGATACCGAAAACATGCTCCTAGCTTCTAGTTTTTTGGATTTCAAATCATTTCCATTAACAAACAGCTATTTGCCCTCTAATAAAATATGTCATTATGCTTTATTCACGATGCACAAAAGAATCACTGAAAAATCGCCCCAATGATGGCCAATAATTACACATTTTGCTCCTGTGCTAGCGATGAAGAAATCTGTTCATTGGAGAAAGCAGGTGCTAGGGCGTCAAGCTAATAGTCAATGTGTGCCACGGTAATTAGCCACTGCGATCGCTAAAATTAACAATTAGCTAACATGCAATTCTCTTTTTTGCAGGCTGCAGTTTACTTTGTAGAATCCTTGCATGTTCTTAGTAATTATTCTGACAGCTTATTATTTTTATTTTTTCTGGTTTGAACACAGCTTTAACATTTGCATCGGGCGACCCAAATGTTCAACAGGCAGAAGTGAAACAACTGCTTGACTAGGCATTTTTGTGAGGCACGCATTTGGTTGTTTTCTGAACTTTTCATTGTTGGGGAGGGGAGTGGTAGGGGTGAGATCTGTGATTCTCTCACAGCTATTGTCTTCTTCCCTAGGGCCTTCCTCCAGGCCGGCACACTCAGCCATCCTGAAGCTTTTAGAAGGAAAACTGCCCAGTCAGCGGCAATTTAGACTCTAGGGAACAACTCCAGGGATGAAGTGCCACAGTCAAGCTGGTCAAAACATCTTCCTTTCATTCTTCTTCCCTGGAGTGTGTCTTTGGTTAATGCATTCACTGCCCCCGCACAACGCCCCCCACCCGCCCTTACTGAGAAAATGTAGCATCCTGTGTGGCTTGTTCTCGTCAGGGTTGTATGCTGAGATAATACTGCTAGAGCCTTTGAATGGATAGAATAAGGAAGGCCTCAGCCTACATGCCGAAGGAAAAAATTAAAGGCAAAGGAATCATTTGTTTCCAGAAATCCTCTGGGAGACAGAAACGTGTTTAAGGCACTTACAGCATTCAAGTAAGATAAATTGTGGCAAAAAATTTAACGAATTGTAATTCCAAACTATATTAGTTTCCTATCGTAAAAATTACTACAGATTTAATGGCATAAACAATACACATTTATGAGCTTACAGTTCTGGAGGTCAGAAGGCCAAAATGGGTCTCACTAGGCTGAAATCCAGATGGTGCCAGGGCTATGTTCCTTCTTAACGCTCTTGGGCTGAATCTGTTTCCTTACAGTTTCCTCACTCCTTGGCTCAAAGGAGCCAAACACCATTGCATCTTCAAAGCCAGTAACATTGCGTCTCTCTCACTATTCTGCAGCCAAGCCTCCCTCTGACCACAGCTGGGAAAATTCTCCAATTTTAAGGACCTATGTGATTACATTGGGCCCACCTGGGTAGTCCAAGATCCTCCCCCTCCTCTCAAGGTCCTTAATTTAATCACGTCTGCAAAGTCTCTTTTCTCATGTAATGTAATGTAACGGGTTCCAGGGATTAGGACACGGACGTTTTTGGAGGGCCATTATTCGGCCTGTCACATAAACCAATAAAAATATACATAGAGTAAGTTTGTGCTTTTCTACCCTAGAGAGTCAGTGCACGTTTAATGTCAGGGATTGAATTACTTGGAAGTGGTGGGGAGGGGGTGGGACAATGGATTTCAATGGTTGCCATAGACAATAACACTGGCCTTCCTGTGCCAGGTCCCCCAACTGAAGACGGAGCCAGTGCAGGTCGTGCTTTGTCCTACCGCTCCCAGGCTCCTGAGTTTGGAGGGCCTTCTCACCCTCTTGTTGGAAGTGGCACTTTTCAGAGTGCAGGCTTGGCCTGGCTAAGAGCTATCATCATGTGTTCTGTGCTTTATTACAGTGTTGGGCTGCAGCACTCTGGCTTACTTACTGTGACAATGAATGATACAGGCTGCTGCCCACGGAAACCCTGAACAACATAAGGAACTCTGCCCACTACAGTCCTAACTACTAAAATGTAGCGACAGAGAGGTACAGCTGCATTCCTGAGAAGTGCTGCCACCTTGTCCAGGTGTGAGCTGATTTTCAGGGCTCAACACGGCTTTGACAGATGTTTCTCAGCAAGGCCCAGAGAATCTGGACCTTGGGACCTGCTGCAGGCTGCAGAGACTCAGGAGGGCCCAGTTTAGGAGGAGAGGTCAGGGAAGTGAGCTGTGGAAGAGGCTGGAGCCAGCCTTGTGGTGAGAAAACACAGCAACACATTCTGTTTGTTTAAGTGGGAGGAAACTGGAATGAGTAGGATCTGCCCAGAAGAGGTAGGCAGGCTGGAGTCAGGCATCCTGAGAGCTCGTCACTACTGAGCTTCAATAAGGCGAGACCACACAGTCTAAGATGGTCCTTGTTAAATGGCAAAAAGACATGGGGTATGGAGGTGTACCTTGTTTTAAGAAAACCTACTCTTCAAAATAGAAATGTATTGGATCTTTGATTTATAAAATAATTTACCACATAGATTGTTGAAGCTGGGTGTGGTGGCTCACACCTGTAATCCCAGCTACTCAGGAGGCTGAGACAGGAGGATCACTTGAGCTTGAGCTCGAGACCAGCCTCGGTGATAGAGTGAGACCCTGCCTCAAAAAATAAAATAAAATAAAATAAAATAAAATAAAATAAAATAAAATAAAATAAAATAAAATAAAATAAAATAAAATAAAATAAAATAAATAGGTTGTTGATAAAGTGAGCTTCTCTTATGTGTGTAACACAGAATTCCATACACACACACAAAATGTATTGTCCACTCCCAATAACACATCTGTTGCATAAAGCGAGCTATCCATATAAGCTAAGGTTCCTGAAAAACAGTGAACCAAGAGAACTTTTGGGAAGGATGGAACCAAAGCTTCAAAATGCTTTGCTAAACTCTCGAGGTGTGTGTCGCAGCTCAAGAGGCTGACCAAGATGTGGGAAGAAAGTTTGGGAGAAGCTACACCCCTCCAGTGGTGAAGCAAGGTATTAGAATGATGGCGCTAAAGCAAGGCAGCATGTCTAAGGAAACATGTATTCCAGTTTGAAGGTACCTTACCAGAGGATTTTCATTATCTCACATAAGAACAACTGTGGCTTATGTAGAAGAGCTACAGTGGCTTATAGCATGCAGACAGCCTTTTTCATTCTCCAAGAACTAGCAGCATTTCTTCACTGGTGACATCTTACCAATATTCCAAGTCATTATTATTATTTTTTAAATTTACAGACAGAAATGCCAAGACAGCGGTTTAGAAAATACTTTGGGTTCCCAGACGCTTGGAAGAGTTGGGAAGAGAACCTAGGATTCCCAACTTGTAATCTCATACCGGTCTCTTTGGGCTTCATGTTCACAGTATTGGGGGTGGAGGAGGTGGGGAAGTTTAGGGTATATGGGCATGGAAGCTGGGGGAGTGGCAGCGGAGAGGGAGAGGATAGTATTTAGGAAACAATGAACCATGTATGTTTTTTCCAAAGCAAGGGGCCATGAAACCCCAGGTCTTGGGGGTCACAGAAGATTCTTAAAGACAAGCTTCAGTGGATAAAAATGATTAACCATCCACTAAATGCCACCTTGTGGTCAGGGATGGCCGAGGAGAAAAACTGCCAAGTCACTATAACTTGTACACCATAAACATACAACTTGTATTTGTCAAGTAACAAAATAAAAATTAGAAAATAAAATAGAGGGTTCCATTTGGAAAGAAAACAAAAAGTCACCATGAAGGACGTGGAAGGACAAGGGGCTAAGTAGCCAAAGAAGGGAGCACTCTCCCCACTCTAGATAGTTTTTGTGAGCGCAATAATAAGAGTCAAGTTTATTCATCCTCAAATAACTTAACTCGCCTACTTGTCAAGTTCAGCACAGGACACAGGCATAATCCCTAAAGTTCTCCACCATAAGAAACTTTGTACCCAGCCTACAGCAGTTTGTTGGGGGACACCATGCTTCCTAGGTATGCACCCAGCACCACTCCCACCTGTGCCCCTGCCCCCACGCTGCTCTGCCGTCCTCCTTCAGCCTCATTATCTCACCCCTCTGCACCAGGAGCTAGTTCACTACGTGGGGACACGGAATGGAATTGGGTAGGCCACTTGAGGGAAAGATGGCAGTATAAATGTGTTATGGATCGACTGTAGGTCAAGAGTACCCACCTCAGGGTGAAATAGCAAATGGAAAGAAGAGGCCTGGCGCAGTGGCTCACATCTATAATCCCAGCATTTTGGAAGGCCGAGGCAGGAGAATAGCTTGAGGCCAGGGGGTTTAGACCAGCCTGGGCAACAAAGTGAGGCCCTGCCTCTACAAAAAAATACAAAAATGAGCCAGGCATTGTTGTGTGTGCCAGTAGTCCCAGCTATTCAGAAGGCTGAGGAAGGAGGATTGCTTTGAGCCCAGGGGGTTAAGGCTGCAGTGTGCTGTGATGGCGCCATTGCCCTTCAGCCTGCATGACAGAGCAAGACCCTGTCTCAAAACGAAATGAGAGGAAAAAAAAAAAGGAAAAAAGGAGAATATGAAGGAGGTACGTGTGTGTGTGTGTGTGTGTGTGTGTGTGTGTGTGTATTAGGGACTCTCAGAAATGCTTGCTCTCTTGATTCTTTTTCATCCAATGTCAATCTTTATGGGAGCTTAGTTTTCTCAACTTCCACTTCAAACACAGACTGATAAGGCTGCATTTGCTCCTTGGTTTAAGCCAGAACGACAGATAATGTTTTGTCTATGTACATCACTTTTCCAAGGCAGTCTGCCACTTTCCCCTCTTCCTCCCAATTACTACTGTCAGAACAAGATATCCAGCACTATGCCATATCCTCAGGCAGGTTCTCCGCATCTTGAGGTTACCTGGGGTGAATCAGGGCCAATGAGGTCACTGGGTTCCTACCTGCCCATGGCTTGTTGCTCTGTGACTGATGGGCTTCCGGTATATAGACTGTCCAAATAGTGTTCAAGAATTCTGGAGATGAATAAGAAAAGAATATAAATGTATTTATTACCACTGAACTGTACACTTAAAAATGGTAAAGATGGTAAGTTTTATATGTATATTTTACTTCAATAAAAAAAAAAAGAAATAGGCCAGATGTGGTGGCTCACACTTGTAATCCCAGCACTTTGGGAGGCCGAGGTGGGTGGCTCACCTGAGGTCAGGAGTTCGAGACCAGCCTGGCCAACATGGTGAAACCCTGTCTCTACTAAAAATATAAAAATTAGCCATGCATGGTGGTACGCGCCTATAGTCCCAGCTACTTGGGATACTGAGGCAGGAGAATCGCTTGAACCTGGGAGGCGGAGGCTGCAGTGAGCCGAGCTTGCACCACTGCACTCCAGCCTGGGTGACAGAGTGAGACTGTCTCAATAAATAAATAAATAAATAAATAAAAATAAATAAATAAAATTTTAAAAAAGAACCTGGGTTCAAATGAGGACACATTCACTTCACAATAAAGCCATATTGGAAGGGACATCGCTACAAAATTTGACCACCGTGGAAACAGGAAGTACTATTACATTGTATCAGGAAAAGAAAACCTTGGCATTAGAAATTTAGTCCTGGATGCATTAACTCCCTATGTCCTCATTCAAGTACAACACACGAAGTGTTGATCACAGGCGATCTCATTTCATCTTTGCAATAGCTCGTGGAGAAGCTCAGAATTCTGTCACATACCAAAATCCTGTTGATTTTACATCTCATTTTGAAAACTTTTAGGCAGTTGGGGTATTTTATTGAGACTTCTAAATCTAGAAATCTAATTTTAAATCTTACCATTAAATATCTCCATACTAGTGTTTTGGATGATTTAATGAGTGGCACCATTTAGAGGACACAAGGTTCTAATCTGAATTTATGAACTGTAAAGAAAGTGCCAGTATGCTGACTAACTAATGAGCTTTTTAATGATGAGAAATAGATAAAGCTTTAAAATGCAGAATGCTTATCAAGGACTTCAGACAATAGCAAAGTGGAGCAATTTAGGAGTACTTACCAGTGCGACTGCTGTGACAGCGAGAAGTGAACTATTTTCTTTCATTTTACAGCACTGCTTTTCATACGTGGGAGTAACTTCTATATTTTCTTAACTGAAATTAAATGCCCTGGTATAATCCTCTTTTCAATAGGGTTCAAAATATAAATAACCTATTGATACCACTTGTAATAAAGCAAGAGAAAATGCCTCTACAAAGGGGGGAAATATCTGAATATCAACATGGGATGATGGGATCCAGGGTTTAGATAAGGTCAGATGGTTGGAACTTCACTCAGGGGAGCTTCTCCTTGGAGCAGCTTTAAACACAGGCATGCTCCCTGTGGGAGATGGCAGGGCTCTGGCTGGGCTGACCCGGCATCACATCCAAGATGTGAACACCTATAAAACACCTAAGATGACCCCACATCATCTTAGTTGTTTTATAGGAAGTCTGGACTTCCAAAGAGAAGACCTGAAGTGTGCCTTTACTCCTGTGCTCTGGGGCATAAAAAGAAATAATAAAATAACACTTTCCCTTGCTATAAGGAGATCTTTATTTTGGGGCCTCTAGAACCTGTTGTTCCAGATAGCTCTATGATGCAGCACTGGCATGGAAGAGACGCCCACAGATCTACCACCAGCTACTGAGATCTAAGCCTGCCCTCCTCAACGTTAAAACTCTAAGTTTTAAAGTTCACAAGACCCAGAGGTAAATGAAAAGCTGGGATATGTTGGCACGATGTGGCTTTGCTTTGTTGTTGTTGTTGTTAATAAGGAACTAGACTGAGCTTGTCTCTTCCTTCCCAGGAAGTGAGCTTTCCAGCTGATTAATTGAATTGCCCTCCCTTGGACAATGGAAAGGCCCCCAGAGAACAGGGCTTTCAGAGTTTTTGACATATGGTAGAAACCTATTAGGTCCTGACAGTTTCCATCCTCTATATTAAACAGGAGAGGTGGCAATAGAAGGAGTAGGGTTAATAAATCCTCAGGCATTAATTGCTACAGAGGCAGCAAGATATGGTGTGTCAGCCCTGGATTTGAATCACAGCTCTGCAACTTCCCGGCTGGGCAACTTCTGGCAAATTGCTTAATCTCTCTGAGCCTTGGTTCCTTGGTTCCTTTATCTCTGACAGGATGAAGCAGAAACCCAGGCAACATTGGCTTCATCTATTTCAAAAGAGTCTGGGCAGAGTGGTGGTCATGAGAGAGAAAGTTAGTGAGTAAGGTGCTGCCAGAAGTTTCCCTGGGTTTTCGTCAGGATACCTTTCTATGCTTGTTACTAGCTATCCTTCATTCTGCTTTTTGACTCACCTTATTCCTCCTTCTCTCCCTTTAACTCCCTCTCCTCTGTTTATTCCTTCAATTCTCAAAGTCCTCTTTAATTTTTAAACAAACCATCTTTTTACAGTTTTTACTTGCTACTTCTGAATTTAGTTCAAATTATTTGACTGGTAAAACAAAAATTCTCTCATGTCACTTAATTATAGTCTCTGCTTGGATTTACTTGCCACATATAATATGTCAATTTAGGATTTCCAGATAAAATACAGAACAGCCAGTTAATCTGAATTTCAGATAAACAAGAAATTTTTTTTTAGTATAAGTATGTTCCATGCAATATTTGTATTTTTATTTACTAAATCTGGCAACTCTCGTTACCTAAATGTGAACTAAGTTCTTCTTGATAATCTCTATATCACTTTCACATTTTATTAATCTCTGCAAAGATTTTATTCACTGAATTGTAAGTGTTCTTGTAAACTTGTGAGTCTTGTAATCAGGTGCCTATAATGCAAAGAAGCACAATTTATTGCTTGTTCTGTTTTGCTTTTGTCAGCCTCTCCTCTCTTCATGTGTCATGGTGCATGGGCTTGTTTACATAGACATGAGTTTTATAGATTGGGGGACAATGGGAGGAACAAATGCCTGGGAAGATTTGGTGAAAATTTCTGCTCCATGAAAGTCAGGACAATCATAATGTGGGATGGGATAAAGTCTAGGGCATCACCAATTGGGCACCTCCAATGCCCATTTCTCTTGGGTTTCTTCTCCCCACAGCTCTGATGACAGTCACCTAATGGAGCAATGAAAGAGGCTAGTACTGCAGGAGGCAGAATCCTGTGGGTTTGTAGACAGAACTTAGGGGGCCCATAAATTTGGATGGAAAAAATTATATTTATTTTCATAACTTTTTTCAATTATGGATATGGGCAACAAAAACAATTGTTATCAGTACCTGTGACTATGTCACCAAGAGAAATCACAGATTTTAAAAATAACACGTAAAGTTATTATAGATATTAACATTTAATTACTCACTCATTCTTACTTCAAAATTATGGGAATTGCTACACCCATCCATAGATCTTGTTATTTAAAGCAATAAATTCATTAATAACAAAAAACAATAAAGAACTTGCTGAATATAAATTTGTTTTTAAAATATTTTAATAAGTTTATTTCAATACAATTGGTTTTCCTTGTAATTCTGGGTATTTTGTTTTATGCATTTAAAAATATTATTCTGAGAAGGGGTCCACAGGCTTCACCAGATTGCCAAAGGATTCCATGGCACACACACACAAAGTTAAGAACTTGGATGAGGGAAAGACCTGGGCTCATGTACACATAATTTACTTTCCTATCTCTAAGGCAAAATGGGCATAACTATCCTCATTTTCTCTTTTAAATGTACACTTCAAACTCCAGGCTGCCCTGTCATGACTTCCAAGTAATCTTGAATATCTTCTTAACCTAAACTTTACCTGCTTCGAGTACTTTTTTTTTTTTTTTTTTTTGAGACAGTCTCCCTCTGTCGCCCAGGCTGGAGTGCAGTGGGGCGATCTCGGTCGGCTCAATGCAACCTTCACCTCCCGG
Organism: Homo sapiens; assembly: GCF_000001405.40. Taxonomy (NCBI): domain Eukaryota; kingdom Metazoa; phylum Chordata; class Mammalia; order Primates; family Hominidae; genus Homo; species Homo sapiens. Next base: position 36,444,873 of record NC_000014.9, on the reverse strand, counting down.
GTTCAAGTGATTCTCCTGCCTCAGCCTCTCGGGTAAGCTCGGATTACAGGTGTGCACCACTACGCCCAGCTAATTTTTGTATTTTTAGTAGAGATGGGATTTTGCCATGTTGGCCAGGCTGGTTTTGAACTCCTGACCTCAGGTGATCCTCTCACCTTGGCCTCCCAAAGTGCTGGAATTACAGATGTGAACCACTGTGCCAGGCCTGATTTTTTTTCTTTGGAGTGGATTTCTAGAGAAGTACCAAAGCTTCAGGAAGACCCACAGGAGTAAAAATCGTAAAAGAAAAATAATAAAGACCAGAGTCCAAGTTAACTTTCACTGATTGGCTCCATTTTGAAACCCTTGGCAATCAGCATCATTATAAAATCCAATTCAGGTTGAGCATCCTTAATCTGAAAATCCAAAACCCAAAATGCTCCAAAATTTAAAACTTTTTGAGTACTCACATGACGCCACAGTGGAAAAGTCTTAACACTTTAAAAAAAGTCTTAATAGCACTTAACACAAACATTGTTCTATGCACAAAATTAGTATCGTATTGTCTAAAATTACCTTCAGGCTATGTCTATAAGGTGTATATGAAACGTAAATAAATTTAATGTTGAGACCTGAGTCTCATCCCAAGAGACCTCATTATGTATATGCAAATAGTCCAAAATCCAAAAATATCCAAAACATGTCTAGTCCCAAGGATATTCAACCTGTATAGTACAAAAGCTATGTTAAAGAAAGATATTAAATCTATAATACCTTGGGTAGTATGTTTATATCAAAAGTGTGTTTATTTGATAAATTTAGATGTAATCCCTGGGTGTTAGCTACTTTGCAATTTATCAGGAAAAGGCTCCACTCTATAACCATGTCAGATTTGAAGCACAGGAAAAGACGGGCTCAGGCTTAGGAAGGAGGTAACTGAAGCAGAGAAAGGGAATCTTTTACTGCCTACACCCCTTTGTTATTTGTGAGCTTCCAAGGGCTCTGGGAAGGTCGTGGGGAAGCAAGGGGCCTAGAGATGGGGGACTTCGTGCTGGAAAATGGGCTGCTTGCTGGGTGGGAAGTGGGGGTGCCTGATCCTGGCGTGGGAGGTCGGGCGTGGGGGGACTTGAATGAATGCCTGGGGGTTGGACTGGGAGAATAAAGCCATGAAGGGACTGTTCTCATTAAAGAATCCATTTCCCATTTTCAGCAGTTTGCTACATTAACAAGCTGAGCCATGAAAGGATTAGATCCGCTAAGTGAGTGCCTGTTCTGTGCACCATTGCAAAACACATTTCAGAAAGCAGTGGATTCGCCTTAAATGAGTATCTGCTGGAGGAGCAAAGCCCTAGGAAAACAAAGGGGCACGCCAGGGTAAGCTAATAATTCCTGCTGTGCTTTGAGGGCAATGAAATGACTGCAACCCTGAGAACTTTTTCTCCCTCCCCTGCAGTTGGTATAAACATAAGAGCCATTTTGATGATCATATCGACACCTCAGCAACAAGTGCTTCCCAGGTGCCAACAAAATGTCACTTTCCAAAGGGTTAAATGAACCAAAAGACCTCACCCTCAAATATTCTTTTTCTGCATCCATTTAGCATGCATACCTATTAAGCAAAACAATGGGCATAGATTCATATCCTGTCTACAAATAATCGAATGATACAAGAACAAATCTACCACCAGCTGCTTTGTCCCATGCTATGCTTTGACTGGGAGGGGAAAGCCAAGTTTTGAGCTGGGTCTAGCCTGACTCAGGCCTTAACTTGTGAGTCCTGCTATTCTAACCCTTTCTCTTGATCTGCTTTTCAGCCTGTCTCAGAGCACACAGCTCAGAGCAGCAGGGAAGTTGCTTAGCAAAGGGCCACCCACTTGCCTATTATTCCTTCCTCGCCTGTGACATGACACAAGAACAAAGTAGACATTAACCGCTACATTAAACCCAGAAAGAAAGTAATCAGTAACCTGTTATTCCCTTAATAAAGGGAAACACATGCAGTGTGAAATCCAGAAGACTAATCAATAGCCGCAGACAATGCAATGTGCCAAACAAATTGCAAATCAATTAGAATCCTTGTTTTCTTTGAAATGGTTCACTATATCTAAAGCAATTACTCCTTCATTAGACCTAATTTAACAGCATGACTACCCTGGCTACAACTGGCAGCGTCTGGCTATCAAATGGAAGAATGGCAGCTTATTTCTGTCTGTCTGTGAGTCTAGCACCAATCAAGAAAAAAAATGAATTCCTTTATATGAGAGAAACTTTTAATGAATGGGTGGATATTTGTTTTAATCCAAATATCGGTACCAGAATGAGAGTTCCCTGCTCCCCCCAGGGAAGTTAAAAGAGAAAAGAACTAAAGAATTATTGAATAAAAATCTGTACTTTAAAAATGTATTTTTTTCTTCTTTCTATGGGAGTTTCAACTAGATTAAAATGGAATTTAAGTATGTAAAGTCCTTCCAGCTCTTCAAATCTAACACAGCACTTGTTACTAGTTTTTGGACTTTTGAAAAGAGAATCCTGGTTCTTATTGAATTTGGAGTATTCTTGCAAATGATCACCAAAAAAAAAGCACTAGTTCACTTATTACTAAAGCTATTTAAAAATAGTTTTATTGAGCAATGTATAATACAATCCACTCATTTTAATTGTAAATGTAGTAAATTTTGGCAAATGTATACAATCATGTAACCACCACCTTAATTGTGATGTGGAATCTTTCTGTCACCCCAGTAAATTCCCGTGCGCCCCTTTGCAGTCAATCCCCTCCCCCAGCCCTGGAGGCAACCGCGGATCTGCTTTCTGTCAGTCCATTGCACTTTTAAGAACAGTTTCCCATCCTCTGGAAGTATAGGACTAGAAAAAATAATTGAAATAAGGTTTTTCTACCAGTTTGAGAAAAATGGTTTCATTCTTGTTTGAGGCAGCAAGCAAAGAACTGAAGGAAATTACAAAGTTTTCTGAAAAGTAGATATGCTTTAAAAAAGTAAACCATTCATGGAAGCTAAAGTAAATATTTCTGAGTAAACTAAAAATTTTAATAGCCACGACTTCTTTAACTTGCTAAACTTATTTGATATTCCTACTTTCTTCTCTTTGAGGATAGTCACGGCTCTGAAGCTTTTTTTAAACTTAATTTCTCTGAACTGTTTTTTTTTTCTGACTGTAAAAACAGTACATTTTGATTATATGAAATTCTAACATTAAAGAATTACAGAAAGTAGTAAGGAAGGCTCTTATATTTCCATTCCCTCCAGTAATTTTCCAAAGTACACAAAGCTATATGCACAAGGATATTCTTTACAGCATAGTGAGAATAGAAAAAAAATGGGAAACACTAGGAGTTTGAGCCTTAAATTAAGTCACACAGGAGCCTGTTTCCCTTCCTCCTTCCTTTGCTTCCCTTAAACAGCTTTTACTCCCCTCCCCTCCCCCTAATCCTCCCTCTTCACCTCACATCAAATGGCTTTTTATTCTCTGCATCCTTTGCCTTTCTTCTTTTTTTCTTTAGAGCTCAGTGCAGAAAAATTCTTGCACTGAGGGTACCCATATGTTTTGTAGGCCAACCAACCCATTTTCCCTCTCTTCCTCAAAGTAAAATATTCTCCCAAAGCTTTCACATTCTTAACGGTAAGAATTTGTGCTACCTCATACTGCACCCCATCTTGCCCTCTTTAACCTTTCACGATTAACACTGTCACTCAGTCAAATTATTTTTTGTTTCTATTGGTTAGGCTAACACCCATAATTTACCCTTGTCAATCAATCAATTAATCAACGAGCATTCATTGAAGGCCTGCTTCCCAGTAAAACCTGATTGGCTGGTTTGGGGGGTTGATTTATAATTCTAATGAAAAATATTTGCAATGATGGAGGGTGGGATAAGGAAGTTACGAAGTTTAATCACTTTCTAAAGTGCCTTAGTTTGCAGTTGAGGCTAAGCAAAAACTGAGGTGAAGGTAAGTGACAAAGAGTGCTTCCCTCCTTTAACTCTCTCTTTGCTGACTCAAGAGTGGAAAACAGCATTATCAGGGAGGCTGCAGCTGCTCCAGTCCTAGGGCTTGGCTAAAAATGGAGTGGCCCTGGGAAGATGCTGTAACTATCAGAAGAGTATTTTTTTTAGCCTAGATAAAATATTCATAAACCTATTGCTATTTGTGCTTTTCACATTTGCATGTGTAGAGAATGTCTGTGTAAAGACACTGTTGCCTTAATTATTCTTGTGCACCTCCTCCCACTTGTCAGTAGATGAACATTTAGGCTAGGCCCAGGGGAGTTTCCACATGGTAATTAAGGAAGGGACAAGGGTTGGGCTTCGACCCTCTGACGTGGTGACCAGCAGATAATTAAAACTGAATAAATCAGCGGGCGCGGTGGCCCACGCCTGTAATCCCAGCACTTTGGGAGGCCGAGGTGGGCGGATCACGAGGTCAGGAGATCGAGACCATCCTGGCTAACACGGTGAAACCTCGTCTCTACTAAAAATACAAAAAAATTAGCCGGGCGTGGTGGCGGGCGACTGCAGTCCCAGCTACTCGGGAGGCTGAGGCAGGAGAATGGCGTGAACCCAGACGGCAGAGCTTGCAGTGAGCCGAGATCACGCCACTGCATTCCAGCCTGGGCGACAGAGTGAAACTCCGTCTCAAAAACACAAAAAACAAAAAACAAACAACAAAAAACCTGAATAAATCAACGTGAGCTCTTCCAAGGAGAGGAATGGCAAATTCTTTACTTTGTGAGGTAAGGAGACAAGGATCTTTTGGTTGTCAAGCAGTTTCCTAAGAGAGATAAATAAATTGGATTTTTTAAGTTCCCGCTAGGGAGTCTTGACAGAAAACTCTTGACTCATGGTTTTATGTCCCATTATCTTCACTAGTCAAGTCACTGCTGACAGTGTTCGAATTGTTGGCAGTCATTTAAGTGTTTTTTGCAAAGCAATGTCCTGCCCAAAGGAACTATCTGGTGGCTCTGGTCCATAGACTTCACATCATGACTGCACATGGTGTGGAAACCTGATTCTTGCTAATGCACAGATAAAAGCCATAACAGAACGGTGACGGAACAAATGAAGCCTGTCCTTTAAAGTAAGCACTGCCTTTTTGTTTGTTCTGCTATAGAAAAAAATGAATAGACGGGTCTTTTGCAAGCTTTCAGGGCACTGACTTTTTATTCCCTACCCCCACTTCTGGAAATAATCATTTTGATTATTAATTTTTTCCCTTTAATCTCTTATTGACTATTAATATGATTGTTTTATCCACCGTGGGTGAATGCTTAACTAATACAGTTCTTCATACAAATGCAAACTTCCTATTTACCAGCCTCTGGTGCTGCGTCTTGCATCAGAGTGGTATCATTCAGCTTCAGTTGCTATAGCATTTTCAAGAACCTCTCTGTTCTTGTCATAAATTATCTTTAAGTGAAAAAAGCTCAAAGGAGGTCTGCGGCAAACTGTATCAAATAATGAATTTGTAAGCGGTGGAAGAAAACACTTATCTTTCTTATACTCTTCTCCCATCGATTGTTCTGTGACCCTTCTTGGGGATACAGATGAGCATAACCCTGAAAAATGTTTGTGTTGTCTTTCTTTAACTGGCAGCCTGCGGGCTGCATGATCTAATAAATATTGGCAGGGCCAAATGAAATAATATAGAAGAGCTTCTCTTCTTTAAAGTCCACAGACCAAGAGACTCTTGTCACTTGTTAATATCTCCATCAAACACTGAAGTGTTAACATATGTGATACGACCACGCAATCAAGTAAGGACCGATTTGTTGACTAATTAAACCAACACAACAAGCTCTTTAGCACCTACAAGTGACAAGTTTAGAGCAGGCAAGTGGAAACTCTCAATTGAGCCCCCTTTTATGAGACTATCATGCCAAATTCAATTCTGACTGAGTAGTATTTGAATGTACTTGACTTCCACCATGTGCTGACATGCTTACAATAATTCATCAAGGGTGACAATAGCCCAATATTAGAGATTTATGATATATACAAAACAGTTACAAATGAAATGTAGCCCTTACATGGGTCTGCTTTCCTTACCCACTGCCTATTGATATTATAATTAATGGTCAATTACTTAGGGAAAAGAAAATAGAAAATAGTCATTACTGGTTTCAGTCATCATTGGACTTTTTTTTTTCTTTTGGCAAATTCTGGAGGTAAGTGGAACCATTTCCACAGTGTTTGGCAGTTGCTTCAAAATAATAAATGGACATTGAAACCTGGTATTCATGACTCATTTTGGCAATGAGAATGAGCTAATAATAAAATTTTAAAGGAAACTGAGGATACATTAAGTTGCCTGATAAATGGAAAAGCACTCTAAGATGTATCTTTGAGTAGATAATACATATGTGTTCTATCTCTGTGCATATGTATACACCTTCCTTCACCAACTGCATGGATGTTCTATATTCAGTTTCCTCATTTATAAAATGAAGCAGCTCCACTAGTTTATTTCTAACATCCCTCCAACACCTAAACTTCTCTGGCGTCTGATCTGACCTCTCCATATCCAGGTTAATGAAAAGGGAAGCAGAACTCTTTCTATTGTTTTTGGCATGCAATAATCCCTCTCTCCTTCCTCCTCAGTACACTCACTTTTTTATCCTTTATATACACAAATTCCAATTTGTCATATCCAGCTCCAACCTTCTTCTGACTGACCATATCCTTGTCAGCCAGACAATTCCACTTGTAGGTAACCAGGAATTGACTGTCAATATAAACATAACACATATACCTAAGGGTATATGAGTCACATTTTCCAATCTTTTTGTGCTCATGAACAAGTAAGGTGCAGTGGCAGTAGTAGATCCCCCAGGTGGTTTTGAATTAGCGGGGGAAGCTGCAGATCTTGGCCTCTTAACCTGGAAGTGGCCTATAATCTGGGCCCAGCTATAGGTGCTCTGCTTCAGACACATCCCAGGTTCTGTGCATCCCAGACTTGCAGGTCAGTAGCTTATATCCCAGGCACTATATGCCTTTTTGGCCTCTCTCGTGGAGAAGTAGCTGTGGGTCCAAATACCTGGCTGGCAACAGGGGTCAGGATCTGGTAAGATGCCAAACAGATTCCCAGCATACTGTGAGGGTGACCTCCAGACTCTAAGTGGCCACCTCCACATCCCATCCATCAAAGGAACCCTCTGATGATTCCCCCACCTTGTGATGAACGTGACTTGTGTTGAAAATGCTATGCCACCTGGAAGTCCTAGCCTCCTGCTCCCCATGTGGGATTTCTGAGAGATATGCACATGGCCATCCCCATCAAAGAGACTATTCTTATTTTCCCCCTAATCTGTGGCAGAATTTTGTTTATTTTGAATAGACAATACTGTTCAAAAATGAAAATGATATAAATATACTCATTGAGAAAACTTGCTCATAGCTCATAGCTGCATCTCTGTCCACTCCATTTCCCATCTCCCTTTTGGTAAATCCTTTTATTAGTTTTTGTATATTATCTCAATATTTCTTTAGGGAAATGTAAGTGTATATGTATATTTGTTGTTGTTTTGTTTTTCTCCTTTCTTTCTTAGCCAAAATTAGTATACTGCATGTTGTTCTAAGCCTAATTTTTTTCCCTTAACAATGCACCCTGGACATATTTCCAAATCAGTACAGAAACATCTGCATCAAAGACAAAAACTTCATTTCTGAACAGGGCTTCTGCCAGAAACCCTGGCCTTCATTCCTTCTCAGAAGAACCACTGGGAACATCCTTGAGGGAAACTAGAGTTTCTCCCTTAAGCCCAGGGCAAGACTTTAAAAATCCATCTCTTGCTTGTGGGCTCCTAGCTCTCTAGACTGTCCTTGCTGCCCAAGACAATCTCCTTAAAGAGACCTTCTTTACTGCAGGAAAGGATGGTGTAGATTAAGATACTGCAGATGGTATGAGGTGAGCTGAAATAGAGTCCTGGTCTTTAGAGTAGTGGAACATTCTGAAGGATTCCTCTAGGAATTATAACTTGTCGTTCTGAAGACCTTTTTTCCCTTGATAAATTTCACAAAGTTCAGTGGCAGGGCTCACGCAGTCCTGAGTTTTCTCCATTTGGTCCCTAAAGTCTGGACTAGTTTTCAGCCACCCAGGACATAGTCTCTCCAACCCTACTAGCACTCTACTTTTTAAAAAATAATATTTATTGCTTGTCTAGTTTTCTTCTTCTGATTTTAAAATTGCTATGCTTATCATTTGGAAATTTGAAGAATGTAGAAATATATAAAAAAGAAAATCATTATCGTTTGTAATACTGGAAAACCACTATTAATATTCTGGTAATATAGGCCAGTCGTGGTGGCTCATGCCTGTAATCCCAGCACTTTGGGAGGCCGAGGCAGGCAGATCACCTGAGGTCAGGAGTTCGAGATCAGCCTGGCCAAGCTGGTGAAACCCTGCCTCTACTAAAAATATAAAAATTAGCCTGGCACAGTGATGCACGCCTGTAATCGCAGCTACTCGGGAGGCTGAGGCAGGAGAATCACTTGAACCTGGGAGGTGGAGGTTGCAGTGAGCCGAGATTGCACCCCTGCACTCCAGCCTGGGTGACAGCAAGACTCCATCTCAAAATATATATATACAAAATATAGTCTTTTGGCTTTATAAATAGGAATCATACAAAACATACTGCTTTGTAACATTTATTTATTTATAGTTTACATAGTTTTTAAAAAATAATAGAGTTTATTTTTTAGAGCAGTTTTAAGTTTACAGAAAAATAAGTAGAAAGTTTGGAGAGTTCCCATATCCCTCCCTGGCCTTTATATATTACTTGCTATATCATGAACACTTTTGTAAATACTTTAAGTTGATTTTTGAAATATCTTCATAATATACCATCACATATATGTATAGCACTTTAATCAATCTCCTATAGTTCAGATTATTTCTCACATTCCTTATGTTCACTGGTATAAACAATACTGCAGTCAACATCCTTATAAATTAGTATTTGTCCAAATGTCTGATTCTTTCCCAGAATAGAGTCTTAGAAGTGGAATTGTCAGGTCAAAAAACATGTGCATTTTCAAGGCTTTTGATACATATTGTCAAGGTCATTTGAACCCATTTTAAAAGAAATACAAGGCAGTTCCAGAGATCTAGAAAAGCCAGCAACTCTAGTTTTCCATATAGACCCAAAATCACCATAAGAAAGTGAAACACTTGTCCAAGTAATTGGGACTCCTTGTCCTGAGCAGTGAGAAGCTGCAGGTGTGGAGAACTGCTGGTGGTGTGCAGAGCCCACTCTAGGAATGCTGGGAAATATGGTCTTTTATACCAAGACCTCACTGTGGGCCTCTAGCCCAAAGACGGCAGACTGAATTGCAACTCTTAGTTAACTGTGGAAGGTTTAGGACAAGGCTTACCCGCATATGCCACCTGCAAACAAGAAAACTCATGTTACCGTTGAAGAAAGGCAAGGAGATACAGAAGTAGCTTCTCAATGCCAGCATTTCCCAAACTAGAATATGTATATCATTGGTTCCTGAGAGTATATGCATGAAAATAATTATTTTTAATGGTTATATCTTTATTTTATTTTATATCAGAAGAATTAATAATGAACATAATCAAACCCATAATTTCATGGATATTATTTCTTAGGATGAGTCTAAGTTAAAAAACAATAACAAAAGTGACTTGGTTTAATGGCCTTTTAAAGAAAACCATAATGCAAATAATAAACGACTGATGTACAGATATGGCAAAAAATGTGGTATGCAGCTGGGCACAGTGGCTCACGCCTGTAATCCCAACACTTTGGGAGACCGAGGCAGGTTGATTGCTTGAGCTTAAGAGTTTGAGACCAGCCTGGTCCACATGGTGAAACCCCCTCTCTACTAAAAATACAAAAAAAATTTAGCCGGGCATGGGGGTGGGCACCTGTAACCCCAGCTATTCGGGAGGCTGAGGCAGGAGAATCGCTTGAACCCAGGAGATGGAGGTTGCAGTGAGCCGAGATTGTGCCACTGCACTCCAGCCTGGGTGCCAGAGCGAGACTCCCTCTCAAAAAAAAAAAAAAAAAAAAAAAAAAGTGGTATGCAAAAAATGGAGGTTTGGGAAATGTTGCTGCACGCAATATATGTATTTCTAAAAAGTACAAAAAGTTTCCAAATTAAATTGCTTTAAAATTTTTAGAGAAGGTAACTAATTTTAAAAACTATAATAAATCTTTTTGTAACTCGAATTATTAATATAATATCACTTTTCATAGTAAATGTCTCAAAATGTCATGTTTTGACTTCAAGTTGCTTTAAGAGAAGGACATATGCATTCCAATTTAGAGTCTTAATGTAGGGTGGAAGGATACCTAATGAGTCTCTGCACGTTACAAGAGTGAAAGGCACATTATAGTCCTTTTTCTAAAACGTATGCAGGCTGGGCGCAGTGGCTCACAACTATAATCCCAACACTTTGGGAGGCCGAGGCGTGCATATTGCTTGAATTCAGGAGTTCAAGACCAGTCTGGGCAACAGGATGAGACCCCGTCTCTACAAAAAATACAAAAATTAGCCAGTTGTAGTGCCACATGCCTATACTTCCAGCTACCCAGGAGGCTGAGGTGGGAGGATTGCTTGAGCCTGGTAGATCAAGGCTACAGTGAACCGTGATTGCGCCACTGCACTCAAGCCTGGGTGACAGAGTGAGACCTTGTCTCAAAAAAACAAAACAAAACAAAAAATACAAAAGTATGTACTTCATTTTTTAAAAAGTATATGCAATTCAGAGAACTTTGGAATTTGGAGCTGGTGAGATATTTCAAAACATTTTTTAGTATGTTTGAAAATATAGTTATTCTCTTTAGTAAATAGAGAAATCAAAAAGTTCAGCACAAGGTAAGAGTGAAGTATTAGGTTTTTATATATACAGACACGCACACTTTCACTTTTGTTTATAGATGCAAATTACTGGGAGGAGGGGTCTTTACATGCTCAAAAAAACTGAGAGCTTAGGTTTTTAAAAATCCATTAATTTTAGTTCCTTTTGAGGTTCAGAGGATTTTTTACAGACTGCTGTTGAGATCAGATGGTCTCTAAAGAAATCAATCCAATTTCAACAGAAGAGCTATGCCGTGTTGGGATTTTTCATATAATCCAATTGCTAAATGATATCAAGGCTACTTTGATTTAAAAGAGGAAACACAGACATCATTGTTCTTAAACCTCTCCATTCTCACAAGATCAGCTGACCAAAAATCCTTCCCTAAAGAGAAAGACTGCATTTTCCATGATCAAGAACAATCAACATTAATAAAATAATATCGGTATGAATATAGAATGTTATTTATTTGATGATACCGAATATAGTGCTAATGCCCTAAGTGAATGCCATGAGAGTAAGGATAAAGCATATGCAACTTATTTCTGCATTGTTCCAAAGTATCACTCAACTCCTGAGAAATACAGGTACTTCTTTAGCCTCTTGATTCAAAGGAACCCATAACTATACTCTCTAGATTTGTCAGAAAGCAAGAGAATAAGGTCATGAGTAAAGAAGACCAGCAGTATATCTAAATCTAAAACTGTGCTTCTATTGCAAAGGGAGAGGGAAGTTAATTATTATTATTACAAAGCTTCCTAAATAAAAGCTTTTAACAGTTCAATCTAGCAGATGCAACCAAATCTCTTTTATTGATGTGTTGTTGCTCTGGTTTATAAGATTAAGATAAGTACAAATAAGAAAAGGGTTTCTATTTTCCAGATTCCTCAATTATAATTTTCATTAAAAATTCTTCACCTCCTTCACCTTTGCCAGCCCTTCCTTCCCCACTGCAATGTATTTAATCAGTCTTGTTGCAAGGCGTTTTCTAGAAGGCTTTCGATAACCGTGATTTGCAATTTTGAAAATGTCTAGATCGGGTTTCATAAATTGGATTTCTTTGAACCCCAGTCCTTGATGATGTTAACAGATGTTTTATAAAAAAGAATTCAATATGAGATGCAAGATGGCCAAAAGGCACTCCTCAGACCCCTGTCACACACAGTGGTTGAAGGAACCACTTGGGAGGGTCTCGGCTGCCTTTTGTTTTAACTTATCTTGCCTGATGAGCCAAAGTTAAGACAGCTGGTGTAAAAGGTAAGTTTACCCTATTAATGTCTTCTTCATTAATTTTTTGTGTCAAGCAGTAAAAATTATACAAATGCATGCTCATTATACACAAATATATAATATATAAATACATTTTTAGAATAAAGCCCCTATATTTCACCACCTAGAAATAACTACTGTTAAAAATTATCTGTTTTAAAGCCAAAATTGACAAATGGGATCTAATTAAACTAAAGAGCTTCTGCACAGCAAAAGAAACTACCATCAGAGTGAACAGGCAACCTACAAAATGGGAGAAAATTTTCGCAATCTACTCATCTGACAAAGGGCTAATATCCAGAATCTACAATGAACTCAAACAAATTTACAAGAAAAAAACAAACAACCCCATCAAAAAGTGGGTGAAGGATATGAACAGACACTTCTCAAAAGAAGACATTTATGTGCCAAAAAACACATGAAAAAATGCTCATCATCATTGGCCATCAGAGAAATGCAAATCAAAACCACAATGAGATACCATCTCACACCAGTTAGAATGGCGATCATTAAAAAGTCAGGAAACAACAGGTGCTGGAGAGGATGTGGAGAAATAGGAACACTTTTACACTGTTGGTGGGACTGTAAACTAGTTCAACCCTTGTGGAAGTCAGTGTGGTGATTCCTCAGGGATCTAGAACTAGAAATACCACTTGACCCAGCCATCCCATTACTGGGTATATACCCAAAGGACTATAAATCATGCTGCTATAAAGACACATGCACACGCATGTTTATTGTGGCACTATTCACAATAGCAAAGACTTGGAACCAACCCAAATGTCCAACAACGATAGACTGGATTAAAAAAATGTGGCACATATACACCATGGAATACTATGCAGCCATAAAAAAGGATGAGTTCATGTCCTTTGTAGGGACATGGATGAAACTGGAAACCATCATTCTCAGCAAACCATCGCAAGGACAAAAAACCAAACACCTCATGTTCTCACTCATAGGTGGGAATTGAACAATGAGAACACATGGACACAGGAAGGGGAACATCACACTCTGGGGACTGTTGTGGGGTGGGGGGAGTGGGGAGGGATAGCATTAGGAGATATACCTAATGTTAAATGACGAGTTAATGGGTGCAGCACACCAACATGGCACATGTATACATATGTAACAAACCTGCATATTGTGCACATGTACCCTAAAACTTAAAGTATAATAATAATAAAATTTAAAAAAATTATCTGTTTTTCTGAAGCACATATTTGTATATTCACAAACACATTTATAAAAAATGTAATCATAAAATGTCCAAGGTTTTGCAGTTTAAATTTGTTCACTCAATAAATGTTTTACAAAATCATCTTTAATGGCTATATCGTATTCCCATTACAGATGTTACATAATATATCAGTTAATCCCCTAGTGTTACATATTTATGACCTTTGAAAGTTTCAATAGCTTGAAAAGTAATTCTATCAGGTTAGTGACTCTAAGAAATTGTTCATAGATCAAAATCAAAAGCAAGAAAACTGTTTCCTCTCTATTTTCTCCCCTAAGATACCAAAACTATGTAACAACTAAAAAATCAGACATATTGGACATTGTTATTTATAACTTATGCCTCATCTAGGTCCAACAAGACTTACAATAAAGGATCAATATCTTTCATTATTACTCTTAAACTAAAAGCAATCAATTTAAGTTAAAAGGTTTCTTTATGAAATGTCCCCATAGCAGGGCACATATTAGTGTTACCTAATCTTTTTTCCACTAAGGACCTCTTTCGCTCACTTCCCTGGACAACATCCACACTGCCTGTGGACACCATGTTCTGAAAGCTATGTACCAAACAAACAGCATTTAGTAAGTGTTGGCATACTTTCCACTTAAATATCGAGTCAAGTTTTCGTGAATAACCAATGGCTATCAGAGTTGCACAATCATGTAAAATAATTAACCTACAATGTGAAAAAGCAATGAGCTATTTCTTGTGAAATGCTCTGCAGTGACTGCTAGCCTGTTGATAGGATAACACAGCCAGGTGTCCCAATCCCATCCCACAAATGACTATGAAGCCAGCAACGGTCAAGCCAAACTTCTTCCCAACATGATCTAACCAGTTTCCCTAAGGAAAAGGTGATACGTAATTCTAACCAAAAGCAAAAAAAAGACTAATGTTTTAAACTTTCTGAAATAGTGAATATAACTCACAGACTGAAACTAGTACCCACTACCTGTCCTCCTTTATTTTTGTGTGTGACAAGAAATTCAGAGTTCAAACTATGAGGAACACATTGCCCGTGCCAGCCCATTCCTTAGCATTCTGGATCTTCCACAAACTGGCTCCAAACCACTGTTGGAGCTCATTTTTCACTCTTCTCCTTCAATGCTCCTTCCATGCCAGCTAAATTCGACAGCTCTGCATTCCTGCATTTTCACCTGCGAAAGCCGCTGGGAAGTATTCCCATCTCCATGCTATTCTTCCTGGGCTCCATTAATCAGAATGCCTTTCCCACCCCCATCTGCATCCTGTATTTGTATCTAAATTCCACATGTTGTTTGAGACCTACCACAGTTCCCATAAGTTTGAGGTGAATAACCATTGAGCATAGGTACTACAAGTGTTGTATGCTTGGATATCCATAAGGCTTAGTACTTAGCATTAAGCACTTCACGAGTGTCTTTGCATAAGATAATTTCTCCTTCTTCTAAATTGATATAACACTGTGACTCCTTTTCTCTACTTCTTTTTTCTACTGTATCAAAATAATTTATCTGCATCTCTTATCTCTCAATATAGTATGAACTCTGGTGGATAGAGTCTGTCTCTAATTCACTTTTGGGTTACCAGAGCAACTTAAGATTTTTAGGGGCTGAATGAGTATTCGATGAATCATCATATTATTATTCTAGCTCTGCAAAACCTTCAAGATGCTGCATGTACTTACAGGCTGAGGTGAGGGGATGGTGATGACTAGAGTCAAGAAGGACTGAGTTGGTAATCCTGGTTCTGGGTAACCCTGGGCAAATCTATTCACCATTTTAAGCCTCAAATGCAAGCTTTTTGTACAGATTGAATAAAGGTTGCACACGGATGTCCCAACTCACCCTTGTCTCTACCTGAGTTCATCTCCTTTTCCCTGAATGAGTTCCTTCTCCCAAATTCTCTGTATCAGTTTGTGGCACCAATATCCACTGAAACTCTCTCCTTCAGCCCCTAGCTCCCATTAGTTACTTGGTCCTAACAATTTTGTATCTTAAATGTTTCTTGGTTCTTTCCCTTTTTTCCATTCTGTATAGCAGTCCCTCCAGCCCCATCTCATCCTCTCTCCTCAGGGTCACTGCAGCAACACCATTCACTTTCCTGTTTGACACCTTCACCCCCAGCCCAATCCAATCACCACAGTGATCTTTCCCATATAGAAATCTTACTATTTTATTCCTTTTCTTTCAACCTTCAACGTCTCCCCAATCACCTCTAGGATACAAGTCAAGGTCTTCCCAAGGCATAGAAGGTCTTCCATGGTGAGCTTCCTGCCTACCTCCTAAGTTGCTCCTTGTGCTACTACCTGTCTCCAACTTTTTGGTTCTATTTTGTTGAACTACAGTTTCCTAAATACACAAGATTACTTCTTGTCATTGGGCCTTTGATTAAGCCATCCTCCTTGCATGAAATACCCACTTCCCTTGGCTAATTTCCATTTACCCTTTCTCAGTTCAGGCATTGTATTTTTTGGAAAACTTCCTTAACTAGACCCTTTCACAGGCTTGGCAAGTTATCCATCTCCTGTGCTCCATGTGCATGTTTCTACCACAGCTGTAATAATTTTAAATATTATAATCATCTACTACCTTCTGTCTTTTCCATCACAATGTGAGCCCTTTAGATTAGGTACTATTTTATCGACTTCCATATCCCCAGTGCTTATCAAGAGTCTGGCACAGAATAAGCACCCATAAGCTACAATCCACAGTACCAAATCTCTATGAAAAATCTCTACCCTCTACAGGGTTTGTCTTCTGTAACACAATGCTTCAGTGTCTCACCTTACTTTTTCTTTCCCATTTAAGTCTAGGGAAAGAAACAGTTGGACAAGGAGGATTTTAAAAGAAAAAAAAATCAACAGATGCTGATTTTAAAGAGTGACAATGAAAAAAACTGCAATATGATAATTTTTAGGGTGATTGGCGAGTTTTTAAAAGCTTATGAAATATATAGGCAGATGTACCTGGAAACCTATAACAGCTGGATATGCCCCTTTGGAAAATGCTGACGTAAACACACGGTCTCTACTGTGTTTATAGGAATATGGTTTAAAAATTGTATTTGCATAGACGATCATACTTTTCAAAGCTATTAGAGTGGACATTCACAATAATCTGATGAAACATCCACAGCTTACTCAATAGCACCACTAATATACCCGTCAGACACCGCAAATGCAACATGTCCAAAGCAAAGCTCCCAATCTTCTCTCCCCAAACTGCTCCTCTTATAGTTTTTATCATTGCAATGAATGGCAATTCTGTTCTTTCAGTTGCTTAGGTTAAGAACCTTACACTAATTCTCAACTTTTTTCTTTCCTTCACACCCTGTATCAGCAAATTCTATTAATTCTATATACCCAGAAACAGACCACTTCTCATTACTGCCACCATGGCTACCTAGGCTATGTCACCAACTTCTCTTCCCTTTCCTGTTTCATAGCAATAGTCTCCTAACTGATCTCCCTTCTGCTCTTGACTCATTTAATCTCTGCAAACCCAGTACTTAGAGCGATCCTTTTCCACTATGTAAGTCAAATGATATCACTCCTTTGCTCAAATCCCCGGGGGCTCCTCCTTTGACTCAAAGGCAGAGGCCTTAAAACCCTCTACAAGGCACTCCCCCATCATCGTTCTGAGCTCATAGGCTCCTACTTTCCACCTTGCTCATTCCACCACACTGGACTTCTTCCTCTGCCTGCTGCATCTCCTACTCGATATGGTTTGGATGTTTCCCCCCTGCAAATATCATGTTGAAATGTAATCCCCAGTGTTCAAGGTGTGGCCTGGTGGGAGGTGTTTGGATTATGGGAGTGGATCCCTCATGAATGGCTCAGTGCCATACCCTTGGTAATAAGTGAGTGCTAGTCCTGAGTTCATGTGAGATATAGTTGTTTAAAAGTGTGTGGCACCTCCTGCCACCCCTCTTGCGCCACTTTCGCCATGTGTCATACTGGCTCCCCATCGCCTTCTGCCATAATTGTAACTTCCTAAGGCCTCACCAGAAGCAGGTGTCAGCACCACACTTCCTGTAAATCCTGCAGCACGATGAGCCAATTAAACCTCTTTTCTTCATAAATTACCCAGCCTCAGGTATGTATAGCAATGCAAGAATGAACTAATACATTCCTTCTTCTACCTTGGGTCCTTATACTCATTCACTCTGCTTGGAATGGTCTTCCCCCTGATACAGGGCATAGCTCAGAAGTTTATACAAAGATCACTTTGTTCAATGAGGACTTCTCTGGCCACCCTACCTATGGTGGATTGAAAAACATGGCCATATTTTGCAGCTCCTCTCAGAAAAAGGTGGAATCTATTTTCCCACCACTTGAATCTTATTTGACCTTGTGACTAGTTTGGACCAACAGAATGTGGTAAAAGTGATGCTTATGAGTTTTAGAGCCTAGGCCTCAAGAGATTTGGCAGACTCTGCCTTTGCTCTCTTGGGATGCTTGCCTAGACACTGAAAGATGAGAGCCTACATCAAGGGAGAGGCCTGGCAGACAGCCTGCATCAAGCCCCAGGCACTTAAGTGAGACCATCTTAGACTCTCCAGCCTCAGCCAAGCTGCCAGATGACTGCTGTCACATGAGTGACCCCAGGCAAGATCAGCAGAAAAGCCTCTCAGCTGAGCTCAGTCCTAATTATTGACCCATGGAATTGTGGAAAAATAACAAATACTTGTTTTAAGTCACGAAGTTATACAGTAATAGATAATTGAAGCATGATTTGAAATTTCAACTGTTTCCTGATACTTGTTTAATTATTTATCTATCTGTCACTACTAATTTGAATGTAAGCGCTATGAGGACAGGATTTTTTTTCTATTTTGTTCATTTCTGTGTTTCTAGTGCTTACTATAGTGCCAGTCAATAGTCTGTATTAAACATTTTTTGAATAAGTGAGTGAATGAATAAATGAATGAGTAAAATAGATTTGTAGGGCCTTATACATTCTCTAGTATGGCCCTTTTTTTAAAAAAATGAGAAAACTGCAACCTACAGACAATGTCATGACTGGAATCTGGATCTTCACTCCCAGTACAAAAAAGCTCAATTTTCCACACTTATTCAATTATTCTGTATTGAGTTTCTTTCTGAATTAAGTCAAACTTTTAGGATTTCACATGACAGAAACCCAGCTCAATTTAGCTTAATAAAAAAGAGAAAGGGTAGAATCTATGGATTCACTAAGCTGGCAAGTTCAGAGGTGCCTCTAATTTTAGATATGGCTGGATCCACAGGCTCAAATGACATTGGTGAAGTTCTGCCACTCTCCCTCCCTTTCTTGGACAGACTCTATTCACTACCAGATTGATAACTCCAGAGAACAGATTGGTCTTTCCTGACAGCAATTCCAGATAATTCCTAGGGTCATGTCCAGTGCCCATTCCTGAACCAATCACTATCCCTTTGGATGGTGCTGGACAGCAGGGCCAATGTCACCATCACATAGGATGAGGTCCCCTGGGAAAAGAGGGTTCTGTTACCAGAAGAGTGGAGGTAAGTTGTTCTGGATACACTAAAACTCCAGATGTCTACTTATATTCCGTTCGTAGTACTAGCTGTAGGCTTTGTTTAACTATAGATAAACCAACTCAAATAGCAGAGAAGATGTAGATATCATTGATTTTTTTTCTTATGAAGAAGGATCAGTGTAACAAAGCAGTAGACACTTCACACTGGACAGAAAAGCAGACAGAAGTGATTGCCAAGCTTGCTTCCATTGTCTTGCACGGCTCCAACCAATATTCTACAGGGCAGGTTCAGAATTTAAAGATAGGGGTGGGGCAGAGTCCACAGTGTTTGTAATCCATGTCAGTGACTATCCTCAGTGACATCCAACCTGGAATAAAAGTCAAAGTGTTTCAGAAAAGCCTGCATTGAGGAGAGAAATGGGGGTTGGGGGGCGGGAAGAAGGCACTACATTTTATCGGAAAAAAAATCACCATGTTTAACAAAGATTTTGAGAACAAGCTAAAATGAGAATATACATTGTCCATTATAGGGCAGAACTGAGATGAGAGAAGGGAATCAATATGCCTCAGCAATACTTAAGAGATGTTTTTCATCTGGAAAATGATCTTAGGACCACTTTTGCTATTTTGAAATCCAGCCCAAGCACTTGTGAGAAGATGACCTTTTATATATTGCATTTTGCAGAAAACTATATATAGTTGGATACAATATTTTGACCTAAAAGGGAAAAATGAAATAGAAAAATGGTTCTTCCGGATTTTCAACCAAAAAGCAGTACATGGCAGAAGAGAGAGTGCAGAGTCTGCAGACTTGGCCCAGTAGAGCATTCTGGCTGAAATGTCATTATCTGAAGGATTCTAGACATCTGCATTATTTTGCATGAGCCACCATCAGCAAGTAACTTAGGGCAGGATATAGAAACATTGCTTTTTTTCATTTCTTAAAACCATCTTGTCCTGATTCTTGGATGCACATGCTTTTGTGGGGGAGGGGTGCTACTGGGGAGAAAAGGTCACTGATTTCCAAAATGTTAGAGGTTCTGATTTTTTCTTTTACAGAATAACATTTCATCTTGATATTATTTTAGTATTTACCACTCTGTATTGTCTTAGACCTCATCTTGGCAAAGGGCTCCTAAACAACTGCCACTTTTAGCATTGCTGCCAAAAGGCGCCCTTTCACAATAAAGCATGCTGTGCTTTGGCAGGAAATCAATAAAGTGAAAATCTGTTCTCATCATCCATACATTTACCATCACAATCAACAATCAAAGGCAAGACCTGGGTTCTTTATCCACAGGCTCCAGCCTCCCAATTTTCTGCTATGAAAGGCAGCATAAATTAGAACCCTTGGTTCCTGTTAGCTGGGCTTAATGGGTATGATTTATGAACCATTAAATGAGGTTATGTAAATTGATCCTTAGCAGAATGCTAGCGCCCAGGTGACAGGTGCAGCATGCTCGTCCACAAGGGTTCTGTACAAATCAGATTTCAGTGACATTCAGTTTGAGGAAAGAGAAATATGTTGTCAACAAGGAAGTGATTTAAATAGTGCCCTGGGTTTGTCAGCAATTATCCCTTTCTTCTTAATTGCTGCAAACTATATAAATTCTAATAGGAAATAAATTAGTAATTTACCAGTTAATGACAAGGGGTATAAAGGAGAAGGGCTTAAATATTTTAAAAGCCATATTACCAGTGAGGCCATACACTTGGGTGATTTCACTTATGCTGTTAAAGTTGAAGAGATGCTTTACAGCAGGAGTATAAACTTTGACACACGACAATAAAATTACATTCATTGCAACAGAAAAAAAAAAACTGGATCCACACAGAAAATGTCCTTGCAGAATTACTTCGTGTGTTCCATAGAAATAAAGATGTTTCTATTTTCCATCATCATTAGCATCCTAAGCTTAAAACAAATGGTCTTTTTAATCCAGGTGCAAATAACCTGCTTTGTCTTTTAAAAAGTTTTTGTAAACCTGGCCTCTGATCAGTCAAATAAAAAGCATGCAATTGTAAAACTATGATGAGAGTGAAGGTGGGTGATGTGGCTGATGTTGCAGAGCTTTTAGTTTGCCTGTCTTGCTTAAACAACAGATACCAATAACAACATACTTTCTGTTACACTCTTCACAGTGAAAGGAACAGGCTTGGTGTTTGATGAGCCCCTCACTTTGAGTGACCAAACTAAAGGCTCAGTTAAAAAAAATAAAGATCCCTGGGAGAGCATATACGAATTAATTTCACCAGCTTTAAATATGAAAAAAAAAAACCTCACATCCATTCCTCCTCTTTGACTCGCTGCCTCTAATCAAGAATGTCGTGGCCTTCTGAGAAAGGATTCTCCTGGGAAAGTCAGTTCGATATCATCCCCGGCTTTTGTCTGAAGCTATTATTGTGCCTGTTTCCATGAGGCTGACCCTGGTAAGAGGACACATATGGATGTGATAGTAATGTTCTCTGGTCCCTGGCCGAGCCTATTAGAGTTCCCAACAGGGGGTCCCACCACTCTTTTTAATAGTCATTTCTACTTCACAAGTGCAGTTGTTTATGGACAGGGGAGATAATTTGACCCACTGTGGTGCTGTACAAAAGAGTGACAATAGGGCAAAGGTCATATGTTTAAAGAAGTTTGAGACTGTGGCCTGCTAGGAGAGGCTCTCCCTAGAAAAGGACAATATTAAAATGTCATTTGTGAACTTAGAATAGGGCCTGGGAGGTCACAAGTGAAGACTTATATAACCATTGACATAAATACACTATTTTAGTGTTGGTAGATAAAAATAATTTGGAAGTAAAGAAGGGGTATGAAAAGTAGTTTCATAACTAGTATAGGAAAAAACACTTGGGGATCACACAGCATTAAAGGCCCACTGGCTACTTTAAATACTAGCACCACTATTTATTAAGTGTGTGGCGGTGGGCAAGATATTTTACCTCCTAAAATCTGGATAAAAGCCCTGTCTCACAGGATTCTGTTGTGAAGATTAAATAAGGGAATGCATGAAAGTACTGACATACAGTAAGTGCTCAATATATGATAGTTTGATGTATTGAAATATAGATGATAGATAAATGATAGAGATATATAAACTGTACCATCAGGTACTGCTTAATAACAGGAATATGTTCTAAAAAATGCATTGTTATGCGATTTCTTCATCATGTGAACATTGTAGAGTGCACTTACACAAACTTAGATGGTGTAGCTTACTACACACCGAGGCTCTATGGTGTAGCCTATTGCTGCTCAGCTATAAAACTGTAGAGCACGTTACTACACTGAATACTCTGGGCAATTATAACACAATGGTTAAGTATTTGTGTATCTAAACACGGAAAAAAGGAATGCATTGCACTACAATGTTACAACAGCTATGATATCACTAGGTGATAGGAATTTTTCAGCTCCATTATGAGACCACCATTGTATATGCATTCCATTGCTATGAAGCATATGACTGAATACATATTTGGAGAGAGACAGAGAAAGAGAGGTCGCCGTTTTCTCTGCTTTAGAATTGTGAACTCCCTGCTCTGTAGATACTTCTGTCCATGGAAAGATGCCTTTTAATGCCAAGTCTACACGTTCCTTTCACCCAAACCAACCATGCATCATCTCCATTTCCCCCCTACTTTGGCCCTCTCTTGCCTTCTATCTGCACCTTTGCAGAAATGGTATATGCTAATTGAGAGTATGATTCAGAGCCACATCAGGATTCCAACTTCCCTACTCGTTAGCTTTGTGACCTTGAGCAAGCAGTTTCACCAATCTGTGCCCCAGCGTTATTCCTTGTAAAATGGGGATTAAAGAATAGTACCTACTGCGTGGGGTTGTTCTGAAGATTAAATGAGCTAAACTATGTGAAATGCCAAGAGTAGAACCTGGTGCATAGTATTAAGTATTACGTATCATTATTATTGCTACTATTATGACAGCACCCCCACCTCTCTTGTCTCTATATTCAAATCCTCAGTTGCCTGCCTGAAAGAGGGTGTTAACGCATACTGAGCCCAAATCACACACCAGGCACTTTTTATACATTGCTAAGACCTAAAATGTGAATTTTATCCCCACTTGATAAACGAAGTGAAGGCTCAGTGAGATTAAATAATTTGTCCAAATTATAAAGATTCTGTTATGCAAGATGAATAAGTTCTAGAGATCTGTTACATAATATAGTACCTATAGTTAACAACACAATATTGTGCACTTTAAAATATGTTAAGAGGATAAATCTCATGTTAAGTGTTCTTACCAAACAAGCAAACAAAACCACACACACACACACACACACACACACACACAGAAGTTACACAAGGAAATTTTTCAAAGTGATGGACATGTTTAATACTTTGGTTGTGGTGATGGTATCACAGGTGTATGCATTTGTCCAAACTCATTAAGATGTATGCATTAAATGCATGCAGTTTTGGTATATCAACTGTACCTCAAAAAAGCTTTAAAAAAGAGAAAAATATATACTCTAAAATATAAATAAATAATTTGTCCCAGAATACAGGGCAAATAAGTGCAGAGCCAACATTCAAACCCAGGTTTGACTGATCCCCAAGCCCGTACTCTTTTCACTGCATTTGTGCTTCACAAGTCCAGGGCAAAATATCCACAGCTGTGGAAAAGAAAGGGACAGGGGTCCCTCTAGCAGAACCTCATTTTGATATGGTGAAAAGAGCAGTTGGCTCTGACTCTCACACATTTTGAATTTAGTTTAGTCATCTGTAAAAACTGAGGTGCTAGACTGAAGGCTTCCAAACCATGATCACCCAAGACTTTGGGCTTCTTCAAGGTTGCTCAGGGGCCACTGCAGAAGGAAGACCCAGCAGGAAGATCCCAGACCCTCAGTGAGATGCTCATCCCACCTGAATCGAGTAAGTACTGGGGCTCTGGATAAGATGTTTGACAATATCAAGATCCCTTTCATCTCTAATATTCTGAGGATCTTTTTCAAATTATAGGATGAAAACATGACCACAATCTATACTGAAATAACTTTCAATTTAACAAATATTTCTCTGGTTCTATTACATGCAAAACACCATGTTGACTTGAATAAAAAACCTTCCTTTTCTCCCAAAAATTGTCTTATAAGAATTTCTTCCTCCTCGCTGAGTGTACTCTCAAGATGCATTTCTCTCAGGAAGTGTGTTTTCAGTGTACTTAAAAGCCAGAATGTGAAATGTTCCCTTAAAGCTCTCAACCTTTGTACTGCAGACCCCCATTTCCCTGAAGAGTATTTTTATCCCTTCCATATCTCCATGTCTTATCTGTGTACTTTATCTTGTGACCACAGCTCTGTGTCCTAGAGAGTCTAACACATTGGCCATTTTTCAAGAAATAATATTAAGGTGAACAGCCACGGCTGGGTAGATGGCAGACTCTAAGCATTTCCAATATTTTCTCTGTTTGCAGTGTGGGCACCAGTCTTCGGGGCTCCCTCCCCAAATTAGTCCAAGAAGTTTATTCTAGGAGAAGGCATCACTTGCTAATTGAATTAACCTCCCTCTTTGTGTTTTGATTCAATGGAGATTACCTCAGGGAATTCAGCGGCTCCTCTGTAACTTGGTTCCTGGGACAAAGATTCTTCCCTCAGAGACTATTTCCTTCCCCGATTCTTATTTCTTGGAAGAGGGATCAGGAAGGAATGTGGATTCCAGAGAATATTGCAGGGCGGAGGATAGAATGCAAATGAAGGGTTGTCCTTCCAGTTATCCCACAGGACAGTGAGGGAGGGTTCATCTACTCTCAGGAAAACTCTGTAAGAAGGTCATGGTGTTTGGGAATCCTATGTTGCAATAGTACTCAGGTTTAAGAAAATCCTAGAGACTGATCTTAAAATGGTTGAAGAATGTAAAGATTCTGAGAACCCAATATTCCCAGAATATCTGTGAACAAACACTTCTGTTTATAAGAAAAAATGGGCAAGCTTGATTGGCTATCCCAGGTGTGTGTGTGTGTGTGTGTGTGTGCACTCAAGTGTATGCAATTTTGTGGGAGACCATTTCAGCTTCACCATCTAAGTCAGTGGCTCACAACTCCAGCAGTATGCAGATGACATACACATAGATATATTTAGGCTCCATCCTTGGAGATTCAGATTTTGGCAAGGGTCCAGCATCATTTATCTTTGAAAAGCTCCCCAGGAGATAAGGATGCCCTACCAGGGCTGAGAATCACTAGTCTAAGCAAAAACAGGCACTGGAGGCCCTCATCATTACATCTTTGGCTCCACTTGTGCTTTTTTGCCCTGCTGAGTGTCAATCAGCTGCATGCTACAGTGTGGTGACAAGACTACACATGGGTTGATTGCATATATGGAAGATAGTCGCTGCTTTCTTGGATCTGTAAATTTACTGCTTGGGGCTTATTTTTAAAATAGTGTTATTTTTTACCAAAATACGGCCAACTCTAGCAAAAGTAGAACCCTCTTAATTAATGCAATTGACCTTTTTGTGAGGTCATTTATCCCCTCTGGATAAACATCCTATTTCAGCAGGGATAGAGTACTAGCAGTCATGTTTAGCAAACTTCAGGCCCTATAAAAACATTTTATTTGGCATAATGGATGACCCTGAGCAGCCACAATCTCAATGTTGTTTTTTTTTTCTACCTTATTTCTTGAGGCAAGAGACCAATAGATTGCATCAATTTTTTTTAACTTGAAAAGTTGATGCCTACTATAATACACCAGAAAGCTTAATCCTTGGTTTGGTCCCAAATCAGCAAACACTTGCTTTAGTGTAAGATGGACAACTGTGCTCCTGGGCTACAAAGACACCCCCTGAGCTAGTGCCCTTTCTACCCTCATACACATATAGTCTCTTTCCTCTTCAACCCATTGGACACAGTTATTAGAATTGGCTTCTTTAGACCCCTTTGCATGATGTCACTTCTCTCTCAAGAACTTCCATAGGCTTCCTAGTGTCAATCATTTGAAATCTAAACTCATTTAGCCAGGCCAACCTTCTAACCTCCACAGTGACTGATACTTTTATTGTTTCTCAATGTAGACTTCTCCCCTACCCTAACCAGGCCAGCATTATGCAGGGTTCATACTGGGTGATAGCCACCTTGCCTAGAACTTGATGTCTTTCCCACTTCTGTCTTGAACTTGGCCAGCCAAGCTAGAAGTGTATTTCCAGAGCCCATTTTGCCACCATCCCAGAAACAGCTGCTCTGTGCCATGGCAGGATGAGCCTCCTCACTCCCCTCATTTGACCTTGGCAATGTCCATTTTGACCCCCAAGGAATCCCCTGCTCCCATAAGAATCACCCTCTAAAGCAGCACCCAAAATTCATGCCTTCAAGAAACCTTCCTTGATTGACTTCATTGTACTTTGCAGGTATGGACTAGACTGCCTGTACTGTTCTCATTAACTTTACATGACCATAGATTGTCATCTGTGCTCTATTCCACATCACTAGCTAGATTGTAAATTCTACAGCGCAAGCATTTTTTATTATGCTGTTTCTATATCCCTTTATAGTTAGATGAAAATAAACTGAAATAGCCGATGCTCTTGTGAGGGAAGTGTCCTGCAGCCAGAACTGGGATGAGGCCCCATCAGCTTTTGGATGCTCCTGGCTGTGAGAATGTAGGAGTCCTGTACCCTGAGGTGAGGTGAGTCCTGCTCTGAGGTGAGGCAGAGAGAGTCAGACAGGGCATACCAGCCAGTGGATCTGACAGTAAGAAAGCCTTCAGTAGCACAGCTCTAGCTGTTCCCCTACATGGACCTCACCTCCAAGTGGAGACTCCCATCCACTCCCTCCCTTCCCCTGCTTCCTTACAGCCTCCTGTAACTTGTGAAATATACTTCCCATACCTGGAGGGAGAAAGAAAAGGGGATTGCTTTTTGTTATACCCAGGGGCATACAATAAAGTGGGCCTCAGACTTTGTGTCCAAGCTCATTTGACTTGTCATATTTCTGAATCTGAAGCTAAAGGATTCAAGCTTCTCTGATTCAACAAGGGTTTTACAATAGCTTTTCACATATCAGACGTCCTGATAAGTCCCAACCCAAAACTTGTCTTGGTTGGCTTGGGTACCCTGTTCACACCAGTGAATTTTTAATCCTCAGTCATGTCTCATTCAGTCAGTCAGGTAAACTGAGAGGCTGTGGATTTTTAAGAAAAGCATCAGTAGCTTTCAGGTAGCAAAATATCTTTAATCTGAACAATTCTCAACCTTGGCATCCTTTTTCCACTCATCCCCTTTTTCTTTTTTTTAAATTATACTTTAAGTTCTAGGGTACATGTGCACAACTTGCAGGTTTGTTACATAGGTATACATGTGCCATGTTGGTTTGCTGCACCCATCATTAGGTATTTCTCCTAATGTTGTCCCTCCTCCAGTCCCCACCCCACAACAGGCCCTGGTGTGTAATGTTCCCCACCCTGTGTCCAAGTGTTCTGATCGTACAATTCCCACCCACGAGTGAAAACATGAGGTGTTTGGTTTTCTGTCCTTGTGATAGTTTGCTGAGAATGATGGTTTCCAGCTTCATCCATGTCCCTGCAAAGGACATGAACTCATCCTTTTTTATGGCTGCATAGTATTCCATAGTGTATATGTGCCACATTTTCTTAATCCATTCTATCATTGATGGATATTTGAGTTGGTTCCAAGTCTTTGCTATTGTGAATAGTGCCACAATAAACATACATGTGCATGTGTCTTTATAGCAGCATGATTTATAATCCTTTGGGTATATACCCAGTAATGGGATGGCTGGGTCAAATGGTATTTCTAGTTCTAGATCCCTGAGGAATCACCACACTGTCTTCCACAATGGTTGAACTAATTTACACTTCCACCAACCGTGCAAAAGCGTTCCTATTTCTCCACATCCTCTCCAGCATCTGGTGTTTCCTGACTTTTTAATGATTGCCATTCTAACTGGCGTGAGATGGTATCTCATTGTGGTTTTGATTTGCATTTCTCTGATGATCAGTGATGATGAGCATTTTTTCATGTGTCTTTTGGCTGCATAAATGTCTTCTTTTGAGAAGTGTCTGTTCATACACTTTGCCCACTTTTTGATGTGGTTGTTTGTTTTTTTCTTGAAAATTTGTTTAAGTTCTTTGTAGATTCTGGATATTAGCCCTTTGTCAGATGGGAAGATTGCAAAATTTTTCTCCCATTCTGTAAGTTGTCTGTTCACTCTCATGGTAGTTTCTTTTGCCGTGCAGAAGCTCTTTAGTTTAATTAGATCCCATTTGTCTATTTTGGCTTTTGTTGCCATTGCTTTTGGTGTTTTATTCATGAAGTCCTTGCCCATGCCTATGTGCTGAATGGTGTTGCCTAGGTTTTCTTCTAGTGTTTTTATGGTTTTAGGTCTAAATTTAAGTCTTTAATCCATTTTGAATTAATTTTTGTATAAGATGTAAGGAAGGGATCCAGTTTCAGCTTTCTACATATGGCTAGCCAGTTTTCCCAGCATCATTTATTAAATAGGGAATCCTTTCTGCATTTCTTCTTTTTGTCAGGATTGTCAAAGATCAGATGGTTGTAGATGTGTGGTGTTATTTCTGAGGCCTCTGTACTATTCCATTGGTCTATATATCTGTTTTGGTACCAGTACCATGCTGTTTTGATTACTGTAGCCTTGTAGTATAGTTTGAAGTCAGGTAGCATGATGCCTCCAGCTTTGTTCTTTTTGCTTAGGATTGTCTTGGCAATGTGGGCTCTTTTTTGGTTCCATACGAACTTTAAAGTAGTTTTTTCCAGTTCTGTGAAGAAAGTCATTTGTAGCTTGATGAGGATGGCATTGAATCTATAAATTACCTTGGGCAGTATGGCCATTTTCAAGATATTGATTCTTCCTATCCATGAGCCTGGAATGTTCTTCCATTTGTTTGTGTCCTCTTTTATTTTGTTGAGCAGTGGTTTGTAGTTCTCCTGGAAGAGGTCCTTTACATCTGTTGTAAGTTAGATTCCTAGGTGTTTTATTCCTTTTGTAGCAATTGTGAATGGGAGTTCACTGATGATTTGGCTCTGTTTGTCTGTTATTGGTATATAGGAATGCCTGTGATTTTTGCACATTGATTTTGTATCCTGAGACTTTGCTGAAGTTGCTTATCAGCTTAAGGAGATTTTGGGCTGAGACAATGGAGTTTTCCAAATGTACAATCATGTCATCTGCAAACAGGGACAATTTGACTTCCTCTTTTCCTAACTGAATACCCTTTATTTCTTTCTCTTGCCTGATTTCTCTGGCCAGAACTTCCAACACTATGTTGAATAGGAGCGGTGAGAGAGGGCATCCTTGTCTTGTGCCAGTTTTCAAAGGGAATGCTTCCAGTTTTTGCACATTCAGTATAATATTGGCTGTGGGTTTGTCATAAATAGCTCTTATTATTTTGAGATATGTCCCATCAATACCTAGTTTACTGAGAGTTTTTAGCATGAAGGGCTATTGAATTTTGTCAAAGGCCTTTTCTGCATCTATTGAGATAATCATGTGGTTTTTGCCATTGGTTCTGTTTATGTGATGGATTACGTTTATTGATTTGTGTATGTGGAACCAGCCTTGCATTCCAGGGATGAAGCCAACTTGATCATGGTGGAAAAGCTTTTTGATGTGCTGCTGGATTCGGTTTGCCAGTATTTTATGAGGATTTTTGCATTGATGTTCATCAGGGATATTGGTCTAAAATTCTCTTTTTTGTTGTGTCTCTGCCAGGCTTTGATATCAGGATGATGTTGGCCTCATAAAATGAGTTAGGGAGGATTCCCTCTTTTTCTATTGATTGGAATAGTTTCAGAAGGAATGGTACCAGCTCCACCTTGTACCTCCAGTAGAATTCGGCTGTGAATCCGTCTGGTCCTGGACTTTGTTTGGTTGGTAAGCTATTAATTATTGCCTCAATTTCAGAGCCTGTTATTGGTCTATTCAGAGATTCAACTTCTTCCTGGTTTAGTCTTGGGAGGGTGTATGTGTCCAGGAATTTATCCATTTCTTCTAGATTTTCTAGTTTATTTGCATAGAAGTGTTTATAGTATTCTCTGATGGTAGTTTGTATTTTTGTGGGATCGGTGGTGATATCCCCTTTATCATTTTTTATTGCATCTATTTGATTCTTCTCTCTTTTCTTCTTTATTAGTCTTGCTAGTGGTCTATCAATTTTGTTGATCTTTTCAAAAAACCAGCTCCTGGATTCATTGATTATTTGAAGGGTTTTTTGAGTCTTTATTTCCTTCAGTTCTTCTCTGATCTTAGTTATTTCTTGCCTTCTGCTAGCTTTTGAATGTGTTTGCTCTTGCTTCTCTAGTTCTTTTAATTGTGATGTTAGGGTGTCAATTTTAGATCTTTCCTGCTTTCTCTTGTGGGCATTTAGTGCTATAAATTTCCCTCTACACACTGCTTTGAATGTGTCCCAGAGATTCTGGTATGTTATGTCTTTGTTCTCATTGGTTTCAAAGAACATCTTTATTTTTGCCTTTATTTTGTTGTGTAACCAGTATTCATTCAGGAGCAGGTTGTTCAGTTTCCATGTAGTTGATCAGTTTTGAGTGAGTTTCTTAATCCTGAGTTCTAGTTTGATTGCACTGTGGTCTGAGAGACAGTTTGTTATAATTTCTGTTCTTTTACATTTGCTGAGGAGTGCTTTACTTCCAAATATGTGGTCAATTTTGGAATAGGTGTGGTGTGCTGAAAAGAATGTATATTCTATCGATTTGGGGTGGAGAGTTCTGTAGATGTCTATTAGGTCTGCTTGGTGCAGAGCTGGGTTCAAGTCCTGGATAACCTTGTTAACTTTCTGTCTCATTGATCTGTCTAATGTTGACAGTGAGGTGTTAAAGTCTCCCATTATTATTGTGTGGGAGTCTAAGTCTCTTTGTAGGTCTCTAAGGACTTGATTTATGAATCTGGGTGCTCCTGTATTGGGTGCATATATATTTAGGATAGTTAGCTCTTCTTGTTGAATTGATCCCTTTACCATTATGTAATGGCCTTCTTTGTCTCTTTTGATCTTTGTTGGTTTAAAGTCTGTTTTATCAGAGACTAGGATTGCAACCCCTACCTTTTTTTGTTTTCCATTTGCTTGGTAGGTCTTCCTCCATCCCTTTATTTTGAGCCTATGTGTGTATTTGCATGTGAGATGGGTTTCCTGAATACAGCACACTGATGGGTCTTGACTCTTTATCCAATTTGCCAGTCTGTGTCTTCTAATTGGAGCATTTAGCTCATTTACATTTAAGGTTAATATTGTTATATGTGAATTTGATCCTGTCATTATGACGTTAGCTGGTTATTTTGCTTGTTAGTTGATGCGGTTTCTTCCTAGCCTCAATAGTCTTTACAATTTGGCATGTTTTTGCAGTGGCTGGTACCAGTTGTTCCTTTCCATGTTTAGTGCTTCCTTCAGGAGCTCTTGTAAGGCAGGCCTGGTGGTGATAAAATCTCTCAGCATTTGCTTGTCTGTAATGGATTTTATTTCTCCTTCACTTCTGAAGCTTAGTTTGGCTGGATATGAAATTCTGGGTTGAAAATTCTTTCTTTAAGAATGTTGAATATTGGCCCCCACTCTCTTCTGGTTTGTAGAGTTTCTGCCGAGAGATCAGCTGTTAGTCTTATGGGCTTCCCTTTGTGGGTAACCCGACCTTTCTCTCTGGCTGCCCTTAACATTTTTTCCTTCATTTCAACTTTGGTGAATCTGACAATTATGTGTCTTGGAGTTGCTCTTCTCGAGGAGTATCTTTGTGGCGTTCTCTGTATTTCCTGAATTTGAATGTTGGCCTGCCTTGCTAGATTGGGGAAGTTCTGCTGGATAATATCCTGCAGAGTGTTTTGCAACATGGTTCCATTCTCCCCATTACTTTCAGGTACACCAGTCAGACGTAGATTTGGTCTTTTCACATAGTCCCATATTTCTTGGAGGCTTTGTTCATTTCTTTTTATTCTTTTTTCTCTAAACTTCTCTTCTTGCTTCATTTCATTCATCTGATCTTCCATCACTGATACCCTTTCTTCCAGTTGATCGAATCAGCTACTAAGGCTTGTGCATTCGTCACATAGTTCTTGTGCCATGGTTTTCAGCTCCATCAGGTCCTTTAAGGACTTCTCTGCATTGGTTGTTGTAGTTCGCCATTCATCTAATCTTTTTTCAAGGTTTTTATCTTCTTTGCCATGGGTTCGCACTTCCTCCTTTAGCTCAGAGTAGTTTGATCGTCTGAAGCCTTCTTCTCTCAACTTGTCAAAGTCATTCTCCGTCGAGCTTTGTTCCATTGCTGGTGAGGAGCTGCGTTCCTTTGGAGGAGGAGAGGTGCTCTGATTTTTATATTTTTCAGTTTTTCTAATTGTTTTTTCCCCATCTTTTTGGTTTTATCTACCTTTGGTCTTTGATGATGGTGATGTACAGATGGAGTTCTGGTGCAGATGTCCTTTCTGTTTGTTAGTTTTCCTTCTAACAGTCAGGACCCTCAGCCGCAGGTCTGTTGGAGTTTGTTGGAGGTCCACTCCAGACCCTATTTGCCTGGGTATCAGCAGCAGAGGCTGCAGAACAGTGGATATTGGTGAACAGAAAAGGTTGCTGCCTGATTGTTCCTCTGGAACTTTTGTCTCAGAGGAGTACCCGGCCGTGTGAGGTGTCAGTCTGCCCCTACTTGGTGGTACCTCCCAGTTAGGCTACTCGGGGGTCAGGGACCCACTTAAGGAGGCAGTCTGTCCATTCTCAGATCTCCAGCTGCATGCTGGGAGAACCACTACTCTCTTCAAAGCTGTCAGATAGGGACATTTAAGTCTGCAGAGGATTCTGCTGCCTTTTGTTTGGCTGTGCCCTGCCCCCAGAGGTGAAGTCTACAGAGACGGGCAGGCTTCCTTGAGCTGAGGTGGGCTCCACCGAGTTCGAGCTTCCTGGCCGCTTTGTTTACCTACTCAAGCCTCGGCAATGGCTGGCGCCCCTCCCCCAGCCTCGCTGCTGCCTTGCAGTTCGATCTCAGACTGCTGTGCTAGCAATAAGCGAGGCTCCGTGGGCGTAGGACCCTCTGAGCCAGGCACGGGATATAATCTCCTGGTGTGCCGTTTGCTAAGACCATCGGAAAAGCGCAGTATTAGGGTGGGAGTGACCCGATTTTCCAGGTGCTGTCCGTCACCCCTTTCCTTGGCTAGGAAAGGGAATTCCCCGACCCCTTGCACTTCCCGGGTGAGGAGATGCCTTGCCCTGCTTCAGCTCATGCTCAGTGCGCTGCACCCACTGTCCGACAATCCCCAGTGAGATGCACCTGGTACCTCAGTTGGAAATGCAGAAATCATTCATCTTCTGCGTCACTCATGCTGGGAGCTGTAGACTGGAGCTGTTCCTATTCAGCCATCTTGGCTCCACCCAACGCCTGCTGTTTTTTGCTTTCCATTTGCTTGGTAGATCTTCGTCCATCCCTTTATTTTGAGCTTATGTGTGTATTTGCATGTGAGATGGGTTTCCTGAATACAGCACACTGATGGGTCTTGACTCTTTATCCAATTTGCCAGTCTGTGTCTTCTAATTGGAGCATTTAGCTCATTTACATTTAAGGTTAATATTGTTATATGTGAATTTGATCCTGTCATTATGATGTTAGCTGGTTATTTTGCTTGTTAGTTGATGCGGTTTCTTCCTAGCCTCAATAGTCTTTACAATTTGGCATGTTTTTGCAGTGGCTGGTACCAGTTGTTCCTTTCCATGTTTAGTGCTTCCTTCAGGAGCTCTTGTAAGGCAGGCCTGGTGGTGATAAAATCTCTCAGCATTTGCTTGTCTGTAATGGATTTTATTTCTCCTTCACTTCTGAAGCTTAGTTTGGCTGGACATGAAATTCTGGGTTGAAAATTCTTTCTTTAAGAATGTTGAATATTGGCCCCCACTCTCTTCTGGTTTGTAGAGTTTCTGCCGAGAGATCAGCTGTTAGTCTTATGGGCTTCCCTTTGTGGGTAACCCGACCTTTCTCTCTGGCTGCCCTTAACATTTTTTCCTTCATTTCAACCTTGGTGAACCTGATAATTATGTGTCTTGGAGTTGCTCTTCTTGAGGAGCATCTTTGTGGTGTTCTCTGTATTTCCTGAATTTGAATGTTGGCCTGCCTTGCTAGGTTGGGGAAGTTCTCCTGGATAATATCCTGCAGAGTGTTTTCCAGCTTGGTTTGATTCTCCCCATCACTTTCAGGTACACCAATCAAATGTAGATTTGGTCTTTTCACATAGTTCTGTATTTCTTGGAGGCTTTGTTCGTTTCTTTTTACTCTTTTTTCTCTGAACTTCTCTACTAGCTTCATTTTGTTAATTTGATCTTCAATCACTGATACCCTTTCTTCCACTTGATCAAATTGGCTACTGAAGCTTGTGCATGCATCACATAGTTCTTGTGCCATGGTTTTCAGCTCCATCAGGTAATTTAAGGTCTTCTCTTCACTGTTTATTCTAGTTACCCATTTTTCTAATCTTTTTTCAAGGTTTTTAGCTTCCTTGTGATGGGTTTGAACATCCTCCTTTAGCTCTGAGAAGTCTGTAATTACCAACCTTCTAAAACCTGCTCCTGTCAACTCGTCAAAGTCATTCTCCATCCAGCTTTGTTTCATTGCTAGTGAGGAGCTGCAATCCTTTGGAGGAGAAGAGGTGCTCTGGTTTTTAGAATTTTCAGCTTTTCTGATCTGGTTTCTCCCCATCTTTGTGGTTTTATCTAACTTTGATGTTGGTGACCTACAGATGGGGTTTTGGTGTGGATGTCCTTTTTGTTGATGTTGATGCTATTCCTTTCTGTTTGTTAGTTTTCCTTTTAACAGTCAGGGCCCTCAGCTGCAGGTCTGTTGGAGTTTCATGGAGGTCCACTCCAGATCCTGTTTGCCTGGGTATCACCAGTGAAGGCTGCAGAACAGTAAATATTGCAGAACAGCAAATATTGCTGCCTGATCCTTCTTCTGAAAGCTTTGTCCCAGAGGGGCACCTGCCTGTATGAGGTGTCTGTTGGCCCCTACTGGGAGGTGTCTCCCAGTTAGGCTACACTGGGGTCAGGGACCCACTTGAAGAGGCAGTCTGTCTGTTCTCAGAGCTGAAATGCTGTGCTGGGAGAACCACTGCTCTCTTCAGAGTTGTCAGACAGGGAGGTTTAAGTCTGCAGAAGTTTCTGCTGCCTTTTGTTCAGCTATGCCTTGCCCACAGAGGTGGAGTCTATAGATGCAGTAGGCCTTGCTGAGCTGCGGTATGCTCTGCCCAGTTTGAGCTTCCTGGCCACTTTGTTTACCTACTCAAGCCTCAGCAATGGCGGACACCCCTCCCCTCACCAGGCTGTAGCCTCACAGGTTGATCTCAAACTGCTGCACTAGCAGTGAGCAAGGCTCTGTGGGTGTAGGACCTGCCGTCTGCCGGCTGCTAAGACTGTGGGAAAAGCAGAGTATTTGGGCAGAAGTGTCCCGTTTTTCCAGGTACAGTCTGTCACAGCTTCCCTTGGCTAGGGAAGGGAAATCCCCTGACCCCTTGTGCTTGCCAGGTGAGGCGATGGCCCTCCCTGCTTTGGCTCACCCTCCATGGGCTGCACCCACTGTCCAACCAGAACCAATGAGAAGAACTAGGTATCTCAGTTGGAAATGCAGAAATCACCTGTCTTCTGTGTTGATCATGCTGGGAGCTGCAAACTGGAGCTGTTCCTATTTGGCCATCTTGGAGCGGACTTGCTCATCACCTTTTTCAAATGTGTAGGCTGAGCACAATTAATATGAAAGTAAGGATGTAGAGCAGAACTTGGGGAAAATGCCTGTATTTTGAGCCAGTTAGACAAGACTTCCCTAGGCTAGGATTAAACACCCCCAAATGAACCATGGAATCTCTGAAGGCCTCCTTAGCTCAATGAACCAAATCCTGCAATCCAAGACTGTTACCCTAAGGCCTGCATGCTTGCCTCATGGGTCTTGATATTGACAGGGGTTGGGATACGAAGGAGGAACAACATCTTTCTTTTCTTCTTTCCTATAGTTAAAGTGTAAATGCTTTCATCATTTCCTTTTGTTTTGTCCTCATATTGCTATTTAATACTATTCACATCAGGCAGTGTTATCAAACACACTCTTAATACCCTCAAGCAATTTTCCATTGCTTCTAGAATCACCTGTTTCCATGGCCATGAGGACTCCACCTTCCTGGGTCACATGCAACCTGACTGCTGTTCTTTAACCAACAGAGCATCCTGAACACAGCCCTAGCATGTGAGAAGCAGACAGATCTCAATAATTACTGCTTCTCATTTCAAGTATGTTTCCTCTTTCAGGGTAACTGGTGAGAAAGTGCTGACATGCTCCTTACAAAGAACAAGTCTCTTTGTAATAGAAAAAAATAAATGTATTTGGAAAATGCAGTGACCAAAAAATCAGAAGAAATACTTAATTTAAAACTCTTGTACGCTGGAGGGGATCGCTTTGGTTGAGAGAACAAAGGTCTTTGTGAAAGAAGACATAATAAAAATCCCTTCCACCTAGTGGCTTTCTAGGAAATTGTCATTATGGTGCCTTTAAACCTGGCCACAATTTTGAGCTTCTGCTTGTTGGGAAATAGAGCACATGATGCCACACTGTAGGCAGCATTGAAGTTGTCTGTTCTCCCTAGGGTTGATGTCCACCTGTCACAAATTGGGAGCTTTGGGGTTTTGTTTGGAGAAACGAACTATCTGACTAACAGTGTCTCATTTATTTTCCCCTTAACAGGGAATGTCATTCAGGTGATTGAGAGTACTATCAAAATATTACCAATATTACATTCACTGACCATATTATTATATAGAGAGGAATTTGGAAAAAAAGGTTGCTCTAGATGAACCAAATGCTGATAGTAGAATCAGTGAGAGTCTACTTTTAGGTGCTTACAAACAAAATTTGAGAAAAAGATGTGGATAAATTCTATTGGTTTGTTTGTTTGTTTTGAGATAGAGTCTTGTTCTGTGCCCCAGGCTGGAGTGCAGTGGTGTGATCTTGGCTCATTGAAACCTCTTCCTCCCAGGTTCAAGTGATTCTCCTGCCTCAGCCTCCTGCGTAGCTGGGATTACAGGTGGGCGCCACCACACCTGGGTAATTTTTGTATTTTTGGTAGAGACAGGGTTTCACCATGGTGGCCAAGCTGGTCTCAAACTCTGGACCTCAAATGATCCACCCACCTTGGCCTCCCAAATTGCTGGGATTACAGGTGTGAGCCACTGCATCCAGTGATAAATTCTAAAAAGAGGGTTTTTTGGTTTTGTTTCTGCTTTTTTTAAGGGTATATATAATGTGGAAATAATAACAAATCTCATTACATATATATATAAATATATATATATATATATATATAAATTAATCTGCCAAATAGTTGTGAAACTTAAGACATGGAAATAATATGATGCCTCATTCCCAGCTTCATTGTAGTTTTCTACCCTCCATTATCTCTGCCTCTTCTTATTTATTTTACTTTTGATCTTGTTGCACACATACACATATATCTTCTTCTTTCTTATAACAAGTCATATATACATAAAATAAGTAGGGTTCATACGATTGATGGCTTTAGAACCAGTGTAGGAAGTTTGACATTTCAGTAGGAAAATCTTTTATAAGCCACCTCTGGAATTTAACATGGAAGTGGCTTCCTACCAGAGTGATGGGAGGCAGGCTTCTCAGATCATGTGAGTCCCCTAAGGCAGCTACATATCATCATACTCTCATTTGTCTTTTCTGCATATGCTATATAGCAAACTGTTAGGCATGAGGTACTGATTGACTAATAAATGATTAATTTGCATTACTTTATGGCATTTCTGCTCAGAACTATAAACATTCTATATTATTTCAAGGTTTAGTCTCAAGCAATCTAAAGCCAAGTGGGTTAAAAAAAAAAAGATGTGGGCATATAAACATGCTGTCATATTTCTGATAACCAGTTGCTTTAGAAGAGGGCTAGTTGCATATAAATTTTAGTGAAAGAAAATTAATATGAAGCATTACTTCACTATAGCAAGACTTTAAGCAGCTAAAATCCACCTCCCTAGCCTTTGGATTCTATCTGTAAAAGGTTGCCATCAGAAGTGAATGTTAGAATATTTTTTTTCTGTATTTAGCTTGGGAATGTGATCTTAGAAACCTGGATAAATTTCTCTTCCTTCCACTGCCTGCAACCTCTGAACAGACGTTGCTAATTTTAAGCTATTCTAGCCATACTCTGTCCCTGGGTTGACTTAAAGAGGGTGTTCTTCTGGTATGTCTGTAACCACCTTGGATTAGAGCCTAGATAGAGATGCCATTCTGAATATTGTAATGGCAAGCTACAGTGTACTTCATCATGCATTCTAAAAGGGTTTTAAAAACAATGAGTTGGTCATAGAGCAGTTTGGGCCAAAGAATAGTTGATGAATATAATGCGAACCACACCAGGGGCAGTCGTAATAAGACACCATGAACTTCCTTCCCAGAGATCTAAAGTTAATGCATGACTGGAATTAGACACACAGTGCTGTGAGAGGCATTGTCGGAAGAAGTGATGTTTAAGCTGAGGCTTCAAAGGTGAAGTAAGAAAGGATCCATCAGTGAAGGGAAGGGGAATCATGTTCAGTCAGTGGGACAGAGGAGGCAAGTACTGAACACAGAAAAGCATGGTGCATTCAAGGAACCAAAAGGTGATCAGTGCAGGGTGACAAGGAAAATGGGTATGGATAAGGGTGGGAAAGTGGTAGGGACCTGAGCGTGAAGGTTCTTACAAATTAAATTGCTTGAACATTTAAGGATTATGGGAAATCATGAAGCTCTTTAAGTGCCTAATCACATTTATATTGTAGAAAAGGCATTCATCCATGTAGATGGGATGCTTCCTCTCATTTCCACACATTTGTTGTCTGTGCTGAAGGGTGGAGGGGTGCTGACCCTGCTCATTGCCATAGAGAATAAGTTGGCTACACAGGGCTTCTCTTAGAGTCACAAAGACATGCCTTTCCTCCTGGGTCCTTTGCGTCTGCCTGCAGTGCTCATACTCCTCTCTTGGTTGACTCATTCTTGCTCTTGCAGTCTTACCTTGAAAGTCACCTCCTTAGAGAGGCCCTCCCTGACCACCTCATAATTACAATGCCCTCTCCCCATATTCTCTATTTCAGCACTTTGCTTATTTCCTATATAGCACTCATGACAATTTGCAAGTTGGGGTTTTCTTGGGGAACCCCTTTTTGTCTTTCTCTCACTAGTATAAAAAAGCTCCATGGCATTGGAAATTCATACCTTGCCTGTGTTACTCACTGACATATCCAGAGCACCTTCATGAGAGACTGAGTGTAGGGAGACCAGTCAGGGAACCACTGTAAGCATTCAAGTGAGAGGTACTGGTGGTCTGGGCCTAGGTGAATAGTGGTGCACTCATTTAGGGATATTTTTAAAACAGGCAAAACAGGTCTTGATAATTGATTGGATGGTGGGAAAGAGAAAGCTCAAGAGTCCCCAGGCTTCAGGGACTCTCAGAGTTCTAGGTGTCCAAAAGGATTGGAAAAAAAATCAATTGTTGCTAATGGAAATCATGTAATAAGCAGTTTCAGAAAAATTGTTCCACAGCTATTTTAAGGGTTTAAAGCTATTATTAATAGTAAAACTGAAACAGTAGGTAGTAAGCAGAAAAAAGAGCACTAATTTATAGCCTGCAGAAGGTTTTCAAAGTGTTGCAATAAA
This sequence comes from Homo sapiens, assembly GCF_000001405.40. NCBI lineage: Eukaryota > Metazoa > Chordata > Mammalia > Primates > Hominidae > Homo > Homo sapiens. Next base: position 36,405,420 of record NC_000014.9, on the reverse strand, counting down.
AAGCAAGTGATAAATGGTTTTTAGAAGTATAGCAATCCCTTGTTTGAGATTGCTCAACTGAAATGATAATTCTTCAGTTACAGAATAGTGTAAAAGTAGGTTTAAGGTGGGTTTTTTTGTTTTTTTTTGTTTGTTTTTTGGTGTGTGGGGTTTTCCTGTAAAATCCAGGAGAACTGCTGGACAAATTCTAGAAGAGCTGTAACTGGTTTAAGATTTAAGTAACATCAAATTAGTAGACTTGAATAAGATTTTAGAATAATCTAATCAATATACTATATATACATATTTATAACTATAGATACCAACAAAAATGTCTTCTACGATTTTTGCAATGCTTGGAAAAAGAAGTCATAGTAATAATAACCTTATATACAGTAACGATCAGTTTACAAGACACTTTCTATATACATTATCTATGTTGATTACTGCAACCTCTTTGTAAAGTGAAATCTACTGATTTTATTTTAAAATTGCAGGAACTGGCCTCATAGAGGCCAAATGACTTGCCCAAGGTCATACAGTTAATTAATCACTGAACAGGACTTAAGGCAGAGAAGAAACTACAATCTCCATTTTACAGATCAGAAAAGGTGCTTCAGAACACTTGCCTGAGGCCATGGGGTTTGAAACTGGTGGGAGCAGAACTAGGAAACAGCTTTCCCCTTCAGCCTATTTTTTCCTCTGTGGGTCAGTACAGTGCAATAAAGCCCTATCACATTTGGGTTTGGGAGGCTCTTTGGAGGCAGATTGGGGACAAGTGTTTTCTCTATGCAGAGGGCTCACTCTCTGCTGCTCAGTTCTCCTGGTGCCTGGCTTTCTTTCTGTCCTTCTCCTTGGGGTCCCCCAATACTACTGGCAGTGTTTCCATGGACTGGTGAGGCAACAGAGGAGAGGAATCCAGTCCGCATGCTACCTGTGTGACACTGCTGGTCTCCCCATACTCTCATGGCCCACATAGACTCTTGAGTTGGGGCCCTTTCCTCAGTAATAGCAGCTCCTGACAATTGACTCATACTATTTGTGTTTCTTCCTAGAAATTCCCGAGAGAGAGAAAGAGAAAGAAAATCTGATGGGCCCAGTTCATCTTTTCAAGCTAGGGCACTTCATAGGGCACTGGCCTATGGGTGGGCCACCCTTGCTTCAGGTACAACTCCTGGTCCATCAGCTGTGAGGCTATCACAGTATTTACAAAGGGCTGATCTACATAGGGCAGGGCTACAGTGAGGGCAGTTTCTCCCAAAGTGGGATGTGGGCATGGCAGGTATTTCGTTGTTTGTTTTTGTTTTTTGAGACAGAGTCTCTCTCTGTTGCCCAGGCTGGAGCGTGGAGGGCAGTGGCATGATCTTGGTTCACTGCAGCCTCTGCCTCCTGGGTTCAAGTGACTCTCCTGCCTCAACCTCCTGAGTAGCTGGGATTACAGGCATGCACCACCACACCTGGCTAGTTTTTGTAATTTTAGTAGAGATGGGATTTCACCATGTTGGCCAGGCTGGTCTCGAACTCCTGACCTCAAGTGATCTCCCATGTCTTGGCCTCCCAAAGTGCTGGGATTACAGGTGTGTGCCAGCGCACCCGGCCTATGGCAGGTATTTTGAAGCTTGGTCTGCCTAGGTCAGTCCAAAGTGGAGCTACAGTTTACAGGGACAAGAGGTTACTGTGGTGGAGGGTGGGCAGGGGACTTCCCAGGACAAAAGAGTTTGAACTGAATCTTGAGGTATAGATTTTTCGTTGGCCCAGTGTATTAGTCAGGATTCTCCAGAGAAACAAAACCAGTTTATTATGGGAATTGGCTCACATGATTATGAAGGCCAAGAGGTCCCACCATCTGCCATCTGCCAGCTAGAGAACCAGGAAAGTTGGTGGTGTCTTTCAGACCAAATCTTAACCAGGGGAGCTGATGATATAACTCCCAGTCCAAGACCAAAGTTCTGAGAATTGAGAGGAGAGGGTGCTGCTGATGTAAGTTTCAGAGTCCAAAGGCCTGAGAATGAGGAGCTCTGACATCCATTAGCAGAAAAAGATGTATGTCTCAACTCAAGAAGAGAGACAGAATGTGCCCCTCCTTCACCTTTTTGTTCTGTCTGGGCTCTCAACAGATTGGATTATGCCCACCCCCATTGGTGAGGGTGGATCTTCTTTACTCAGCCTGCTCTCTACTCAGAGAGACTAACATCTTCCAGATACACCCAGAAAGAATGATTTACCACTCTCTGGGCATCCCTTAGCTCAGTCCAGTTGACACATAAAATTAGCCGTCACACTCAGTAAGGAGAGGGCTGACAGAAGGGACAGAGAAAACGGCATGTGCAAAGGCACAGAGGCTTGGCTTGAGACAGCACAGCACACACAGGAAGTGCAAATCATTCAGTGTGGCTGGAATGTCAAGTCTATGGAGGAATGTAGGGGGAGATGGGGCTGGAAAGGTAGGCAAAGTTAGACTTGTGATTCTCAGCTAGAGGCTGTATTACCTTACAAGTAGCATTAGGAAATGTAGATGATCTTTTTAAATTTGTTTATTTGTTTTCCACTTATGATGGTGAATGGGGATTGTTGCTGGCATTTAGTGGGTGGGACTAGAAATGAGAAGGACAAGCCTGCAAACAGAAGAACTGTTGCGCCCTAATTGCCAATAGGGCTTTCATTGGGAAACATGAAGATTGTGAAGGCCTTTCAATGTCATGCTAAGGGATTTGGATTTTAGTCCCAAGAAAGGTGGTGAGTAGGAATAAGGAGTCTAGAGCAGCTTCTAGATTTTGACTTGGGCAGTTGGGTGGAAGGCAGATCTAATCATTGAGGCTGGGATTATAGGGAGAGAGGAACAGAGGTAAGAAATGGCCAGAAAGATGATGAATTCACATTGCATATGTCAACATATAGGTGAAGTTGCCTGAGAGTCTGTTCAAATGCACTGCATAGCTCAGGAGAGACAATGGAGGAGCGATGTTGATGTGGAAGTCCTCAGAGCATCAGGAATAGGTGAAATTGTGGGCACAGATGTGATCGCTCAGAGTGAGTGTGGATTTTGGATTATCCAAGGCCAATTTTTAATCTTAGCCAGGCTTTCCTGCTTTCTACTGAGTGTGTTCACAGGAAATACCAATTAAACTTAATGTCAACATAAGTAAAACATAATTAGGAAGATAAATTTCCTGCCAAAAATATAATGAACTCTAGAGTGAAATGTAAAATGTTTTTAGCTAACTTATCTGATACTTTTATATGATGCTTTACCTTTCTTGATTCTATGAAGCCTAGTAAGTTAGAGCAGAAAATATTTTAGAAGTTTCAAGGAGATTGGTAATAGAAAAAAAATGAAGATTAGATCTTTCTCCTCTTTCTTAAGAGCTCAGATTATCTGGACTGTGTTTCTCTGGTTCCTCATTTAGCTGACGGTTTTCTGACCTATTACAGAGGGAAGTTGTCAGCTAGTTAGAAGGAAGGAATATACCAGGACATAAACTTTGTTTCTCCTTCCTCTTGCCATAGAAATTATATTTTCCCACTGTTGTTCATCTGAAGCATGCCTGCCCAGATAGAAGGGGCAATGCATTGTATGGTTTTTTTATGATCTAGTGATTTAAATCTTAAGTTTCAATGGAGAAAACTGAGCAGCCTAAATTATTGGCACATAAACCCATGGAGAATAGTCATTGATTAAGATAATCAATAGATGTTATTTTCAATAACAACAGTAGTGTGTTCTTCACCACTTCTAGAAGCACTTGGAAGTTCTTGGGAAGAATGCTATTACTGCAGTTCAGACTAGCTTAGATTTTCAGATTGTTCTCTACTAAGTTGATTCAGATGGTTTTACTGGGTTTAAGTAGAATGGAGTCATGACTGTTTTCTAACATAATACTCAGCTTCCCTTGGGATCTCCCTGGGAAGGATATGGACACAAAGATTGAATAGAAGCTGTTAATTTCCTCAGATGACCTGCCATTCAGTTAACTGTCAAACTGTTATTTGTAAATAACAGCACAGATTATCTGCACTCCAAGTTCTTGCCAAGTGATTGTCACTTGGAACACTCTGTGGACAGATTCTTATCAAGAACTTAATTGTGAGAAACAACATTCACACAGGGTTGCCTGTAGACATGCAGTCCATAATTTCCCTAGAAGATTGTTTCCCAAAGTGTCATCCTTAAATTTCCCTGAAATGTAAACAGGTAGTATATGATAAAATGATCAAATTGTTTTGGTAACACTCTAGATTAGACAAAGTTTCTTTACTGAAGAACTTCTTTAAACATTAGTGTATGTCAATGTACATGTAAATATCCAAGAAATAAGAATTTGAGTAGGCAGTATTTCTCAAATGTACTTGATCACAGAGCTCTTAGATAATATTATGAGAAATATACATGTGTAGCCAGGCGTGGTGGCTCATGCCTGTAATCCCAACACTTTGGGAAACTGAGGTGGGTGGATCACTTGAGGTCAGGAGTTCAAAACCAGCCTGGCCAACATGGTGAAACCCTGTATCTACTAAAAATACAAAAATTAGCTGGGCATGGTGGCACACGCCTATAATCCCAGCTACTCAGGAGGCTGAGGCAGGAGAATCGCTTGAACCTGGGAGGTAGAGGTTGCAGTGAGCTGGGATCACACCACTGCACTCCAGCCTGGGTGACAGAGCAAGACTCTGTCTCATAAAAAAAAAAAAGAGGAAGAAAGAAAGAAAATACTCATGTGCTTCAGGACACACCTCGTACTACTGGATATTCTAAATTTTATGCTAGGTCATCAGCATTCTGGGCACTTGGTTACTTTACTCTGGTCTCCCTTCTCATAGAATTACTTTAAATTTGTAGTATGTGATTAGCCTATATTGAAGGACATTGTAAAAAACAGCCCTATAGAATTCACTATTATAAAGATGGCCTGTTAGACATTGTCTGTGGCCCAGCCAGTAACACTCTGTTGGGATCCATGGAGACATTTCTCTTAAGTCAACACAGTGATACTTACACTTCATCGGGAGCAACTTATCTTTTAAAATCCTACAGTCACTATAAATTTTATCACTGATTTTTTTTTCTTTGCTTTGACTGGTAGGCAGTTTAGAGTGAAATTTGCAGTCTACCTCTAGCAATAATACATGACTGTATGGTATGCACTTTGTACAAATTTCATCTTGGTTTACATATGTTTTCTTTCCCATGCTTCCCACTAACTTAATTTCCAAATTTAAAAATCCTGTTCATTCACTCTTCCAATAAAAATTTATTTAGCACCCTCTCTGGGACAAGCATTAGTCTAGGTGTTGGAAATACGGTGATAAAGATATATATGGTCTTTGCCCTCCAGATCTTATAGTCTAGAGGTGGATATAGACTAGCAAATATACAATACCCTGCATCCAGTGTGATAAAGGACATGATGGAGAAGTACAAGAGGGATACCTAACCCCTGTGAAGAGATTGGGGAACACTGTTAAACCTACTATGTACAAGCATTAGAAATAATGCTTCTTCAAGCACACTGACTGACCTACGGCTTTGGACCTCTCCTTTATTCTATGGTCAAACCCCTTGGTGCCCATCCCCTGTCCTAAGCTGCATCCAGCATGGTGCCCCAGGGCTGCACTGTTATGCTGGATTCTTCTGCTTTGGTGTTTGGGCCAGTGCCTACTCTCGTTTCCTGGTAGGAGATTCTGCAAAGTCTCATGGCTAAACATATCTGACTTTGGATAGTCTGTGTTTCCAATAGCTCACTGTTGGGGGAGAGCTTCCATATCCAGTAAACTAAACATAGTTAGGAAGATGGTAGAAGGAGAGGGAAGAAGGTCATGAGGACACACCCTTTGGATGTACCTGCATTTAGGAGGAAGAAGGAAGAATAGCTAAAGAAGGATCCAGGGAAGGAACTGCCAGGAAGACAGGAAGCCTGGGGTGGCTTGGGGTCACTGAAGCCTTGGGGTCACTGAAGCCTTGGGATGAGAGGATTTTTAAAGGAACAGAGTAGTTAGGAAGCCTAAAGATTATTGTGTAGCCACTGGATTTGGTGATGAGACAGGTAAAGACCACCTCCAAAGAGCAATTATACCTGGGGGATGAGAATGCAGAGTTAAGAATTATATAGTCCAGTGTGATTGTGGTTAGGGAGGCAGTGGAAACAGCAAGTATGGACTAGTTGACAATTTGGGGAGTAGACGGAAAGTGAGAGGTAGGGTGGTACCTTAAGGGAACAGCAGGGTCAGGGGAAGTTTGGAGCATTTTTGAAAGACCAAATGCTTCACTTATATACATGTCTCATCACAAAAGACTGCCTAAATGTAGCTATGCCACGGTTGCTGGGCACTGAGATAATGCATACAGTCAACATTCTGAAATGCCTCTTAAAAGAGCACTTGAGTCGTAACCTAAATTTTTAGGAGGGGCAGTGATTTCTTATCCACCATATCTTGATCAAACTTCAGATAGCCTTAACCTAATATTTGAAAAGTGAATAGTTTAAAGTCATTTGTTGAGTTGTTCCTTTGCAGTAGAGTAATAACCAAACAGTGACAACCAAACAGAGGATTTTGCAAGCAGTGCACCTCTGTTGGCAGCAGCAGCCCAGGGTGGTAGCTGTTCTGAAGGAAAGACATGGGTTTGACACTGAGGAGAGTGAAGGGAAAGCTCAAAGGGTGAGGATGGTCCCCAAAGTCTTCTTAAACTGTAAGTACAGAATACAGGACAGTACTTGAGGTAATAGGGTAATGGGACAAAGAACATCCTGGTGACTTCTGCACACACACACACGCACATGCACATACACACACATACCTGTGCTACTGATCTACCTCCACGTGTGTCTGCTGAGGCCCAAGCTTGCCCACAATTTGAGGTCATTCTGTTTGCAGTAAGGAAGCAGACAAGAAGTCCTGGGGAGTTTCCCCAGATTCTTTGCTTAACTACCTCTGGGAGTCCACTGTGCAGAAGGATCCTGAGCCCTGCTGCCCTCTCTACTCCTTCACTGCTAAGGCCTGGCCTCCTCTAATCCTCACTCTAGATGCCTGCCCTAACGGGGCTCATCTTCTTCATTGCTCATCCCACTTCCCCTGTTCTCCTTACCTGGCCTGTCCTTCCAAGGACTAGTGTTAATTCATTGGGTCAGGGAAAAGCTAATAATAATATCAGCTAACTTTAGAGAGTGCTTATTATGTGTCAGGCACTGTTCAAACTGCTTTATATGAATTATTTCATTTTATCATCCTAACAAATCTTTGAGGTGATGGGTTTACAGATAAGGAAGCAGGACAAACAGCTTAAGGAACTTGTCCAAGGTCACACATCTAGGAAGTTTCAGAGCCGAGATGCTGGCTTCAGAGTCCATGTTCTTAGCTCCTAGGTTATATTATGTCATCTATAAGTTTAGATGAAAAAGGCCAGGAGAAGAGACAATTCATCCACACCACTACACGTCAGCAGCATAGGCAGAGGCTGGGTATTAGCAGAGCCAGAATCCAGGCCTAGAATATGGGCAACAGGCCCAAGGCCTCAGTAGACAGAGGGAAGCTCCCCTCTAGCCTAAGCCAATAGGAGGCTTCATTTGGGAAAGCCCATCCATGGGATGGCTGGGTGGGGGTAGAGAAAGAAGAAACACCTGGCAGGGCATGAAAGTGGGAGATTAAGGCTGAATCTACACAATCCAATGGCTGATAATTACAGGTTTCCTTGGACCTACATTAGAAGCCCTGTTATGGGCTGAATTATGTCCCCCCAAAAGATGTTAATGTCCTAGCTCCCAATCTGTGAATGTGATCTTATTTGGAAATAAGGGCTTTGCATATAATCAAGTTCAAATGAGGTGATTAGCATTGGGCCTAATCCAATTGGCTGTATCATTACAAAAAGGTGGAATTTGGACCCAGAAACAGACACACATACAGGGAGAATGCCATGTGAAGATGAAGGCAGAGATTGGGGTGATGTATCTACAGGCCAAGAATGACAAAGATTACCAGGAAATCACCAGAAGCTAGGAGAGGGGCATGAAAGAGTTTCTCCCTCACAGCTCTCAGAAGGGATCAATCCTGCCAACACTTTGATTTTGGACTTCTAGCTTCCAGAATGGTGAGACAAGTGATTTCTGTTGTTTAAGCCACTGCATTTGTGGTACTTTATTACAGCAGTACTAGGAACCTACTACAAACCCTAATGCCAAGATCCCAACTTCATGTGAAGCTCAGGATGGCTGAAATGTTCTGGGCTGTAGTTCACACTTGCAAGTCAGAAGGCTCTGTCAGGGATCCCTCTTTTTCATGATAGAGACCCTGGAACAAGCAGGAAGGAAAGGGAAAGAAAGGGATATTTGTGAGAAACTGCAGCCTGTCAGAAGATACAGGCACATTAAGTCAGTATTTGCAGACTTAACACAAATTCAACTGGTACTGCACCATCCATCAGCTGTTAGATTTTGTCATCTGTCTCTGGTAACACAAATCTGCAACTCCCTCATTTAAAGAAATATGCAAATTGCTTACAAATCAGCATGTACTATCATCCAGTATTGCAGAGCAGGTGGATTAGTTAGGATGAATTGCATATCATTCTAGAGGAAATGCCTGAATCTCATGCTCACCTTCACCTCCCAAACTGGACTTTTCAAGACATACAGAGAACTGGGAACTTAGCAGTTACGGAAAAGTCCTGTGAAATAAAAAGTAAGAAATATGCTCTCAAGGTTAGTGCTTTATTTTGAAGGTCTCTGTACCACTTTCAAGGCTATACACTAAAGATGGGAGCTTTTTCATACAAGTTACTTGCATCCTGACCTTTCTGGCTGTCTTTTCCACCATTCTAGACATTGGAGTATACAGAGCCAGATCTGTAGGGTTAGCCTCAGCAGAACACAATGATAGCAGAATGATAGATTCTTGGTAGAAGAAACCATCCAAGCCATGGTGGAATGAATGCTTACCATTATGTGGGAATCTAAATAAAATGAGACACAGGAATCTCCACATACATTGGTACCTATTAGAAGTTTTAGAAGTCTCACTAGGTGCTGCTGCCATAATCACCCTCTAAGGTCCGCAAGGATTCTGGGCACTGGGATGTGAAAGCCAGAAATGCTGAAATTTCTGGCCTGTATGCTGGGAGTCACATGTCAATGAGCTTCACTGAGTCAAGGTAGTAATCAGGTGTGCCTAAGGGTCAAATCAATCTGAAATTCACACTGTCTGAGTTTTCTCTGAACCTGGTCTAGTCAAAAGGCATCTAAGCCTTCCTTTTCTGTTTTTTTTTTTAGCCAATGAAAATGTTCCACTAACATGTACATACAATATTAATAACCAGAGCAAATGTTTCTTCCCGTGGAAATAAGACTGCCAGGGAACTAGAGGCCTGGATCATTGTCCTGAGAATAGAAACCTGGGCAATTCAAACCCTCTTTCCTCATTTTTAAAAGATGGACTTGTACCTAGTAATCTCAAGGGTAACCTATAAGTCTAAAATTTCACAATTTTGTCTTAAACCCCCCAATATTCATATGATTGAATAAATAATGTGATTTTTCAGCACATTCTCATATTTTCAAGTAATCATTTTAGAAATCAGAAAGAACAAAATTATTGCTGTCACAGTAGAAAACACTCACTCTACTTTTCCCTATTATCAATTTGTGACCTAATTTAGCATCTTATTATAAATGATCTGATTATTAATACTGAATAAAACACTCTAATCATAATAACACAATAATGCAATATTGTTCAGTACACATAATAAATAAACGTCAGTTTGATGGCTATCAGTGGATGTGAATTGGGAGTGGAGTGGGAGGGGAAGACATAACTACCCAGGTTGGGACCAGTTCTTTAATTGTTCTTATAGCTTCAATGACACTTTCTTTTTTTTTTTTTTTTTTTTCGAGATGGAGTCTCACTCTGTCACCCAGGCTGGAGTGCAGTGGTGGAGTGAGAGGGGAAGACATAACTACCCAGGTTGGGACCAGTTCTTTAATTGTTCTTATAGCTTCAATGACACTTTCTTTTTTTTTTTTTTTCGAGATGGAGTCTCACTCTGTCACCCAGGCTGGAGTGCAGTGGTGCGATCTTGGCTCACTGCAACCTTTGCCACCTAGGTTCAAGCGATTCTCCTGCCTCAGCCTCCCAAGTAACTGGGATTACAGGCACCTGCCATCACGCCCGGCTAATTTTATAGTTTTTAGTAGAGACGGGGTTTCACCATGTTGGCCAGGCTGGTCTTGAACTCCTGACCTGGTGATCCACCTGCCTTGGCCTCCCAAAGTCCTGGGATTACAGGCGTGAGCCACCACGCCCAGCCTCAGTGGCATTTTCACAACGTTCCTGCCCAGAACGTCTATGTAATTTTCTTAGCTATTGTCAAAATGGTTGCTTTGCTCCATTCTAGAAGAGGAAATGTTTCACTGAAGATCAACACCTCCATTTGTATCTATGAAGTCCATGGTAGCATTTTATCTATTATTGTTGTTATTATTATTGAAAATTAAAGGTGCAATATTAAATATTTTCAGTGGTGGAAGCTATAGAACTTTTGCCTTCTTACAAAGAGGGTGCACAATGTAGCTCTGATTACTAGCTGATTGTGTGGGACAGCCAAGGCTTTCAGTGAAAGGAATTTCTGCTGACAAGCTCTTAAAAGGTCGTGTGCTTGGCCCTTAGCCCTTGAACATGGTGAACATTTGCCATGGATAGCAGCCTTGAAAACTCTATGGCCCATAACAAAAGAAGAGTCTCCCCCCTTTTACAGGGTCAAACATATGCTGCATGCTTCCCTGTCAGCCCTGGCAGCATAAACAGGTTCCTTTCATAATGCAGCATACAGAAAGCTTGTAATTATCAGCTGCAGGTAGTGACCACCTGCCCATGGAATACACAGAACTGGAAAAAAATATGGAAGAATCTGTAGTGAGAATGATCCTTTTGAATTGTTCCTGAGAGGCCCCGCCTTTGAGGGTTTTAGAATAGACATGACTTTTAATCAGCCTCCTTTTGCTTACTGAACTGGCAATTTCAGTCAGAAGGTAATCATACACAGATAATTATGGCTTCAAGAATTTTACTAACATATTTAGCCAGGGAACTACTCCATCGAATTTCATACTACTGTATTTTCTGGGCTAACTGCATGCTACTTTCAAAACCAGAATGCCTTTGTTTGGTATTCATTTTGGCATTTGATTATGGAGTGGATGCTGTTGCACACTGCCAAGGTCCCCAATGAGGATCAAGCTACCAGCTTACTCTCACAGCTACCGGGAGCACTGCCTGGGGAAGAACTGCAGCTGAGTCCCTCCCCAGGATTTGCCTTCAGCCTAAGGGAGCTGCCTTACACAAGGTTATACCCACTTTCTTTGGCAGCTCATATCCAATGATTGGTCTATCGAGTGGTACAAGGCACACCCCCTTATCTCAATTTTGGAAAGCTCTGAAGGGTCATATCAGGTTCAGAGCCTCCCAAGGGATCAGATAAAGTCTCTGTTGTGACTGAATTATAGTTCAACTTCTCCTTCTGCCCCATCCTGCCTCCCTCACTCCCTTATAGGTACTATTACTGACAGCATCCCTACAATAAACTCTGTGCACACAACCTCATATAGATTTTGTAGAACTGTTTTAAAGTCTTCTTATTTAAAAAAAAATCAGATTGGTGATTAGACATTTCAATGACTATCTCAGAGTTAGGTTTCTGTAATGAGAGGATCCAACTATCCATTGGCAATTTCCCATGTGTTCCTAGTCTGGAATGACTTGGGTCTCTATTAATTCATTAGACTTTGTCTACAATTCTCAGGATTAGGGAAAGTTGAAAGTTAGCTTTCTACCCACATAGCTTCTATTGTTTTCAGTCATTTCAAGGTGTCTAAAATAAGGCTTAACACTATCTGCCCAACATCTCTCTTTGATGTTAGTCAAAGCATACAAATTTCAGTTAGGAATAATAAGTTCAAGAGATCTATTATACAACGTGATGACTATAGCTACTGACAATGTATTGTATTCTTGAACATCGCTGAAAGTAGATTTTAAGTGCTCTCACCACACAAATGATAAGTATTTGAGGTAATGCATATGTTAATTTAGCTCAATTTAGCCATTTCACAATGTATACACACTTCAAAACAACCAGTTGCATGCAATAAATATATATGATAATTGTTATTTTTCAATTAAAACTTTTTAAAAATAAAAGGCTGAGGCATCCCTGTTCTTTTCCAATTTAGTGTAAATTGCACCTATGGTATGAACAAAAGTAGGAATTTTTTCCCTTGCTTAGGAAAAAAAATACTATCTGGATGAAATCCCATCTGCTAGAAGAATAATGTGACAGGAATAGGCTGCCATTTATCCTGCTCCCAGGAAGATGGATCTAAATGCAGAAAAGGCCTGGAGCCATGTCCAATCTATTCCAATCTCAGGGTGGAGGTCAACCCTTGGTCATCTCCAAACCAAGGAAAACTAAGAAGTCCAGTCATTTTGGGGGATGGCTTTGGGGATTTATTCTATCCTCAGATGTGGTCAAGAGTATTTGGAGGTAAGAAGTGAATGCTAGTAGTCTTCAGGCTCTTGAGAACTGACCCTGGCTTCCTCAATCACATGCATTGGTTACTATGTGGGATTGGGCTAGTGCATGGTTATTATGCATTCTCCAAGACTAGGGTTAGGAATGTGAGCGAGGGCACAGTTGCTTACTCAGCTTCCCTGTATTTTATGCTATTAAGCAGAGATTGAATTGACGTCAACTTGACTGTGCTTAAAATTTTCTGTTGTGGCCGGGCGCAGTGGCTCACAGCTGTAATCCCAGCACTCTGGGAGGCCGAGGCGGGCGGATCACGAGGTCAGGAGATTGAGACCATCCTGGCTAACAAGGTGAAACTCTGTCTCTACTAAAAATACAAAAAATTTAGCTGAGTGTGGTAGCGGGCGCCTGTAGTCCCAGCTGCTCCGGAGGCTGAGGCAGGAGAATGGAGTGAACCCAGGAGGTGGAGCTTGCCGTGAGCCAAGATTGCACCACTGCACTCCAGCCTGGGCAGCAGAGCGAGACTCATTCTGAAAAAAAAAAAAAAAAAAAAAAAAAGTTTCTGTTGTTTTTTTAGGACTCAACAAATCACACTGAAATGGCTTCTTGTTCCTCTTAGTATTGAAGGGATTCTGTGGGGCAATTTTTCCCTGTTAACACTAAACATTTACTGAGTTCTAGCTGTGTGAGAGAGGAAACCTCCTAACCCCTAGGCGTGTACAGTGCAAGAAACAGGACACATATAGTTGGATTGGTACTTTCCATTACCAACTGATTGCTTTTAGACCATTGTCCAAATTACCCATAATGCTGGGTGTTTTGGATTACCAGATTTACGTGAAATATTCACTGACCTGAACATTCTTCTGGAACAAGTTGTTTGTCTTCCTTATCAAAACTATTTTTTCATTTATTATTTTTCATAAACTACTGTAGCAAAATGCCCTCTCCTGCCCATCAGGAAAATTACTTGCATTTCTTTAGGAAAAGAAATCACTCATCTAGTTTTGACATTGGTAATATATTCATATGGTCCAAACGTCAACTGTAAAAGATATACAGTGAAATCTCCTTCTGCTCCAATTCTTCATCTGCTCAGTAAAAATCATCTCACTCCACAACTACCCAAAACAGGTAGTTTTTCTATCCTTTGTATGTGGTTGGTAGCACATCATAGTTACTTTTCTGCATTTTGTTTTTCTCACTTAATAATACGACTTGCAGATCTTTTCTTAGTTACTAAACTTTTGATAAAAATTATTCTTCTTTAGGAACCATAAGACTAAATACTGGGAGACCTTTAAGAACTGCAGGGAACTTTCCAAGATGCTATAACAAAGGAAAATTGGGAAGTTTCTTGGGGCTCGGCTGGATGTGAATAGAGCGAGAAATCTTTCTCAGGAGGGATCCAGTAACTGGTAGAAATATTGAAGAGGAAGAAAAAAAGGATGAAAGCAAATCAGCCAAGGCCATAGCATTAAAAAAAAAAAAAAAAAAAGGATAAAGAAGAGTTCAGAGCTGGCTATGACAATGGCTAGGGAGGAAACCACATCCTGAGGGGAGACACAGCCCGAGTTAACAGCAAGACAGCTGACCATGGCAGAGGTGGCCTGCAGGGCAGGGCAAGGTTCTTAGATACACAAAAGATAGAAAAGGGGAAGGGAACACTCAGATTGTGCTTGTAGCAGGGATGTAATCCTGGGTCTATTCAGGCAGTGAGGGATCAAAGCACACACAGGTGTTGCAGACACACTGTGTTCAAATTCCACATGAGTGAAACACCTTTAGGCAAATGACTTAATTTTCCTTAACCTACGTTTTGTTATCTGTGAAACAGGAGTAGTAGTAACCATCTACAGGGTTGCCCTAGCGACTAAATGAGGTAACATAAATAAGTGCTGCACACAGTGTCTGGCACATAGCAGCAGATTAGTAAATTTGCAGCATAATATATTATTAAATCTAATAATTATACTTAATATAACAATGGATTTAATATAATTAAATATATATTAAATGACATAATTTAATATAATTATATATAAATTTAATTAATTATAATTAATAAGAGAAAAGAAGATTTCCTAGAGGTCACAGAGAGGGAAACACCAGTCGTAAGGTGAGAGGTTTCTGCCTCTGCTGGCATGGTGAGCTCAGGGCCCCAGTGAGAAGGCCTTCTTCCCTGGAGACCAGGAACCACGAAGCACTGGGGGTAGCAGAGGTGAACACAAGCTGAGGGCCCAGCAGGAAGGACCTCACTTGTCATAAGAGGAAGGTCATTAGCTAGAAATGACTCCTTCCTCTTTGGATTGGAGAGGTGGAGGGTGACTTTCAAAATGGTGTGCCTGGAAGAGGCATGATTTTGCTTACATTAGATACCATAAAACTGTTTGGAAAATCTAAGTATTAATAGCTGCAAATGCTGATGTAATAGGGAAAAAATGTTTTTTTGTTTTTTTGTTTTTGTAACACAGCCATCCACCACTTCTAAAGGCATGTGTCTACCATGGGCTCTGCTAGGCATGGGTATGTGAGTTTGGAGGAAGAGTTTGGGAAAGCAGTGAGTTGTTCTGTCTAGTAGAAGGAGGAAGCCTGTGAGGTGGAAGCACAATGGGGAAAAACAACTGCAGGAAACAAATATGTCAGATCTAGAGTTTTACATGGCTCACCCTCCCCTAATATGCCTACAAGATCTTCAGCAA
Source organism: Homo sapiens (assembly GCF_000001405.40). Lineage (NCBI taxonomy): Eukaryota > Metazoa > Chordata > Mammalia > Primates > Hominidae > Homo > Homo sapiens. The sequence continues at coordinate 36,390,225 of NC_000014.9, read as the reverse complement.
AATCCACATTGCTCACTAATAGTCATGGTGTGAATGAATTGTTTTTGGGGGAATGTAAAGTGTGTTGAGCTTTGTGTTAATATTGGTGAAAGGCAGAAACAGAGACCACATCTGGGGAAAGCTGCCCTTAAATTTTCTGACATTTTTTTGAGCAACAAATGAAATGAGCAACTATCAGGAGCTGGATGCTGTGCTATGAACTAAGAACGTAATGATAACAGAAACGTGGTTTATGTTATCCAGAAACTCTCAGTCTAATGAGGAAGGAGGATGGGAAACTGTGGTCAATGATGTGATGAGTGCATACAGGGCGTGCTATGGGAGCACATGAGGTACCAGGAAAGACACTAGGACAAAGGGGGAACTCAGTGCTAATGAGCACATCATATACAATTAAACCATTTCATTGGAAAACATTAGTATTGCCTTGTGAGTTGACAATCCAAGATGAAGCAACTGAAACACAACCATTCTGAAGAGTAGCATTTGAATATTGTTCTTTCAGCCTCCTAGTTTCCCTACTTTTTTTAACCCACCTTTTCTCACGGTATCTGTACTTTGTTTCCAGAGGAGCCTGTTCCTAGAGAGAAACTAAAAAATACTATAGAACTGGTGAATTTTCAAAAGGGGCTTGAAAGCAAAGAGGTAATTAAACAGCAAGGAACAGACTCTCAGATGATGGGTTAGTTCTAAATACAATGAAGCTGGCAGCCAAATTGACTTCATAATGAGTTTGCTTCTTTACTATCCATTTTGAACAATAGAATTTGTATAAATCCAGACCTGAAACATTTTAGAATAAAGAAATGTATGTATTTGGGGGCACTGTTTTTTTATAGTACAGCACTGTTATTCAGTAAGAAAAGGGAGATGACGTGACTAAACTATAAGACATTTTATAATTAACATAGCAAAATTTATGTATTCAAATGCAAAGTATTTTTTATATATAGATTTGGAAAGATTACATTTATTTCAGCATTTCTGAAATTGACTAAAACACTTTTGATAGTTTCTTTAGAGACAGTTGGAATTTAAACCAAGAAACCAGGAACATGGTTTTATACTACTGAGAGGCAGGTGCTATAGTCAAAAGAATTGGAAAGACCTACGTCCAATCTTTGCTCTGCCATTTGCTAACTGCATAACCTTGGAAAAGCTTAGCCTCTCACTGTCTCAATTTCTTCATTTCTAAAATGGGAACAGTAATGCCACAATTGTCAGAATTTCCAGGAGTAATGAGATAATGCTAGTTTCTAGCAGCATGATAGGTATAGGCAACTTAGCTGCTCAATATGCCTAGTCCCTAGTCACCCCACTTACTGTCAAGTTTTGTTTTGACCAAAAATACTTTTAAATGACTTACTAGTCTTAAATTTAAAGCTTTGCTTTACATTGAGGATCTATAAAGAATATGCTAGGAATTTGTCCTAGACATTTATTTTCTAGAAATACTCAAACTAATGTCCAAATCAATATGTATAAGGATTTTAATCACAGTTTTGTTCATAAGAGTGAAAAATTATAAAAACCTAGTGTTCATCAGTAGAAGACTGCTTAAATAAATTATAGTGCATTTATATATTGACTGACTATATATAGTCATCTAAGAGAATATTATGTCTTTACCAACACAGAAAGATATCTATATTTAAGATAAGCATTGAGCTATATATCTCTTAAGGAAGTTGTGCAATGTGGTCCCACTCTGCCCTAAAAAATATGTGTAAACACAGACATGTTTAAACCATGAAAGGACATATTACACACTGTTGTTTTTGGGGAGATGATTGTGAGACTTTCATTTTTAAAATTATATATCTGTGTAATAATAAATTGTTTACATGAGTATGTATGTGCATTACTCTTGCAATTAAAAAAACAAGAGAAAAAGAATAGGAGAAAGACTACCTCCAGACTCTGAAGAGAATGCCAATAAAAGGGTATTATAAAATGTTTTAAGCAATATCTACATTCAGAAGTAGTTGCTGGGCCGGGCGCAGTGACTCACGCCTAAAATCCCACCACTTTGGGAGGTTGAGGCGGGCAGATCATGAGGTCAGGAGTTCGAGACCAGCCTGACCTACATGGTGAAACCCCGTCTCTATTAAAAATACAAAAATTAGCTGGGTGTGGTGGCAAGTGCCTGTAATCCCAGCTAGTCAGGAGGCTGAGGGAGAATCACTTGAACCTGGGAGGTGGAGTTGCAGTAACTCGAGACCGTGCCACTGCACTACATCCTGGGCGACAGAGACTCCGTCTCAGAAAAAAAAAAAAGAAAAAAAGAAAAAAAAAAGTACTTGCTCTACACTGGAGTCCAATGCTCATTTGGAGAGCGTATAGATCCTAATATATTATGAAAAAAATCAAGCCTATTAGTTTAGAGTCATACCTAAAGTTATGACTACTGAACATACTTTAGTTTCATACTGTAACTCTAATATACAATACACACATAACTTGGAGATATTGCAGTTCATTTCCAGACCACCACAATAAAGCTAATATTGCAATAAAGTGAGTTACATAAATGCTTTCATTTCCCAGTGAACCTAAAGGTATGTTTATACTATACTATAGTCTATTAAGCATGCAGTAGCATTAGGTCTAAAAAAAGTACATACTTTAAAAATACTTTACTGTTAAAAAATGCTGATGATCATCTGAGTCTTCAGCAAGTTGTAATCTTTTTGCTGATGGAGGATCTTGCCTTGATGTTGATGGCTGCTGACTGATCAGGGTTGTGGTTGCTAAAGGTTGGGGTGGTTGTGGCAATTCCTTAAAATAAGACAACAATGAAGTTTGCTGCATTGATTGGCTCTTCCTTTCACAAAGATTTCTCTATAGCATGTGATACTGTTTGATAGCATTTTCCCCCACGGTAGAACTTCTTTCAAAATTGGAGTCACTCCTCTAAAACCCTGCCATTGCTTTATCAATTAAGTTTATAGAATATTCTAAATCCTTTGTGGTAATTTCAGTAAGGTTCACAGCATCTTCACCAGGAATAGATTCCATCCCAAGAAACCACTTTCTTTGCTCATCCATAAGAAGCAACCACTCATTTGTTCAAGTTTTGTCATGGGATTGTATAACTTCAGGCTCCACTTCTAATTATAGATCTTTTGCAATTTCCATGACATTTGCAGTGACTTCCTCCACTGAAATATTGAACCCAAAAAAAATCATCCATGAGAGTTGTAATCAACTTCTTCAAAACTGTCAATGTTGATATTTTGACCTCCTCCCATGAATCTTGAATGTTAACGGCATCTAGAATGGTGGATCCTATCCAGAAGGTTTTCAATTGACTTTGCCCAGATCCATCAGAGGAATCATTATCTATGGCAGTAATATCCCTATCTTAAATAATAAGACTTGAGGTCAAAATTACTGCTCAATCCATGGGCTGCAGAATAAATGTTGTGTTAGCAGGCATGAAAACAGCATTCATCTTCTTGTACATTTCCACCAGAGCTCTTGAATGACAAAGTACCATGTCAAAGAGCAGTAATATTTTGAAGGTAATCTTTTTTTTTCTGAGCAATAGGTCTCAAGAGTAGGCTTAAAATATTCAGTAAACCATACTGTAAATAGACGTGCTATCACCCAGGCTTTGTTATTCCATTTATAGAGCGTAGGCAGAGTAGATTTAGCATAATTCTTAAGAGTGCTACAATTTCCATAATGATGAAACATTGGCTTTAACTTAAAGTCACCAGCTGCATTAGCCCCTCATAAGAGTGTCAGCCTGTCCTTTGAAGCTTGGAAGCCAGGCACTGACTTCTCTCTAGTGATAAAAATTCTAGATGGCATCTTATTCCGATATAAGGCTGTTTTGTCTACATGGAAAATCTGTTGTTTAGTGTGGCCATCTCCCTCAGTGATCCTAGCTAGATCTTCTGGATAACTTCCTATAGCTTCTCCATCAGCTCTTGCTGCTTCACCTTGTACTTTAATGTTATAGAGATGGCTTCTTTCTTTAAACTTCCTGAACTAAACTCCGCTAGCTTCCAACTTTCTTCTGCAGCTTCCTAACATCTCTCCACCTTCATAGAATTAAAGAGAATTAGGGCCTTGCTGTTGATTAAGATTTGGTTTAAATGAATATTGTGGCTGGTATGATCTTCTATCCAGACCACTGAAACATTCTCCATATCAGCAATAAGGCTGTTTCACTTTCTTATAATTCATGTGTTCACTGGAGTAACACTTTTAATTTCCTTCAAGAACTTTTCCTTTGCATTCACAACTTGGCTGTTTGGTACAAGAGGACTAGCTTTTGGCCTGTCTCAGCTTTCAACATGTTTTCCTCATTAAGCTTAATAATTCCTAACTTCTGATTTAAAGTGAGAATACTTGAATACTAAGAGGCCATTGTAGGGGTTATTAGTCAGCCTAATTTCAATATTGTGTCCCAGGGAATAGGGATGCCTGAGGAGAAGGAGAGAGATGTGGAAAGGCTGGTCGATGGGGCAGTCAGAATGCCATTTTATATGGGCACAGTTCATGGTGCCCCAAAACAACTACAATAGTAACATCAAAGATCACTGATCATAGACCACCATAACAGATGTAATAATGAAAAAGTTTGACATATTAACAGAATTACCAAAGTGGACACAGAGACTGGAAGTGAGCACATGCTACTAGAAAAATGGCACCAGTAGACTTTCTGGATGCAAGGTTGCCACAACCTTCAATTTGTAAAAACCACAATATCTGTGACATGCAATAAAGTGAAGCACAATAAAAGGGGGTGTGCCTGATGCACATATTATACACATACCATTGTTATACCCTCAGGTAAGACACTGCCAGTGTTGTGTGATTTAGAGGGCCTTGGGAAGGCTTCCCTGCCAATACCTCCCTTATTGGTTTTTTAGGATACCAGAAATTCCATCCTTAAGGAGTTTAATTTCTTCAGATTAAGAGATTACTCAATATTAAAATGCTGCATTGAGGGCCCTTCTTATTTGTTCCTGCAGCATGTTGTATATACCTCTGAATTTTAATGAATTTTAATTGCTTTCTATTTTCCCAAGACTCAGCTCATCCCAGAAGGGAGGATGTCAGATGGCTCTGTTCCCCAGTGCATTTCTCAAGGCCAGGCACAGAGAAGGCTCTCAGTATGTGTTTGTCAGTTGAATGAATGCTCCTAGGAGACAGAACATAAAGATTAGACCTTGTATTTCTACTCAAACTATTGAGAAGTTGAATTGAGGAAATATATGTGAAGGCATTTTGTAAACTATGAACCACTCTACAAATGTATATTATTATCATTGGAATGCGAATTATTTTCTTAGATAATTTCCAAGGGATAGGTTTTGATGGGTAGAGGTATGATATTCTAAGTCTTCTCTACCAATAATTTTTAAAAATCTCTGACTTGTTCTCCAGCTGCTTCATGCTAAAAAGCTCAACTTCTTATAGGACAAAGGACAGCTGGGAAAAGAAATTAATGAGGAAATGTGTCACTTCTGTAAAAACAGGCATGAGTGAATGGGTCAGGATTATATGGGAACAAGGTATAGAAAAATACATAAAGCATGTGCTGAAAGCCTCAAATAGCACTTTTCATCTATTCCAGAGTCTTTGGTCAATGACACTTCTTTATATGAGATGGAGTTCTTTGGCACAGGACTTTTGTCCTTGTGAAAAACATGGCTTCTCTCTCTAGGATGCAAAGAAAATGTTTTAAAACTGGAATTTTTGTCATTAGTTTCCCAGGAAACCATTTTGGTTCTGATGCTAATTTGTGTATCTGACTGTTTTGACTGAAACTGAGGCCTCTTGCTCTAAGGGAGCAGAAGCAGAAGGAAAGGCTGCTTTGGGTTCCTGCCCACCAAGAGGGTGCCAGGCTGAGAATGCCAAGTCATCTCTCAGTTCCACCCTATGCTTGGTGCCAGTTGGCACCAGGCTTCTCAGTTGAGGTCACCGAGTGTGGGGCTGGGAGTTGGAGAATCACTTTCTTTTTTTAGTTCTGACTCCAAGAGAGTAGAGGTTGGGCCCAGCAAACACTCACTGCTGTCTGAGTTAGATGGAGCCAGCAGACAGGCCTGAGCAAGACAAACAGTTCACATCTTGAAATGGTTCTAAGTTTCCTGCTTAAGAAATGTTCTTTATCTCCTCCCTTAGATGGAATGATGTCCCTAGAGGGCATGGATACACCTCTACCAAGGCATCTACAAATGATCTGTATTTACATTTCTGTGGCTTTTTCTTTCGCTAAGTAGAACCTCAGTGATGATGGCTTTGAAGGGTGCGGCTTTGCGTGCCAAAGAATGTCGCATTCTCATTTAATGCCTTTAATGTTCCCTAAAGAGGTAGTTTGTTTGTGCATTTCAGCTCCAACTGCCTGGTTGAGAAGTAGGTTTGTTAGCTGCTGACAGTCCTGCTGACTTTCTGTAGGCCGTGCATAGCTCACACGCAGGACTCTCTCAGTCAGACCTGCTCTCGCATCTACATGCAGCACACAAAGGAGACCAAGGTTAACATGGTCTTGGTAAAAACCACTCAAGTGCCATGTAACCACCAAGTATGAACCCTGGACTAGACTACTGCTTACTTTATAGGCAAAAGCTCTCACATATATCTCAATAGCATTCTCTCTAGTATAGAATCATGCTGTTTAGTGATTCCAGTATGGTACTCGCTAGCCACATGTGGCTACTGAGCATGTGAATTATGGCCAGTCTGGTTTGAAATGTGTTCAGTATGAAAGCATACTAGAATTCTAAAGACTTAGTAGGAAAAGATAATGTAAAATATATCAATACTTTTTTGTATGAGTTGCGTGTTGTAATGATAATATTTTGGATAGATTGGGTTAAATAAAAACATGATTAGAATTAATTTCACTTGTTTCTCTTTCTCTTTTTATTGTGGCTGCCAGAAAATCTAAAATTACATAAGTGTTTCACATTATACTTCGATTAGGCAGTACTGACCCAGAGTGAGTATCACAATGCTCATTCATTCCCTCAGTCAGTGTTTATTGAGTGACTAACGTGCTAGAATAAAGACCCAGGCTGTGCTCTCAGAAGGCCGCCATTCCAGGAGAGAGGCAGCTATCTACAGGGGAATAGCCCAGGGGTGAGGGCCGGAACAGAATAACATGCAGAATAACAGGGTGAGTGCTATGGAAGCCCCAAGGAAAGGAAGACACTGGTGAAGAACATAATCATGGAAGGCTTCAAGGAGAAGCTGAGTTTTAAAACACACAGGAATTTTAGCAGTTAGAGGAAAAGAAGGCAGAAATGTGTGAAGAGGTACAGATATTGGGACATGCGTGGCATGTTTCAACAAAACACAAGTAGTTCAGCTGGGCGCAGCTTTTAGTACAAACAGGAGAGTCAATGGTGGAGATGAAGTCAAGAAGATAGGCTGAGATTTCAGTTTCTGAAGGGCACCCTGTGCCATGAAAAGGAGTTTGCACTTAGAATAAAAAGGAATTTAGGTTGTCTAACTGTAATTTTTAAGTGCCATACACCCAGAGACTTTGAGCCTGATGAGTTAGGCCTTGGAATCAGCATTTTTGAAAAGCATACTAGATGCAGACCCCACTTTGGAAAATGTTACTTCAGGTGAGAGGTGTTTAGTTCAGCAGTGACATGCTCATGCCTGCATTTATGAAAGATACTCTGAGAACATAAGGAAGATGTATGGGGAGTGGTCTCCTGAAGCTGTAGAGAGTGTCAGCTATTTCAATTATCAAGGTGAAAAATGATGAAGGTCTGCCTTAGTCAATTTGGGCTGCTACAACAAAAATACCACAGCCTGGGTGGCTTAAACAACAGAAATGTATGCCTCACAATTCTGAAGACTGCGAAGTCCAAGATCAAGGTGGTGGCTGATTCTGGTGAGGGCCCTCTTCCTAACTTGCAGAGGGACACTTCTTTATGTGTCCTCACTTGGCAAGGAAACACACACACACACACACACACACACACACACACACACACGGGGCGATATCTGGAGATATTTTGATTATCAAGGGGGAATGCTACTGAAATGTAGTAGGTGGAGGCTGAGATGCTGATATATGTCCTATAATGCACAGGACAGCCTCCTTCCTCCAAGAAAGAACTGTCTGGTCCAAAATGTCAATAGTATTTTGTGGAGAAACCCTGATTTAGCCAAAGGAAGCTGTCTTGCCCAATGTCACACTCCCTCCCCAGGGCCAGTCCACATCTAGTGCAGAGGTACAAAAACATGGCCCCCTTGGCTCAGTTTGGGATAACTCAGAAGTGCCGTCCCAGCACCAGCATTTTTTATGGGATTGGCTGATGTCTCTATTGCAAGCACATTGGAGTTCAGCTTCTCCCTCTGCCCGATCCTGCTTCCCTTACTTTCTAACAGGTGTTGTTTCAATAATTTCTCCAATAAACATCCTGCAAGCAACTATTTGTCTCAGAGTCTATTTCCTGAAACTTGATCTAAGACAGCTGGCACCAAGAATGGTCCTAGGATGCTGATCATAAAATAGAATTTAAAAAAATTGTATTTTAATAGCGTTAGGGGTACAAGTGGGTTTTGGTTACATGGATAACTTGTATAGTGGTTAAGTCTGGGATTTTAGTGCACCCAGCATCCAAATAGTGTACATTGTACCCGATAGGTAATTATTCACCCCACAACCCCCTCGCAACCTCCCTCTTTCTGAGTCTCCAATGCCCATTATATCACTCCATACCTTTGGACACCCATAACTTAGCTCCCACTTATAAGTGAGTATATGTGGTATTTGGTTTTTGATTCCTGAGTTACTTCACTTAGAATAATGGCCTCCAGTTTCATCCAAGTTGCTACAAAAGACATTATTTCATTCTTTTTTATGGATGAGTAGTATTCAATTGTATACAGATGATAGGCAGAGTAGATAGGTATATAGATAGATAACCACATTTTCTTTCTTTATCCATTGATGGGCACTTATGTTGATTCCATATCTTTGCAATTGTGATTGTGCTATGATAAACATATGCACACAGGTGTCTTTTTATATAGTGACTGACTTTCCTTTGGGTAGACACCCAGTAGTGGGATTGCTAAATCAAATGGCAGATCTACTTTTACTTCTTTGAGAAATTTCTATACTGTTCTCCATAGAGGTTGTACTAATTTACATTCTCACCAGTAGTGTATAAGTGTTCCCTTTTTATCACACCCATGCCAACATCGATTGTTTTCTGACTTTTTAATAATGGCCATTCTGGCTGGGGTAAGGTGGTATCTCATTGTGGTTTTAATTTACATTCCTCTGATTATTAGTGATGTTGAGCATTTTGTCATATGTTTGTTAGCCATTTGTATATCTTCTTTTGAGAAATGTCTATTCATGTCATTAGCCCACTTTTTGATGGGATTTTTTTTTCTTGCTGACTTGTTTGAGTTCCTTGTAGATTCTGGATATGAGTTCTTTGTTGGATGCATAATTTGCAAATATTTTTCCCATTATGTAGGTTGTCTGTTTAGTTTGGTGATTACTTCTTTTGCTGTGCAGAAGCTTTGTAGTTTAATTAGGTATCATTTATTTATTTTTGTTTTTGTTGCACTTGCTTTTGGAGTCTTAGTCATAAATTATTCGGCTAGGCCAATGCCAGAAGATATTTTTCTAGGTTTTCTTCAAAAATTTTTATGGTTTCAGGTCTTATATTTAAGTCTTTAGTCCATTTTTAGTTAATTTTTGTATATGGTGAGAGATAGGAATCTAGTTTCATTCTTCTACATGTGGCGATCCAATTTTCCCAGCAGCATTTATTGAATAGGGTGTCCTTTCCCCAACTTATGTTTTTGTGCTTTGTCAAAGATTAGTTAGTTATAAGTATTTGTCTTTATTTGTGGATTCTCTATTCTGTTCCATTGGCCTATGTATCTACTTTTATACCAGCACCATGCTGTTTTGTTTCCTATAGGCTTGCAGTATAATTTGAAGTCAAGTAGTATGATGCCCCCAGGATTTTTTTTTTCTTAGGATTGCTCTGGCTATTCAGATTCTTTTTTGGTTGCCTGTGAATTTTAGGATTTTTTTTTTCTAATTCTGTGAAAAATGAGGTTGGTATTTGATAGGAATTGCATTGAATCTGGAGATTGCTTTAGGCAGTATGGTCATTTTCACAATATTGATTCTTTCAATTCATGAGCATGGGATGTATTTCCATTTGTTTGTGTCATCTATGATTTCTTTCAGCAGTGTTTTGTAGTTTTCCTTGTAGAGATCTTTCACTTCCTTGGTTAATTACATTCCTAGGTATTTTATTTTATTTTTTGTAGCTGTTGTAGAAGGGACTGAGTTGATTTGATAATCAGCTTCGTCATTATTGGTGTATAGCAGTGTTACTCATTTATGTACATTGATTTTGTAACCTGAGACTTTACTGAATTCATGTATCGGATCCAGGAGTCTTCTAGAAGAGTCTTCAGGGTTTTCTAGGTATAAGATCATATCATTGGCAAACAGCAATAGTTTGACTTCCTATTTTCCAGTTTGGATGCTCTTTCTTTCTTTCTCTTGCCTGATTGCTCCGGCTAGGACTTCCTGTAGAATAGAATTTTGAGGCTTTTAATTGGCTGCGTGACCCACTGTCCAACCGGTAATAAGGACACCATAACTGGTGGTAAGTGAGGTACTGGTAGGCCCTGGCATGCTGTATCCATGCAATTGTTAGAACTTTTACAGGTAGTGAGTAAGATAAGATGTCAGTGGAAGGGGATGTACTGACTGGTACAAAATCTTAGGTGTTTGAGAGGTACAGGAAAAGTATTACTTATAAGGACTATGGAAACCAGTTGATTGGTGCTGGGTATTATCAATATATCTAAGAAAGACAATGAAAAACAGAGGGGTAATTAATCACCAACTAAAGGCAAAGTGTAAAAGTCAGAGGGTCTCCTTGGCCATATATAGTTTCTCATTTCCTACAGCTGGAGGGCAGACAATGCTGAGGATCAGGACCAGCACTCAGTTTTAAGGGTGGAAAAGTCCCTGAGAAGGTTAACTTCTGAACCTCACCAAGTCTCCTACACTAAGATTGATTGAGGAGTGGGATCTTGGAACTTCCTGGGCCATTGTTCTCAAGAGCATTAAAAACAGATCAGCCTGAACCATGTAGGCCTGCAGGAGACCATTCCTCCCCACTAATGGCCAGTGCGCCCTCACCCCACACTGAAGATGATGCAGGCCTCTGCTTGCCAGATCACACAAATTCTGCTCAGGGTCTAACCTGAGCTTCCCTCCTGACCACCAGATCAATAACTAGGATCAAGTCACAACATAACCCGGCTGAGGAAGTGCTGGGCCGATAAGAAAGGAAAGCCTATATGCTAAGGATCTTTGCAACCTAGAAAAAATGTACTTGCAGAAGCCAGGACGGTATTATAGGATTGGATCCTGAAGATTCTGGATAAAGAAGGGTGGAAGGTAAAGTTGTATGAAGGAGAATGTATCACTATGGGAACACTCACCTAGGACACAGGATTTAATTTCTGACAAGGACCTCACTAGTGTGCTGTGGGAATCTGGGAAAAAGCAATTGCCCACATTAAGTGAGAAGTCCATGACAGTTGGTGGAGGATAGGTTCAAAAAGCACAGAGAAAGGGACATGTCACAGCAGCCATACTCCAAAGGGCCAGAAATAAGCACCAATAGACAATGTGTTATGGGATGGCCTGGAGGGCGCTCTGTTTGCCAAAGTGATAAGGAATGTGCTGGTGAGATGGAAGGCTAGCATTGCTGAGACTCTCAGAGATTATGGCCATCTTCTGTAGGCCATGGCTCATGGTAGGAAATTTATTACAAAACTGGCAATGGTAGAATGGGGCTGATAATATCCTGAAAGTGCAGAGGCTAGGTGGTAGCACTTAGCTGTCAAAAGCAAGGTGAACACAGTTCTTATAATGAACAGTTATGTTAGAGTGGCAACCAGGGTGGTCAGAGAATTAAGGAGACAGTTAACAGAACATGGTGCTCTCAGAGGCCCAATAGATGAGCAGCTGACTAATATATTACTTAACTTATACCCTCAGAAGAAATCAAGGATGAATGACCAAGAAGCTCAGGGTAACCACCCCAATAAAAAAAAAACCACGATCCCCTGTCTAGTTTCTAGACATGAGCCAGTTCTCAGACTTTGAAGTCCATTTGTTAAATGAGGGGCAATGACCCTGCAGCATTGCAGCTGGTACATACAGTAACGACTCCCCTAGTTCTTCCCCAATGGGACTTAAGACCATATATCAATACTAAGGTAGTTGCAGAGCAGATATGCGGAATACCCAGACATTCTGATGACAGTTAGGCATGGGGTTTGTGTTGACACTGATAACTGAGATCTGAAATACCTGAATAACCCTTTTGTTACTGGGGAATGTGTTGGGACTAGATAAGAAATGGGGTCCTGACTAGCTCACTCTGGGACCACTGAGACTGACCTAGCTAGTGGTCATTTTGCCAGTCTTTTTGTTGTTGTTGTTGTTTGTTTGTTTTGTTTTGGAAACAGGGTCTTGCTCTGTCACCCAGGCTAGAATAAAGTGGTGCAATCTCAGCTCACTGCAACCTCTGCCCCCCCGGGCTCAAGTGATTCTCGTGCCTCAGTCTCCCAAGTAGCTGGGACTACAGGTGTGTGCCACCACACCTGGCTCATTTTTTGTATTTTTAGTAAAGATGGGGTTCCCCATGTTGGCCAGGCTGGTCTCGAACTCCTGACCTCAAGTGATCTGCCTGCCTTGGCCTCCCAAAGTGCTGGGATTATAGGCATGAACCACTGCACCTAGCCTGCAAGTCTTTGAATGCTCATTTGCAATGAACGTATTTGGTAGTTAGAACTCTCACTTTGGTTCATTCTTCTGTGGAGTAAGAGCTATTATAGGTGGGAAGGCCAAGTGGAAGCCTTTGAATCTGTTTCCATACCTGCCAATTAATCAACAGCATGATCATATCCTGGAGAGAATGGCATAAAGGATGCAGGGGCAGTGGTGTATTTTTGAATTCCCCTGCCCAGTTTTGACAGCAAAAGGACAAGGACACATGCAGCAGCGATGGCCTGAGAAGTGCATGGTGACCAGGGGCTCATACCCCACAGGGTTGAGAGTTTAGATTATTCCACCAACTAAGTTCCCTAGACCAGCAGAGGTGCTAGCCAAGGGTGAAAGGAATCTAGAATGGGTAATAGAGGAGGAAGACAATGAGTATCAGATATGATCCTTGAGACCAGCTGCTGCAGCAGGAACTGCCATTTTTTTCCCTATTTTCCTTCTGTAAGTATACCCAAGAAGCAACACCAACCAGAAACCTGGAGAGGCTGTTTCCACATAAAGTAAACTTACTGTAAGAAGCAAGTGAATCCAAGAAGCACACAGGTTGGACTACTGTGGATGCTATAGTGCAAGGGTCCCCAGTCCCCAGGCCATGGACTGGTACCATTCAGTGGCCTGTTAGGAACCGGGTCGCACAGCAGGAGGTGAGCAGCAGGTAAGCAAGTGAAGCTTCATCTGTATTTATAGCGACTCCCCATTGCTCACATTACCGCCTGAGCTCCGTCTCCTGTCAGATCAGCAGAGGCATTAGATTCCCATAGAGGTGTGAACCCTATTGTGAATTTTGCATGAGATGGATCTAGGTTGTGTGTTCTTTATGAGAATCTAATGCCTGATGACCTGTCACTGTCTCCCATCACCTCGAGATGGGACCATGTAGTTGCAAGAAAACAAGCCCAGGGTTCCCACTGATACTACATTATGGTGAGTTGTATAATTATTTCATTATATATTACAATGTAATAATAATAGAAATAAAGTGCACAATAAATGTAATACACTTGAATCATCCCCAAACCATCCTCCCTACTCCCTGGTTTGTGGAAAAATTGTCTTCCATGAAACTGGACCCTGATGCCAAAAGGTTGGGGATTGCTGCTATCATGCACCACCTAGAAACCTTTCAGAACCACAGCCCTCATTTCCTGCAACTGCTCGGAGTGTTGCTTGCTGAAGCCTCAAGGCTGACTCTCTCTCTCTGGAAATTTCCCTGGGCCAAAGGGAACTGTCTCACTCAAGACTATGCTCCCTCCATGGGGAAGCCTGCATCCAATGACCAGTCAAGGCAGGGAAGTACAAAATCCAGGCTCATCTGCCTCAACTTGAGACCACTCTGAAAGACCATCCTGGCCCCAGAGCTCCCCAACAGACCGGATGAGACCTCTATTGCAACTGCAATGTAGCTCAACTTCTTTCTCCGCCCAGTCTTGCTTCTCTCACTTCCTATACTCTCCCAACAAACCTCCTGCCCACAATCTTCAATTCGGTCTGTTTCCAAAGAAACTGCCTTAGATAGTCAGTTGAGTAATAAAAGTAATGTACTTATAGGATAATTTAACAGAGTGTTTGTTTTCTAGCAGAATTAGACCTGTTAGAGTGCATTCTCCAAAAATATAGTATCTTATTTTCTATTTCTTTATTGATGCCTTCCATTACTACCTGCCATATTATAGTGCACTCAACAGGTACTGCATAGATAACTCACAATGGCTACTTTATTAGCCAACTCTGTGCTTGGTTCTCAATGGGATGTATGGGATCCATATATTGTCCCTGATATTTCTAGAAATCTCCGCCTTTCTTTCAAGGATTCACAGAAGCCTTGAAAGTCAAACATAAAGCATTGCTAACATGGAGGGAAGGAGAAAAGAAGATACTCCTTTTCTTTTCATCTATGGTTAACCACTTAGAAGAAGGCTTTTATTTAAAAAACCCAGAAAGCTAGTCTCTTAACTGTGAAAAAAACTTCAATGCTTCAGTGTAAGCATACTTAATATCTAGAACAGAAAGAGAAAGAGAGAGAGAGAATGAGAGATTGTATGCATTTTATAATCTTTCTTACCACACTCATTAAACCATGGAAATTATTGAGATTTCCTCAAATTTAACAGACATATCCCTCCAAAATTTATTGTGATCCATAATCAAGACTGATTTAAGTTTCCTCATGGACATGGCATCGTGTTGAGGGCTGTACTGAGCAAGTTAAGCAAGTGTGAATGTAGCTACAATGAGAACCCAAGGATAACAATTCAGTCAATGAAAATCCCCTCTCTCCTATTTGCTCACACTAGGCCTGCCTCTAGCCTAGAGTCTAGGCTAGCAGTGCACATTAACCCTGCCAAACATCAGCAGCTAGCCCCACTGCCACCCTCACCAAGTCTGCAAATAAGTGGCAGGTGATCTCCACAGGCTTTTAGCAAGCTATCAGGTCACACACAGTACTTTGCTCAGAAAAACTCACTTATGTATCTCATCTCTGATCAAGTTCAAGTACTTCATATTTACAGTTTAAAAGCCCAAAATGGGTTAGTTTATCATAGCCCAGCTTCATGACACTGATGCATGTGCTTGTACCGAGTGACTATGAGCTTGGTGCTCTTTGATTTAAGTGCAGGAAGCTTTTATTTTTGAATTTCTACCTACTCATGGCAATACATCAAACAATCAGTTTTAATATCTTTAGGGTTAAGTGCACTCATGTAATTTAGAATTAAATGATTTTTATTAAGCACTTTTACAGACTACATGCTATACAACTCCACTGATTAAGGATCATGGTGACTGGTAAAACAGCAGCCCCCATGAATTAGGGAAACATTAGTGAAATGCATTTTCTGAATACATCACAAAATGCATTCAGTACTAAGTAACTCAAATGTCATGAGAGAGTTCGAATGAAAATTTCCCCCAACAAAGCAAATACACAGATGAGCCCCCTAGGCTATATTGGATTCTAATAGTGACACATCCCTGGTTTGTGGTCTTTCTACTTCTCCTGATCTATATTCTCCACCACTCTACTCTCACCTCAGCCCCACTCAGAACTCAACTTCTAAGTCTAGCAGGGTTATTTATCTTTGAGTCTACTAGGAGGTGGGGCTGGGAGAAGGGAAGAAGTCAACCAGCCCAGGCTCAGTCCTCCTTGTAAAAGATTTGCAGTAGAGCTGCTCACCAGCAGAGGGCAGCATAAATCTGTTGCCTTGCACATGCTCAGAGAGGCTTTGGGCTTCACACTTAATGAAAGGCAGACTGGAAACCGGGGGTGTGTCTGACAAGTGCCACTGGGACGCCATGTGATTGTGCATGCTGTTGAACCAGATCATATCTCCAGCTCATGGCTTCTTGATCAAAACTAATACGAGCTTCTCTTGCCTATTGTTTCAGCTGGGCATGGTTGCAGAGGCCATGGGGAGATACCTGAGCCTACTCCAGGACTTTTTGCAGAATCACAGAAGTTCATTTTTGGCTCAGAGGTATTTGTTTTGCGGGTTTTTGTTTGTTTGTATTTTCTTTTGTTTTTTTTTTTTAAACTCTACTCCCCTCCCCGCAAAAAGGCAAACCAAACTTAAATACTTGAAAGATAAATTATTCAACTTGTAGCTGTATGAACTGGCAAAACTTTCTCTTCACCTCCACCAGAAGGATCTCTAGAGTCACAAGGATCTCATCGGAGCTACTCTATGTGAACTAGTACCCATTCTTTCAACAAGCTTAACTTGGTGCTTCTGTAAAGCTGTGAGGTCTCAGTTGTAAGAGGAAAATGTTTCTTGGCATAATGATGGCAGGGGCTGATGGTAGTGGTGGTCCCTAAAGGTGAAGGTCAAAACCAAGCTAAAAGCAATGTTCTTTCCTTTATGGAGTCTAGGAAGATGAATTATTGTTGTTACAAGTTGCACTTACTTCACTGAGGACATGTCTCACTAATGGGGAGCCTAGACTGTCATTAAATTTTCTTTCTTTCTTTTTTTTTAATTTATGAAGAAAAGGTTTAATTGACTCACAGTTCCAAAGGCTGTACAGGAAGCATGGCTGGGGAGGCCTCAGGAAACTTACACTCATGGCAGAAGGCAAAGTGTAAGTGAGCACCTTCTTCACATGGCAGAGAGGGAGAGAGAGAGGGGAGGGGAAGGTGCCACACACTTTTGAACTACCAGATCTCTTGAGAACTCTATCACAAGACAGCACTAGGGAGATGGTGATAAACCATTAGAAACCACTCCCATGATTTAATCGCCTCCCACCAGGCTCCACATCCAACACTAGGGATTACAATTCAATATGAGATTTGGATGGGGACACAGACCCAAACCATATCACCTTATGTTCTGTTATCTCCATCTTTGTTAGTTGACATATCTAGTTATGTAGCAATTTTTTCTTGGAAGAAAATGCCAACAATGTTCTATTTAATAAAAAACAAACTTCATACTCCATCTTCAACGTGCTTGTTTGCCAAACCTGATGGCCCTAAGGGATTGGCACTGAGGGGAGACGTGTTCCTGAAAAATTCAGTGCTCAAATGTATTACAGCTTATCAGTTGTACACTTGTGGGGCAGGCAGATTTTATGAAATTCTGTAAATTTTCTTAAGGGAATGAAAATAGTCTTCTGGATGCTACAGACTGAGTGGGGAACTTCAACTCACATCTGGGCCAAACCTAAAGCCCTGCTTGAGTTTGCAAGTATGAGAAGGAGCCACAGGAAGTAGCTCCCTCCTGAGGAATGGGGTAGGGTTTCTTCCAGAGAGCACTGGGGTCACCTAACTGAGAACTTAAAGACAGATCTGGGATGAGGAGGGGTGGGGAGACCAGAAGGAGGAAAGGGAGCTCAGATGAGGAGGGCACCTCTGGTAAAAGTGGGCAGGTTGGAGGGCTGAGGAGGGGTATCTGTTGGAACTCCTAATACTGGAAGGCCCTGTCCCTTGGTTCTTACAAAGGAACAGCTAAGTTCAACTTTTATTTCTCCTAGCTACACTACCTAGAGATCTGCCTGATTCTTCAGTCAAAGACTTTACTTTTCTTTTTTTTTTTTTTAAAGGTACTCAAATGTCAACTTTATTGTTTCTATATAAACACTTTTGTACTGAAAACTGTAAAAATAACAAAGTTTGCTGTGATTGCAATCCAAATTTTTGAAAGCCAGAAAATCTAATTATGCTATAGCCAAACTACCTAATGCTTTCTTTATCCACAAGTAACTTTGCTTCAATTTCTTGATGTTGGGTTTCATCTCACTGACTTTGGGCTTCTAAGACACATGGGAATACTTATATCGTCTTGGCTTCTTTGGGTCAAATCAAACAGTAGAGCTAAAGTTATTGAAATACATTCAGATTACACAGATCCCTTATGAATTACTAGTATCATAGTAGGAAGAAAAAGATACAAGAAAAATACATCCTAGAACTCATTATCAAAATTATTGGTGTATAGTCTATACTAGCATAGAGTAGCTTTCTCAACCTGCTATATAAAATTACTAGCAAGAAAAAAAGGTGCAAGAATAAGATTTATGGCTGAAGTGGCTTGGTGTCTTGATTCTCTATTCTAGCATTCTCAGAAGGATCCCATCCATTAGACACGCAGAAACTGCAGGGACATTTGAATGGTCTTGATTCCTTCTTAACTCCCTTAGGCTCCTTGTTTGTTGGTCTTCTTTCATGCGTACGAACTCCGCCCAGTAACATGTATCTCAATCTTGCCATCTTTTCTCTCTGCACAGACAGCAGTGTTCTTACTCCTCTCCTGCTGTAAAGCCACTCATCTTCGATTTCCCTGAGGACTGCTGCCCCCACAGACTCTCGACGGAGTAAAGCTTCCAATAGAGGGGAAACAGATTCGCTACTAGCGTTGATAGTCAAGTTACTAAGGTTCTTTATCAACGTCTCGGAGGAGATTTGAGAGGCCCCTGAATCGTCCCGGGAATTTTCTTCGGTGAGCATTTGTGGAGACCCTGGGTTGTAGGTTGGATTAAACTGTGATGGGTCCATCGGCGTCTTGACACAACACTAAGCTTCTCCTGGATCTTTGAAACGTAGCAGAAACTGATGACAGAGCCTCAAATTGCTACAAGGTAGCCCGGAAAGCAAAGACTTTACTTTTCTGTATTATAGTGTGGAAGGCTTGGTTTCATGGAGGCTGACAGGCTTGGGGCAGCAGGAGGACCACTTCCTTGAGAACTGTCAGGGCAAAGAGCAGGTGGCTACTGGAGGTTTTCGGTGAATTTCCTTAGATTATCAGAAGCACAGAGACCAATGACCCTGAGAGGTATCAAGACTAATCTTTCTAAATTTTCTGCTGCTTCCTGCTTGTAAATAAATTCTTTAAGATCACTCAAAGTTCTGAAGCAAAACAAATCTGATTTTGTTTCTGACTTTCTTTCCAACCCAACTATTTCTCCCATGGGTTTGCTTTTTTTTTTTTTTTTTTTTTTTTTTGGTTAGATGCCCCTCCTCTGTATTTCCATACCCTATGCTTACAGCTGCCATAGCATTTATCAACTGTATTCAAATTTCCTTTCTAGACTGTGAGCTTCATGAGGACAGAGATACTGTCAACTTTTCTGTGGTTCTAGCCCTAGTGAATACTGTAATCCCTATATAAAATAGTTGGTCAAGAAATATATGGGGGTGTGCATGTGTGTATGTTTTCTTTTGAGACAGGGTCTCACTCTCTTGCCCAGGTTGGAGTGCAGTGGTGTGATCAAGGCTCACTGCAGCCTCAACATCCCAGGCTCAAGTGATCTTCCCACCTCAGCCTCCTGAATACTGCCTGGCTAATTTTTATACTTTTTGTAGAGACAAGGTCTCAAGATGCTGCCCAGGCTGGTCTCGAACTCCTGGACTCAAGTGATCTTCCTGCCTCAGTTTCCCAAAGTGCTGGGAATACAGGCATGAGCCACCATGCCCAGCCAAGAAATAGATGTTGAATAAATGCATGAGTAGGTTTACTCACCTTATCACACTTAATCTTTACAGTTTCTATTATATCTCATTTAACAGATAAGAAAACTGAGACACAATTACATAAATATTTCAAGGTTATAGGGCTAGTATATAATTCAGGAGGAGGTGTTATTTGAATTGGACCCTGAAGAATAAGTAGAATTTCAACAGGTAAAGATGGAAAAATGGCCTTCCAAGTAGAAGTAAGCACATGAATATAAGCATGGAAATAGCAAACCATATGGAATATTTGGGGACTGGTTATTATTCACTTTAATGGTCGTAAAAAGGTTTTGCAGTGATGTAGTGAAAGATAAGGCCAGAAATGGTGGTTGGAGTAACAGTGGAATAATAATAACAAGAGTAGATAACATTTATTGAGTATTTGATACATACCAACACTATTCTAAGTACTTAAATGTAAAAAATACATTTACAAATAGCTAATATATAACCATGTAAAAAAAATTTAAAAGAACAGAAGCATATGGAGTGAAAGGTAAGACTCCCTCCCATGCCTATATCTTTCCATATCTCATTTCCCCTTTCCTAAGGCAACTACTGCTATACTTTTTGTATATCCTTCTAGGGATACATCATATTCTGTGCATATGCAAACATATACATGTATATGTTTTTACACAAATGACCATGTACTAATATGCCGTTATACTTCTTGCTTTTTTCATTTTCAATGTATTAGAGATCAGCTCATACTGCTATTATAGAGCTGCTTCATTTTTAAAAACTGCTTCTTAGTATTCCATTCTACAGATGCGCTATAATCTATTTAACCAGTTCCCTCCTAACAGACACTTAGAATGTTGCAGATCTTTTACTGTTACAACCAACTGTATCGAATATCCATATATGTTTTGCTTTGAATTCATGTGTAAGTATATATGAAAGCTAATTCCCAGAAATGGAATTTATGAGTTAATAGGAATGTGCTTTTTAACTTTTCACAGATATTATAAAATTGCTCTCCAAAAAAGTTGTGCTACTTTATACTCACCTACAATGTACTATCAAATTTTCTGATCTTTGTCAATTTGATCAGTCAAAAGTGAACTTTCACTGTTGTTTTAATTTGTATTTCTCCTGTTATGAATAAAATGATCATTACTTAATGTATTTTAAATACAATAAAATTTCAGTTCATAAAAATATAAATAAAAATTTATAATAAATATATGTATTTAAATTAAAAGAAACTATCTAAATCTTATTAAAATAATAAAAATAAAATAAGCATTACTTGATGTAGTTTTCCTCTTTTCTGTAAATTGACTGCACTTCTTTTGTTTTTATTTTTATTTTTAAAATTTTAATTTAATTTAAACTTTTTTAGAGACAGGGTTTCACTCTGTCATCCAGGCTGGAGCGTAGTGGTGTGGTCATGACTCACTGAAGCTTGAACCTTCTGGGTTCGAGCAGTCTTCCAGCCTCAGCCTCCAGGTAGCTAGGACTATAGACTTGAGACACCATGCCCAGCTAACTTATTTTTATTTTTTTCAGATATAGGGTCTTGCTATGTTGCCCAAGCTGGTCTTGAACTCCTGGCCTCAAGTGATCCTCCTGCCTTGGCCTGCCAAAGTGTTGGCAATACAGAAAAAGGCCATTGTGCCTAGCCATTTTCTCTTTTTAAAATGTCGCTTTGTTGTTCTTTTTCCTATTGATTTGTTGGCTTCATTATATATTAGGGAAATTAGTCCCTTAGGTGTTATATATCTTATATCTTTTTCCTTAATTTGTCATTATTCTTCTGATATTGTCTATGGTCTTTTAATGTTTTATTTTTACTTTTAAATATTTTAGTCAGAAAATTTCAAACATATACAGAATAGAAAGAATAGCTTAATAAATTCTTATGGTCCAAATACCTACCCAGCATTATCAAAATACATAAAAAACTTAATTCATTTAATACCCATCCCCCACCCCCACCACACTGCTTCTCTTCTGCTGCCCTGCTGAATTATTTCAAAATAAATATATCATTTTGAATCATTTTTATCTATGATCATTATAGTCCTGCAGCGATTTTAATTTTGTGTAGTCAAATTTATTAGACTTTCATTTTATGGTTTCTGGTTTATATTCACTCTGAGAATATATATAGTCATGACAAAGTTTTGAGGTGAGTAATGTCTTAAAATTGAGCCATAAAGAAGCTAGGGTAACTTGCCTAAGGTGGCACAGCTTATAAAGGGTAGGAGTTAGGAACACGCCCTAGAGTCTAATGTAGGGCTCCCTCTCTTGACCATCACACCACACCTCTGCCCAGGGAGGCTGTAACGGCCAAGCTAAGCAAGACAGACCTCAGGTTGGCACTCGCAATCATTCATGGCTGCTGAACGGTGAAATCATGCAGAAGCAGTCTGGCACAGTGGCTGCTTCCATAAACCTTTTAAGTCAGCGCACTTTGGAGGGGCAAGGTGTCTGTCACAGATCCCCTTTAGAATCTCATGAAAGCTCCTGGACTCTGTCCATAGGAAGTATGCATATTTACGCATATAGACACAAACACACACATGCACACACACAGTCACACACTGGGCTGCAGGGACTTGCTTATCTTCATTCTGTCATCTCTGTATTAGGCAAGGAAACAGGCCTGGATTGGACGCTTACTAGAGTTTTTTTGCCATTCAGTTCCCTAGAGAACAGTGCAGTTTGATTATATTTGTATTTGTAGACAGGTGAGGATGACCTATTTAATCAATACATCTAAGGGCTAAGAGATAAGCTATATTATTCAGGTTCTGTAACAAAGCTTATGCTAATTTAACCTGACATGTAGCATGTTAGGTTAATATGATTTAGATTACATGTATCATTTTTAGAAATTGATGTTTTTGTTGCTGGTTTCTCCTGACATTTTTGAACTATAATATGTAATGCAATACTTCTCCAACAAAGAAGGTAATTCTTACTAGTGAAGGTAATTAATGGTTATTTGATCATATTACAGCATAGAAATCATGTTTTTGCCACACAATAGGTTTCCTAATTGGTGATCCAAGGATGACCACATTCATTTTCTGCCCATAGAGATTTCCCACTGTGCATGGATTATCTCTTAATATTGTGATAGCAGCAAATAATGGTTATAGCCAGTAAGAAAATTAATTTACAATGCTTCAACAATCATTATAAAAGACCTAATAATGCTAATTTAGGTGTAGGATGAGTCATCCAATTAGTTAATTAAATAGAACCGTGCTGCCAGTCTCCTATAATGGAGCACACTGTGTTGTAGGTGTTTGATAGAGATGAGCAATGCCAAGGGAAGGTAAAAGAGTACACACTGGCCCCCACAAATGCATGTAATGTTTATACTTATGAAAGCACAAGCAAAGGTAATCACTTTGCCAAAAATCAGAAACAGTCATTTTTTAAATAGTTATTTTGCTCTTATTTTACGAAGAAAAAATTTTGCTGGTCTATTTGTTAGCTTTATAACTTCCAAGAATGTTTTTAAATTTTGATTTGATTTATCAAGTCCAAAATGCTCCCATAAATTTATTACCCTTTGGTTTTTCTTAAAGAAAATAATAAAATCACTGTCATTGGGTTGAACACTACCAATATCTCCATCTATTTAACTTCTTTTAGTTGCAGTAACTTGTATCTAATTCATAAAACTCATATGCCCATGTGGGCCATAACAAATGGGGGTTGCAAAGTTTAATTAGCTTGTCTAGCCGGTGGTCCCACATAGCTTAGGATTCAGAGGTCCTAGTTATTTCTCCCCTGTAAGCTTTTGTTATTTCACACTAATAGGTTTTTGTATTTTTAGTCTGTCTTCATGTGAGAAGTACCCTGCCCCTTCAGTGAGTTTAGCTGCTTTTTCCTAGGCAATGCCAGATGTCCTGATCCTCTTTGGGGTGAAGAGGGGGAAAGCATTGGTATAACCAGAAATCACATATTTCTCATTTGAATACAATGTAATTGCTCAGAAAGAACAACTGTCTCTACCAAGAGGGTGAAATACTTCTTTTCTAACTGCCAGCTTGGAATAACTAATTTTAAATGTTTTGTGTTATAAAGTAGGAAATGTTTTCTTTTTTATTAAAAAAAGATATTGAACATGAATACAATAAAAGCTATCTAATGATTGAATGGAAGTTCAACATTTTTTTGAAGAGTTTACAAACCACAATAGATTTTCTTCCTGTCAATTCAAATATTCATAGGTCATACAGGCTGGCCTCCTACCACAGTGTACCTATAATTCCTTATTTTAAAATACTAATTAACTTTTAAGCATAAGTCTTTTAGCTCTGGATACGGTACTGCCTATATGAAGCAAATAACACGACTGAGGTGAAGAATGGTGTTTCTTGGAATAGGTATTGTTTGCCAAGCTGTATGCAAGAGCCCTACAGAAAGTAGAAAAAGACGTTATAGAAGAGTAAGCAGACATTTTTACAAGGTCACTTCATTCAGACTGGAAAGTGGCCAGCACAATGTCATTATTTACAACAGGATCTGGGAACACTTGAGGAAATTACAGACCATTTAGTTTTGATTCCATTGTAGGGGGCAAAGTCTTAGGAAGTATTTTAGGAGATTAAATGGGGAACACTGAGAAAAGCACAGCTTGATTAAGGATAGCCAATGCAGTCTCTGGAATGAAAAAGTCATGCTTCAATAATTTTTTGACTTCTTTAAGGAAGTAAATGCCAAGAAAATCAAATGAATGCCTCAAAATTCTCTATTCTAAATTTCCAGGAGGTGTTTGTTAAAGTTTTGCTTGACAAATTAGCACACACAAAGAAGTGGTTCTTAAAATTGGAGAAATGCAGGGGACAAAGATTAATCGTGCATTAAATTGTCCTTAAAATGAGATGGAATCACAGGACCAAAAGAATTTTACTGAGACAAAGACATTATAATAGTCTGAGTATTTATGATCAGCATCGGCATCATGTTTTTGTGCCTTTATTATGTAATTAGACAGAATTTTTCCAGAAGGCAATGGAAAAAATGGAAATCTTTGACTTTCAAGAATACATGGTCTAATAAAGATAACACTGATTCAGGTTTATCTAAGTAGACAGAGAACTAGACAAACATAACAAAAACTTAGTAAGACTAACTCTTAGATGGCTAATAGTGAGGAAAACATGCTGGTTTTTAAAATTCAGGACAAGCATTCATAGAACTTCTCTTTGGGCAAGGGAGGCAAAGCGGCTATGTTTGCCGGAAGGGCAAACCTTCTAACCATCAAAGGAACAGCAGAGCAGGGCCTTTTCTGGGCATGAGAGGGCTCTGTCTGGAAGGTTATCCATGTTCCCAGTCTAGGTAGCTGGTAGAAGGGTGATTGTCCTTGAAGGACAAGCTTCAACTACACATGAATTGGAAGTTAACTGAAAATGAAGAGGGAGTAGACCAAAAATGAGCAAACAAAATTGGGGTACCGGATTATAAGGCATCTAAGTCCTTTCCAATTCTAAAATACTGTGATCTCCCAGGGGATCCTCAAAGAATCTTTTCAAACTAGACAGGAAAGATTTCCTGCTGAGTAAAGTGAACTAGGGATGTATATAAACATCCTCTAGAAGGCAAGATTGCTGATATAATAATAGGGGAGAAGAGTTCACTATATAGCTGACATTTATTGAGTGCTTACTCTGTCCCAGGTGCTTTGCTAAGTATTTAACATACATTATCATTTACTTTAATCCTCTCTAAAATCCTAACAATAGGTAGGTACTATAATTATCCCCATTTTTCAGTTGAGGAAACTAAATTAGAGAGGGGATTTAAGTTGCTTAAGACTCACATGGGGCTGGGCACAGTGGTTCACACCTGAAATCCTAACACTTTGGCAGCCAAAGCAGGAGGGTCACTTGAACCCAAGGGTTTGAGACCAGCCTGGGCAATATAGTGAGACCTTGTTGCTATAAAAATTAGCCAAGTGTGGTGTCATGCACCTATAGTTCCAGCTACTTGGGAGGCTGAGGTGGGAGGATTGCTTGAGCCTGGAAAGTAGAGGTTGCAGTGAGCACCACTGCACTCCAGCCTGGGTGACAAGAGTGAGACCGTTCTCAAAAAAAAAAAAGAAAAAGAAAAAAGATTCACATGGCCAGTTAAGTATAAGTTACTGCAGCCAGTTATTTTAAGCCAGTATATGAAAGTGCTTCAATTTGCCTGATCATAAGACTTGTCTAAGGTACTTGACAAAAACAAAAACAAAAACAAAAAACAGACATTCTAGGCCCCTCTCCTGCAGTTTCTTTCTAGAGTAAGGCCTGAGATTTAACATTTTTACAAGCAACCAAAGTGGGTCTTATGATCAACCCTATTTGAGAAACAGTGCCGTAATACCATAAAAGCCTCCCAGAAAATCAGAGTTGGGTATTCCAAAGCCTAGCAGATGCTGGCAGCTAAAAGCTATATGATACAAGGCATGGAGTATCCACCCTCCAAGAGGGCCAGGAGCCTACAGCCCCCACAGCAGCACAATTCCATGAGGCTGCAGTCCTCCATTTGCCTGCAAGGCGCGCACAACCTCCTAGCATGATCCCATACAAGGAAACTCTCTTTGGCTTAAAACAGATCCTCTTGATAAACCACAGTTCAGAGAAACAGATTGCAACATTCTTTTTCAAATTCTTACACAATGTCAAGACAATAGGAAAAACAGAACCATGTGGAATTATCTAGGAAGGAATCACTTCTGATCAAAAGGAAAAAAAAAAAAGAATATGAAATAGAAAAGAGAAGATTTTAAAACATCTAATTTTTGGTTGACTAGAATTGGTAATTACTTGGAACACCTGTTATTTCTCATCTCTGGTATCTTTGTTAACTGAATACTTAAACAGATGCATAGGTCTTTTTTTGGAATGAACAATGAATACATTATAATATGCAATCTATTTTCTTGGTACAAGATCTCTAAAAAGATAACACATTTAATTAAATGCACCATAACTTCAAAGAGCTGCTAAGGTATCAACACACTCTTGAAGGGATCCATGGGGAAACTGCCAATTATACATCCAAATAAACATATCCACAGCAGACTCGGGCTTTTTAGTGTTCACACTTTAATCAATTCTACAAACATTTATTGAGCCCCCTACTATGTGTCAGGCACTAGGATTCTATGGGGAATACAAAAAGGAATACAAAAGCCTCTATCTTAAAGAAACTTACAGTCTAATACATGAGATAACACATACACACAAATGACTCTAACGCAAGCTCTATATGTGATGAAAGAATATAAGCATTCAGTGAGTTCAGATTGCTCCCAGCTCTGAAAATTCCTCAGGAAGGAAATGACATTTGTGAAAACATTGAAAGGATGGGCAGGATTTGAGAGCTTATAAGGTTCTCATTTTGAACCATTATGTTCTTAATTGTAAAATAAGGATAATAATACTAATAATATTCAACAGCGACTCTGCAGTAATGTTTACAGGGTCAACCTAACGTCATGAATAATTCATCAGCAGGAATAGTTACTGCTCAAGAAATGTGTACACTTGCTACTACCTATTGTTAATTCCTCTTTAAATGTTTCCAGTGTCACCTTTCAAAGGACTTCAGCATGATAAAGCATAAGCCTCGTGGTGGAAAGGTTACCTTTTGTGAACCCCACAAAAGCATACCATAAGTATGAATGTGCTGTGCACCTGTGTATGAGTCCCTGGTTATTTGTATATTGACTATGCTATCTGTTGAGGTGAACCAGGTAGGTAAGCTCTGTTCTGAGTACCCAGTAAAGAACCTATCATCCTCTTGGCTTGTTTAACAATATGCCTCTCACATCTGTCTTGACTTTTCTGCTACCACTGCCCTAGTTTGGTTCAGGCCCTTATCACTTCACCTCTAGAGTACTGCACATTTCCTTCAACTGATCTCTTGGTGTCTAGGCCTTCCCTCGGCTGTTCTTTTACACAAGCCGCCATCAGGTTAATTTTCTTAAGTGGTGGTCTGTTCACATCACATTGCTCAAAAGTCCTTCACTGGCTCTCTCCTGCTCTCCAGAGAGAATCCAGACTCCAGGGCCTGCAATTCTGAACTCTACAATCTAGACCCAACACACTTCTCTAGCCTTAAATCCCATGACATTCCTATGTCTGTGCCTTTGCTTTTGTACCTCTTGCTGACCAAAACACCCAGTCTGCATCTCCATATGTCAAAATAGTAACCATCCTTCAGTGCCTGCTCTGCTCAACTCTAGCCTTCCATCAGTTTTCTGTACAGACTGCTTGGTATTGTACATATTTGAAAAAGGGCTATATTTATCAAGGTAAGTAACATCAGATGCTTACAATACAATACACAATACAACACAACAATATTGTTTCCTGCACAGAACTTTGCCTACTTCAGGCACTCAATAACTTGTTTACACAACATTTAATAATACTTAACATTTATTAATAATAATACTTAATGTTTATTAACCATGTTTCAGGTACCATTTAAATTCTTTACATGAATTTTATCATCTCATTTTATCTTCTCAAGAACCCTCTGAAGTAGGTACTGTCATTATCTCCATTGAAAGAAGAGGAAATAGGTACAAAGAGTAACCTGCCCAAAGTTACATAACTAGTAAGTTGGACTCAAGTAGTTTTACTCCTGATGTTCATAATGAATATGCAACGGGGACTCCAATATTTTTTAAGGTCTTTTACAATCTATAAAACCTTACATTTATATGATTTTCATTTTATCTTCACAACAAATTAATGAGGTTGGTATTATTATCCTCACTTTCCAGAAGTGTAAACTGAGGTTTAGTAACAGGCCCAAAGGTATCTGCTGAGTCATAGAGTCAGGCTTTGAGCACTAAAGGTCATTCCTCCTCATTGCTGTTCTGTGTCACAGCAACATGTCCCCTCAATAAAAAACAAAGGTAAGTACATGCCAATAACTGGGAATGTGGTCCAGATCCTTTTAAAGATCAGTGTGTGGCACTGGTGCAGTCCTAGTGCCAAATGGACATCTGGCAATGTGATGCAAGTAACAAAACATGAGGGCATACCCAGTGAGCTCTAAGCTTGCCTTTCTAATCTCCCCTGCCATGACAGGGGTTTAAAAGGGAAGTATTTGTTCCTAAACTTCTAGGAAATGCCTCTGTCTTAGTTTCGGTTCCTGCCTAAGAAGTATTTGGGTGCAGATAGCTTACTTGGGAGATGACCCTGGGAGGTAGGAGTGAGAGTAAAGAGAGCAGGGCAGGAAAATAAAAGCTATCAATAAAAGGTTATCAAGGCATTTGCTCGGCAAAGGTGGCTGGACCTTTGAGAAATTACACCTGGACCTTTGAGAAATAAGTAGAATGCCTTCCAGAATGGCCCACCCAATGGCAGAAAGGTAGAGCATTTGTCCACTAACCTCATGCCTCACTGATTGAGAGTGCCGTGAAGACATTAACTCCCCAACTTCCAGGCTTCCCTTGCAAGTGGGTCCAGCAAGCTCCTGTATCTTTGGAGAAGACGCTGGGGCAGAAGGCTGAAAAACACACAGTGCATGCTTGAAGTGGGACACTATCAGACTAAGACTAAACTTGCATCAACTGTCCACCACAGTCATGGCTGTAATCAGAAATAAGCTGAGAGGATACAACATGAAGTACCAGAGGCTTCTCTTATACCAAATGAATTTAACCCGAAAAATTTTCAAATCCCCATGAACCACCTAGGGATTTAATTATTTGGAGTGTAACTCTTTGGCAATATCCTAAATAATTCTCCTGGAGTGCTAATACTATCTCTTTCTCATTTAAAAAGTGTAAGAACTATATCCTATACCAAGATAGCTCAGTCCTAAAGTTACCAGTATGGATATGCCAAGTTCATTAGATTTTATGATAAATGCCCAAGGACACTATTAAAAGATGATGGTTTAAAATACATATGTATATATTTTATACATATTTATAAACACATATATACATATATACACATAAAAATATATACATGTATAAATATATATTTATATATAAATACGTAACGTAGGAAGCAAAAATAAGTTAATCAAGACACTGAAAAGATTTCAATTAACACTAATATTTTTCATAACTGTAGACTGAATTGTGTTATAGTAGTGTAGTAAGTAATAAAGAGGACAAGTTTTAAAGTGAAACAGACCAATTAACTGAGAGTATGATTTTTAAGCCAGTTTATCAGTCAGCTATTGCTGCAATAATGTTGCATAACAACTCCAAAATTTCAATGGCTTGTGACAATAAGCATATATTACTCATTCACCAAGTCTTTGGGCGGATTGTAGTTCTGGGCTCAGCTTGGATTGGGTTGGTTTGGCTTGGCTTCAGTCTCTGAATTAAGTTTAGGTCTACTCCACATTTTTCGTTATTCTCCTCAAAATACTAGCAATACAGGTAAATTCTTTAAATGGTGAATAGCAGAAGCATAGGATGAAAGAAGCTAATCCACACAAACATGTAACCTATGGTTCACATCATGTCTGCCCACATATACTTAGTCAAAGTAAGTTACATGACCAATCTCAACATCAATGCAATGAAGAAATGGCCTCTGCTTTCTCTTGTGGGAAATACTGAAAAATCACATGGCAAAGGGAGGCAGTGAAGAATTGAGGATGAGAATCTTATCTACTTGATCTATAAAGGAGGGATAGTTATATTTATTTTAGCATGTGTTGTGAGGATTGAACTAGATAAGTCATGTAACATGGATATTACAGTTGTGGCACACAGTAACTGATCACCAAATATTAATTCCCACTATCTTATCCCCTTCTCTAACCATTCGAAGGAAGGCAAAAGGAACCAATGCTTAATTAGCTCTGTCTACAGGACACCACGTTATTTCTTAAATTAATCAGAAAAACGGTCAATCATTTTGGGCAAAGTGTAGGAAAAAACAACGCTTTCACTACATATTTTTCATTCTTGAATACTTTTATATTACTTCCTATCACATTTTCCTCTACATAATTGCAAAACAACCATCAAAATCAAGAAAATAACATTAATATACTGCCACCATCTAATTCTCAGACCCCATTCAAGTTTTTCCAACTGTCCCAAGGATCCAGTTCAGAATAATTAAATGCATTTACTTGTCATATTACTGTAGTTTTGTTTAATTGGAACAGCTTCTCGTCTTTCATTGACTTTCTAACTCTATTAATTTTCTATACTTCATAACAAATTACCATAAATTTCGCAGCTTAAATGTATTATCTTAAAATTTATTTAAGATAAAATTTAACACACATTTATTATCTAAAATTTCTGTGGATCAGGCTTGACAGGGTTTTATGTCTCACCAGGCTGAAGTCCCTGTGGTCTCACCAGAGCCTTGGCTTTAAAAAGATCTGCTTCCAAGCTCCTTCTTTGCTGGTTCAGGACTGAAGTTTTAGTTTCCTTCTGGACACCACCCTCAACTCCTAGAACCTGTCCACATTTCTTTGTCATGTGGGCTTCTCCAACATAGCCACTTACTTCAGCAGCTTATTTCTTCAAGGACAGTAAGGAATTGTCTCTCTAGCACCTCTGTTAGTAAGCTAGAGTTTATATATATATATATATATACACACACACACACACACACATATTTATAGACATATATATGTATATATAACTTTTTATATGATTTTACATATATAAAAATCATAATGTAATTATGGGAGTGACATTTCATCACCTATGCCATATCTTATTGGTTAAAAGCAAGTCACAGATCCTGCCCAAACCGAAGGATAGGAGATTATACAAAGGCATGAACATCAAAGGGCAGGGATCAATGGGTGGGGTCAGGGAGGTGAGAGGGAGGGAAGACTGATCATCTTAGATTTTATCCACTATAGTGGTCTTGACATTTTTGAATATTACCTTCTAGAAACTTCCTTAATTTGGGTTTTTGTAAAATGTTTCTCCATTTGGCTTTGTCCAATGTTTTCTCATGATTCCTCATGCCCAGGTAAAGATTCTTTTTCCAGAATACCACAAAAAGATGTTTAGTTCTTCACACTGTATGGTGGCTTGTAATTTCAGTTTGCCCTATTATGGAGTTCATATCTATTATTTAAATTAAGTATTATCTACCAGGGTTTACTCATTTTCTTTATGTAATTAATAAATGTTTGGTGGAAATATGCCTTAAAACTGTTAATATCCCATTCCTCATCACACTTCCAATCAGTCAATAAATTTATGTATTTAATCAGTGTTTGCTCATGGTTTACTATTTAATAGTTTATAATCAATTAATCAATATTTTTATTTTGGTGCCCAACTTATCCCCAATTTATCCAGTGGAAGTCCCTTCAGTTTGGCTTGTGTGTTCTTTAACACATCTCTATCATTCTTTGAGCAATTCCTATGTTCAGACACATTAATCCAAGGAGCCCTTGCTCTTTGTGTGGATTTATTTATTTATTTATTTTTTCTTTTATTATTATACTTTAAGTTTTAGGGTACATGTGCACAATGTGCAGGTTAGTTGCATATGTATACATGTGCCATGCTGGTGCGCTGCACCCACTAACTCATCATCTAGCATTAGGTATATCTCCCAATGCTATCCCTCCCCCCTCCCCCCACCCCACAACAGTCTCCAGAGTGTGATGTGCCCCTTCCTGTGTCCATGTGATCTCATTGTTCAATTCCCACCTATGAGTGAGAATATGCGGTGTTTGGTTTTTTGTTCTTGCGATAGTTTACTGAGAATGATGATTTCCAATTTCATCCATGTCCCTACAAAGGACATGAACTCATCCTTTTTATGGCTGCATAGTATTCCATGGTGTATATGTGCCACATTTTCTTAATCCAGTCTATCATTGTTGGACATTTGGGTTGATTCCAAGTCTTTGCTATTGTGAATAGTGCTGCAATAAACATATGTGTGCATGTGTCTTTATAGCAGCATGATTTATAGTCCTTTGGGTATACACCCAGTAATGGGATGGCTGGGTCAAATGGTATTTCTAGTTCTAGATCCCTGAGGAATCGCCACACTGACTTCCACAATGGTTGAACTAGTTTACGTCCCACCAACAGTGTAAAAGTGTTCCTATTTCTCCACATCTTCTCCAGCACCTGTTGTTTCCCGACTTTTTAATGATTGCCATTCTAACTGGTGTGAGATGGTACCTCATTGTGGTTTTCATTTGCATTTCTCTGATGGCCAGTGATGATGAGCATTTTTTCATGTGTTTTAAATTACAGTGTGAGGTCACTTACTTTCAGCATGAAGAACTTCTTTTAGTATTTTTTACAGGGTGATTTGCTAGCAACAAATTCTCTGTGTTTTTGTTTATTTTGGAAAGTCTATTTTACCTTGAACTTTGAAAGATACATTTGCTGAATATAAAATTCATGGTTGACAGGATTTTTTTTTTGAGCACTTGAAATATGTTATCTTATTGCCTTTTGGCCTCCATTGTTTCTGCTGACGAATCAGCTGATAATCTTATTATCAGCTCCCATGTAATTGATTCATTTATTTTATCTTGCTGCTTCCAAGATTTTCTCTCATGTTTAACTTTCAGCATTTTTACTGTAATGGGTCTGTTTGTGAATCTCTTTGCATTTATCTTACTTGGAGATTGCTGAGCTTCCTGGATGCACAGGTTATTATTTTTCAATAAATTGAGAGAGTTTTCAGCTATTATTCTTTGGAATATTTTTTCTTCTCTTTTTTCTCATCTCCTGATATTCTCATTACTTTTACGTTGGCATGCCTAATAGTGTTCCACATTTCTTTGAAGACCTACTCATTTTTCTCCTTTTTTCTCTGTTCTTCAGTCTGCATAATCTCTATTAATCTATATACAAGTTCACAAATTCTATCCTCTACCAACTCAAATTCAGATCTACTTCTGAGCCCTTCTTTAAATTTCTATTATTATATTTTTCAACTCCAGAATTTATTTGGCTATTTTTTTTATAATTTCTTTATTGATATTTTCAACTTGATGTGACATTGTCATCACACCTCCTTTCGCTTCTTTAATCATGCTTTCCATTAGCTCTGTGAACATTTTTATAATAGCTACGTTGAAATATTTTTTGTCAGAATTTTATATTAATTTTGAGCCTAGGAGGTCTCCTCTTGGCTGTCTTTTTCATCCTTTTCTCCTACAAACTCGTCAGCCTATAGTCTTGTTATACCTTCATACCTTCATTAGTTTAACAAATCTCCTCATTACCTTTTACCACAATCTCTCCTGATCTTCAGATCATGTGTAGGTTAAATTTTTCACACTCTCTTGCAAATAAAGTCAGTTCCTTTGGGAAGAATTTATGAACAATCTGGTTTATGGATCTAACTCTCAGGCAAAATATCTGAAACAGGACTTTGGAACTGAAGGCAGGGAGAATAGTGCTTCTCTCTGCTTTACACTCCTGCTGTAGGAGCTGAGTGCTTGGTGTTGGGGGTCTGCCTGAGGTCCTCTCAACTTGTCTGGCATGGGACCACCACTTCAGGAGCCAGGAGTAGGGCTATCAGGGTCCCAGTAGTCTCAGCATGTCACACACAAAGTAGAGTCTCCGTCTGTAAGAGAAAGTCCAACTGTAAACTGCATTCCTAGAACTTAGTCTCAGCAACAGCTGCCGGGGGAAGGATGAGAAATGCCCAAATCCTGCTCCTCTCAGGATGGAAGCACTCTATCTGAGACCCAATGGAGACAGAGAGCCCTGTGTTCTTGGCTGGAGTAGGGTCTCTGGTCACTGATTAAAGAGAGGAGAAGGAGGGAGCAGTCTGTTCAAATACACAGACTCTCACCTTCTTACCTACTTTTCATAGATTTATTCATTTTTCTTGACCATCGTTGCACCTTTATTTTATTTCAATGTATTCTTTTTTTTAACTTTTAAGTTCAGGGGTACATGTGCAGGTGTGTTAAATTGATAAACTTGGGTCATGGGGGATTGCTGTACAGATTATTTCATCACCCAGGTATTAAGCCTAGTAACCATTATTTTTCCTGATCCTCTGCCTCCTACCACTCTCCACCTTCCAAAAGGCCCCAGTGTGTGTTGTTCCACTTGATGTGTCCAGTGTTCTCAACATTTAGCCCCTACATATAAGAAAGAAGATGTAATATTTGGTTTTCTGTTCCTGTGTTAGTGTGCTGAGGATAATGACCTCCAGCTCCAACCATGTCCCTACAAAGGACATGATCTTGTTCTTTTTTATGGCTGCATAGTATTCCATGGTGTATATGTACCATATTTTCTTTATCAGGTCTATCACTGATGGACATTTAGGTTGATTCCATATCTTTGCTGTTATGAATAGTGCTGCAATTCACTCAAAATCATACAATTACGTGGAAACTGAATAACCTGCTCCTGTGTAACTTTTGTGTAAATAATGAAATTAAGGCAGAAATCAAGAATTTATTAGAAACCAGTGAAAACAAAGATACAACGTACCACAGTCTCTGGAACACAGCTAAGGCAGTGTTAGCAGGGAAACTTATAGCACTAAATGCCCACATCAAAAAGTTAGGAAGATCTCAAGTTAACAAATTAACATGGAATGTTTTTCCATTTGTTTCTGTCCTCTTTTATTTCGTTGAGCAGTGGTTTATAGTTCTCCTTGAAGAGGTCCTTCACATCCCTTGTAAGTTGGAGTCCTAGGTATTTTATTCTCTTTGAAGCAATTGTGAATGGGAGTTCACTCATGATTTGGCTCTCTGTTTGTCTGTTATTGTTGTATAAGAATGCTTGCGATTTTTGCACACTTATTTTGTATTCTGAGACTTTGCTGAAGTTGCTTATCAGCTTAAGGAGATTTTGGGCTGAGACGAGGGGGTTTTCTAAATATACAATCATGTCATCTGCAAACAGGGACAATTTGACTTCCTCTTTTCCTAATCGAATACCCTTTATTTCTTTCTCCTGCCTGATTGCCCTGGCCATAACTTCCAACACTATGTTGAATAGGAGTGGTGAGAGAGGATATCCCTGTCTTGTGCCAGTTTTCAAAGGGAATGCTTCCAGTTTTTGCCCATTCAGTATGATATTGGCTGTGGGTTTGTCATAAATAGCTCTTATTATTTTGAGATACGTCCAATCAATACTTAATTTATTGAGAGTTTTTAGCATGAAGGGCTGTTGAATTTTGTCAAAGGCCTTTTCTGCATCTATTGAGGGAAAACTGGCTAGCCATATGTAGAAAGCTGAAACTGGATCCCTTCCTTATACCTTATACAAAAATTAACTCAAGATGGATCAAAGACTTAAATGTTAGACCTAAAACCATAAAAACCCTAGAAGAAAACCTAGGCAATACCATTCAGGACATAGGCATGGGCAAGGACTTCATGTCTAAAAACCCTAGAAGAAAACCTAGGCAATACCATTCAGGACATAGGCATGGGCAAGGACTTCATGTCTAAAACACCAAAAGCAATGACAACAAAAGCCAAAATTGAAAAATGGGATCTAATTAAACTAAAGAGCTTCTGCAAAGCAAAAGAAACTATCATCAGAGTGAACAGGCAACCTACAGAATGGGAGAAAATTTTTGCAATCTACTCATCTGACAAAGGGCTAATATCCAGAATCTACAAAGAACTCAAACAAATTTACAAGAAAAAAACAAACAACCCCATCAAAAAGTGGGCAAAGGATATGAACAGACACTTCTCTAAAGAAGACATTTATTCAGCCAACAGACAGATGAAAAAATGCTCATCATCACTGGCCATCAGAGAAATGCAAATCAAAACCACAATGAGATACCATCTCACACCAGTTAGAATGGTGATCATTAAAAAGTCAGGAAACAACAGGTGCTGGAGAGGATGTAGAGAAATAGGAACACTTTTACACTGTTGGTGGGACTGTAAACTAGTTCAACCATTGTGGAAGACAGTGTGGCGATTCCTCAAGGATCTAGAACTAGAAATACCATTTGACCCAGCCATCCCATTACTGGGTATATACCCAAAGGATTATAAATCATGCTGCTATAAAGACACATGCACACGTATGTTTATTGCAGCACTATTCACAATAGCAAAGACTTGGAACCAACCCAAATGTCCATCAATGATAGACTGGATTAAGAAAATGTGGCACATATACGCCATGGAATACTATGCAGCCATAAAAAAGGATGAGTTCATGTCCTTTGTAGGGACATTGATGAAGCTGGAAACCATCATTCTCAGCAAACTATCACAAGGGCAAAAAACCAAACACTGCATGTTCTCACTCATAGGTGGGAATTGAACAATAACAACACTTGGACATAGGAAGGGGAACATCACACACCAGGGCCTGTTGTGGGGTTGGGGGAGGGGGGAGGGATAGCATTAGGAGATATACCTAATGTAAATGACAAGTTAATGGGTGCAGCACACCAACATGGCACATGTATACATATGTAACAAGCCTGCACATTGTGTACATATACCCTAGAACTTAAAGTATAATAATACAAAATAAATAAATAAAGTGCTGGGATTACAGGCATTAGCCACCATGCCTGGCCTCTTTCCAGTTTTATTCCTTACAACTAGGATGATATTCATCCTGGTTTGTCCAGGAACAGTCCCAGTTTATGCCCATTGTCACAGTACAATTATTGATAATGCCGCCTTCTACTTTCAAAGCGTTCTGGTTTAATGATGAGTTAAATGATTGCCCTACTCAGAGTGTTTTCGTAACACTTAGACCTGCCTCTATCACTGCATGATTCACAATGTACTATGTTGTTGTATTTTAATTGTTTTTTGGATTTGTCGTCTTGGTGGGATTTAGTGTAGTCACCGGGAATGATTTTCTTTATTTCTGCAGACTCCAGCATATATACCTGGCAATGGGAGGAGCTCAGCCATGCTCGTTGGACATGTGAGTGTTTTTGAAACCTTGCTTCTTTCATTTTGTGCGTAGCAGATGCTCAATAAATCATTTTTAATAGAAAAAAAAATTAACATCGCAACTAACAGAACTAGAGAACCAAGAGCAAACAAATCCCAAAGGTAGCAAAAGATAAGAAATAACTATAGAGTTTATTGAATATTTGTTTCTTCACTTGCCACTTGCCCTTAGGACCATTTCCAGATATTTTGAATGGTTGATTTTTTGTTTTGTCTTTAAAATTTTAACCAGTTTCACTGAAAAGTGGGTCAGCAAAGCTCCTCATGCTATCATGCCGGTTGATTTCCCTAACTCAATGCTTACCTTCTTAACTGGCTACATTCTTTTTGAACAGGCATGGCCCATAGCCCATATACATTTCAGAGTTTCTAAATATCAGAGTTATTTTGTATTATCCACAATTGCAGCTTTTTCAGACCTTTGCATTGTCCCTTCTCTCTGCATAGAATTCCCTTTCCCTGGATAGTCACAGGGCTTACTCTCTCCTCCTCCTTCACATGATTGCTCAAGAATCATCTTTTTAGCAAGGCTTTCCCTTAACACCCTATTTAACATTGAACTCTATTTTCAAACTGGCACTCTTATCCTCTTTCGTTTTTTTCCCCCGTTCCACAATATTCATCACTATCTATGATACTATATATTTACTTATTTGGTTATTGTCTTTCTCACTCCAGCAGAATACAAACTGTGTTTGGTCAGAGGCTT
This sequence comes from Homo sapiens, assembly GCF_000001405.40. Lineage (NCBI taxonomy): Eukaryota > Metazoa > Chordata > Mammalia > Primates > Hominidae > Homo > Homo sapiens. The sequence goes on along the minus strand of NC_000014.9, from coordinate 36,351,897 downwards.
TTTTCCCCTAATCTCTTTTGCTCACTGCTGAATCCTTAGCACCTTTAAGTGCCCTGCACATAGTGGGCACTAAAAATATATTCAATAAGATAACATTCTTGGCATCTTACATGTATTAACTCATCTAATGCTGACCTATGATCACTAATAGTAACAACAATCAATGAAAATAATTATTAATAATGTTTCCTGCTCCTCAGACATGGAAACTGAGGTACAGAGAAGTTAAATACAATCAGACCATGGTAGAGGCAGGATGTGAACCCAGGCACTTGACTATTAAACTTTCATTCTCATTCTCCTCACTCCCAGAAACTGGTTTCTTTTTCAGACCACTAACTCAACTATTTCCAGTTTACATGTTGACTTTGGTTGATATTAGTTAGGGTTATTAAGATTTCAGAGTACTCACATTTTAATAACACAATCTTAAGAATCAAGTCCCTTTAAATTTCAGGTGAGTCTATTTTTTTTTAAGTTGTATTTCAGACAGGAGGTAAGGAGAATTATTTTTTGAAGAAAAGGAATTTGATTGATGCTTCTTAAATAAGCAGTGGCCTATTTTCCCTGCTTATGGGTATCCAGCAATTAAATTAAATGAGGTATAATAGCTGTAAAATATACAATTAGTGCTCACTCTTAGTTTCTAGGAATTATGTTAATGTAGCTTGGTGTTGCATCAACCAATCTCAATGGAAATTATAGAAAAAAACCCAATAATATACTGAAAAGCATCTCTGTGAATCTAAATTGGAATAGAAACTCTATAATGTATTAAAATCAACATTCTCATATTTGAAATAGAGAAATATAACTTGCTGGTATTACTGTTCTACCTAACATAAATTAAAATGATAAGATTATAACATGAAATGGATAATAAATATTATCAATGGATATATGTAGATGATGGAATTATGAGTAATTTAAAACTTTCTGTATTTTTTGTATATTTAAAATAAATGTATCTTCTCTGGAATCAGAAAAAATAGTGGTTAAGTGTTAGAAAACACTAAGGAGCCTTGTGTTCATGAGAAGAAGCTTTAATTGCTAAACATGTAAATAAACCTATTTACTGCCATGTTATGGATGTTTCTCCATATGTAAATATCTTAACAACTTGTAGATTCATTTTATACAGGTACAATTAAGTGGATCTAGTACTTCTGAAACTTACTATATAAAGAATTTAATATGATATATTAAGTATGATGACTATACTTTCTCTTTAATTTTTTGATACATAAAAATTATACATATTTATGAAGTACATGTGATATTTTGATATATGCATGCAATGTGTAATGATCAAATCAGGGTATTAGGATATCCATCACCTCAAATATTTTCTTATATAAAGACTCCTTATTATAAAGTTTGAGTCTTTAGTACTAGAAAAAGCAGCAGAGGTTTAGTGCTTGGGCTCTAGGGCCTCACATCTCAGGTTTTACACCCTAGCTCCATCATTCTTGAGCTGTGGGACAGTGGACAAGCTATGCACAGTCTCTGTGGCTTGGTCTCATCCTTCATAAAAAGAAGGCAATAATTATGCCTGTTTTACAGGATTGTTGTGGGCATTAAAGGAATTGACAAGTTAAGCTTAGGACAATGCCCTGACATGCATTTGCTAGCATGGTTATACTAAATTGTAAGCCTCTTGAAGTTAAGGGGAGTTATTTTATTTACTTCTGCTCCTTAAACATGGAAAAACATCAATAAATGATTATATGATGAATGATGGAATTCACTCATTTGAGAACTAAAATAAAAATGAGAATTACACAGTCATTAAAACAAAAATTAGAATGTTTTGTGGACTCTCACATGTGAGCTCTGTCAGTATTTTTGGCTCACAAGAGCTCTAGGAAGAGAAAGTTCTATTTTTTCACTGTAAACACTAGAGATTTTTCTGAGGCTAGACAAATAAGAAATAGAATGTTTTAAAGCTAGGACTTTGTATGAAAGTAATAGAACCTCAATTCTAATTAGTTTATGTAACAGAAAAAAGGAGATGTGCTTGGCTTATGTAGCTTTAACACAAGAAGAGAGGCACTGAAGCTGGCCTTTGGGATAACTAGAATCAGGTTATCCCAAACTAGAATTTGTGTCCATCTACAAACAGCAGAGCCCAGCTGTTTCTTGCATGCTTTCTCTCTTGGTCTTGCTCCTCACCCTTTGCCTCTTGCTCTATTTCTCTCCTGCATGTCGGCTTTGTTCTTTCCCACTGCAGGAAGTTTCTGTGTAGGGTGGGCGACATGGCTGCCAGCAGCCCTAAGCTCACATCCCCAGATCCTCTCAAAAAGAGAGGAGAGAAATCTTACCCAACATATCCCATCATAAAACATGTCAGGGAAGGCTTTTTTGGGCCCTGCTTTGGTATTTTGCCCATCTCCAGATCAACCATCATGTCTAAGAAGGAGGATCACATAAGATACGTACTTGTCTCCCTTCTCTGGGTTTTGTTGTTGTTATTTTCTTCTTCATTTGGACTGGCTAGATTATTTTAGTGAATTCTTTCCCTTCCATGCCCCAGTGTTCAAATTCTGATGTTGCTCTTCAGGGAGCACACCTCAGGGTATGCCCACAGTCACTCTTGCCATGACCGCACTCAGATGTTAAACTCCACTAATGTCTAGAGGTGGGGAAGAAGTGGTTCCCCCCAAGACAAGTGACAGATAGCCCAGTCAGGCTGTTGCAGAAATGCCAAGTGTCAAGCAATCAGCTCAATTTGTGCTTACTATATGAAATAACTTAGATTTGGGAAGTTAGAGCCTATATTAAATTACGGAATTACTAAGGCAGGACACAGAGGCTTAATTGAAAATATCCCAAAGTTGAAATGTCTCAGTTCGCTGTGTGGGTTAGATGCAGGATTTATATGATCCGTTAACCTCTCCAAGTTTTTAAGATTAATGATTATGGTTATAGTACCCTACTCAGAAAGAAGGTAAAGCCCAACAATATTTCCAACATTACTTACTATCCCCGATTTTCTATTAAAGCAAAAATGTTTCATATTTTATTATCAATGCAAAGCAGAAATGAATGTCTTTAGTCTCTCTAATTCTAGAGTCTTCTTGGATTAGCCTGGGAAAGAACGAAGACTTTAGATTAATTATTGCGTGAAGCATGGTAAGAATTGATGTACCAAAGGAATCCTAAGTCACAGCGAAGGCCAATTGAAACTGGATGGCTTAAACTGGAAACAGTTAAAGTCTAATGGCCTTTCACTTTTTAAATGAATTCACATTTAATATGGCATAGTACTGGTTTTAAAATATACACTTAATACTTAAATGTACATCAGGACTCTTTACATGTATAACATTTAAATATATACCAGAACTCTTTTCACATAAGGGTCTAAATAATGGCCCCAGTAATCTTAGATATTTACACTGTGCTGCCAGGCACTGCATTTTTTTGGAGCTGGAGTTTTGCTCTGTCGCCCAGGCTGGAGAGCAGTGGCACGATCTTGGCTCACTGCAACCTCTGCCTCCCAGGTTCAAGTGATTCCCCTGCCTCATCCTCAAGAGTAGCTGGGATTACAGGCGTCCACCACCATGCTAGGCTAATTTTTTGTATTTTTAGTAGAGGCAGGGTTTTACCATGTTGTCCAGGCTGGTCTCAAGTGATCCACCCACCTCGGCCTCCCAAAGTGCTGGGATTACAGGCATGAGCCACTGCACCCAGCCCAGGCACTGCATATTTTAAGTGCAGTGTATAGATCCTATTTATACCAAAAATCTTATGCTACAGAAGCCATCTGTTTTTTATCAGATAAAAACTGATTGATTTCCTAGACTGAAAGATCTTGTTTTACTCACAATTTAGTATTTTCCATGAAACTCTTGACTTTTAATTCAGTCTATTAACAAAATATCAGACCTAGATGAAAAGAATTAAAAATTTCATGCTAAAGGTATTTTCCTTCTTTATGAAAATTCTTAGAATCTGTAGCTTCATTTAAAATTGCAAAGGTCATTTGATGCAGCATTTCCACTAGCAGTGACAAGCAAATAAATAATCATAGACTTGGGAAAAAAATCTAGCTACATGCATATTCATCACAGTGTCATTTACAGTAGCAAAAAATTAAAAGATAAATGTGCACTAATAGGAGATTCTAAAATATGACAAAAATAAAGTATGGCATGTCCATGTACTAGAATATTATGAAATCACTGAAATTGATGTTGAGGAAGAACATATACTAAAAAGATATTATAAATATATCATAAGGTTTGTTGTAAAAGATTATAAAACAGTAAAATCCCATTGCTTAAATGGGATTTTATATGTATATAAATGGAGAAAAAGTAACCACGATACACACAAAAATATGAATAAAGTGATTTGAGCCTAGGTAGTAGAAATATGGATTTTCTTTTTTGTATTTTATATGTTTCCTAAATGTTCTATAAAAAACAAATCTTACATTTACGTAAGAAAAATAAGAAATAAAAATTATTCACAATTGAGACTTTTGGTGTTCAAAATACTTGAACATTACTAAGAATGGGTACTATGCAGAAACAATTTGTCATTAGCAGATTACCTATGCTCCTTTGGAGTGATTTCTCTGTGACTTTTCACACTATTTCACAATTCTGTCCTAGGCTTTATCAAAATCCATGGACATCTGATCGAAACAAAAATTAACAGCAATCTGCAAAAGAGCTATTAGGGACATTACTCTTGTGAATAGATAGTCAGCACTCTGGGGACAGACACTTTGTTATCTTTCTCATCTTAAATTTCACTGCTGGGCTTAACGGTGCTTTGTGCCTACCAGTGTTCAATCATTGGATCAATGTTGAATGACTGTTAAACTCCTTGATGTCAGAGCTAATTGCTGACAACACCCTACAGGGTTTGCTATGAGATGTATATAAATTGCAATCTGCCAAAATGAGAACCCAGAGCTGCTTCTGGGGATCAAAATTAAGGGCAACCCATCTTTGCTTTGCTGGCTGTGCATTAGATTTAAAAGGAAAAACAAACAAACAAAAAACCCAGAGTTGATTCCAGAATGGAATATGTGTAAAGAGTTCACATTTGTTGTATCTTAGTTGGTATTCCACAATATGATTTTTAATAGATCTTTCATTTTGATCTCATCTGCTATGAACTAATGTGACTACAATAGGTTGGATAAAATGTCACTCTCCTAGAAGAATGGAGCAGTGTAGAACAAATGTCATGATTTTAAAGTAACATTCTTTTTGCCTAACCCATTGTCCAGTTGCATTTCAAGTGAAGACATATGTTCTAAATTAAATTTATTTTTTAATACTATAAGGAGTCCTTATCTCCAGGCATGCTTTTGTACTTGCTATCACTTCAGTAATTTGAATCACCTACACAAGTTCAAGGAAAGCACTGTGAACATAACAAGTCCTTATCCAAGTCCAGGATATTTTGTTCACCTAGTTTACTGCCGTACCATCTGCCCTTTACTTCTGGAGGACTTTCAATAAAGCAGGAGCCAAAGTAAATGCAGATACCCCACTGCTATCTATTTAACTTTCGTTAAGTGAGTTGGTGCAGTGCTCAGTCGCCTTCTCAAAACCAGCCCATCATCTAAGAGTATTTACATAAGACTCTTTGCATTATATTCCAACCTCTGCAACACTAGTATTAACTACTGACATCTGCCAACTCTGACTGGTAAGTGCTTTACAGTATCAATTCATCCCAAGCAAAAAGCATTTCTGAGTGCTGCAGTGCTCTTGTTAATGCCAATAAGAAGTATCAAGGCTCATATGACACCTAGAAGAAATTAGTACCCACATTCAAAGAAAAGTCTTTGTTATTTCCCAGAGTATTATGTGGACTTTATTGAGATGACTGCATCTGACACCTGCTGTAATATAAAATGCAGCTATAATTAGCCAACTGATGCTCACTGCAGTTTAGGTCGAATCCCTTCTGTGGGAATTATGCTTTAAAATATTCAGAACTCCAAGTGGCTCTCATTACATTTAATTTTAACTTAGAATTAGGTGGTCTAGAAAAAAAAATTTAGGATTGTAATAGCCCCCTGCTGAATGCCACACAGCAACGTGAAAACCCATAGGGTTTTTTCCCCCTCTAAAAAAAAAATGAGAACAGCAGACTACACTACAGCCTTCAATTGAAGTCTGGCTTTGCTTAATTGTACTTTTTGCACTCATCAGTCTCTCCTCTTCAGAGCAAGCTACAAAAATTGCCTGAATAGCCAAAGAAAAGTTTCCCACAGTCACTGGCCACAGAAAAACACTATTGTCCTTCCTCACAGTTTGATGGACAACATTTCTATAAATGGGTAGCCAGGCTGTCAATGGTACCCTTGCTGAAAAGGCAAAAGAAGAGAACAGATTCTGCCAATATCTGACAAAGCATGTTAACACATAATCAGGCATTCACTAGTCAGGCAGCTGCCCCTGGGACCTTCATCACACAGGTGCCTTTAAGCCATTTCCTATTCACAGATAAAGGAAACAAACAGGAGATACCTGGGAAAGGAGCAGTCTATTATGATTCACCAAATGTCCATCTTCTGGGCTGTGTGTAAAAGTAGAAAGAGGAAAAAAAACCCGGTAGTTTCAACTGAGAAATCATAAAACAGCCAAACACTTACAAAATCTTTAAATTAAGCTGTGGAGTTTTTTCCTTTCCTTTTCTCTATCTTTATTTTTTTAGGGGGGAGGGTGGTGTGTGATTTGTTTGTTTGTATGGCATAATAGCACTCAAGTATAACAACAAAGGCCATCTTTTCCTTGGTGGCTTATCAAACACATTCGCCCAGACTTAGTGTGAAACACTAAGGCCGAAATAAATACTTACCTGGTCCAACTGAGTCACAAAAGCGTTTACTTTGTCACTTGAAGCCATTTTTCCTATACACTCACACATTCTCTCTTTCTTCGTTTCAAGAGTTGAGATCAGTAATGCCAAAAGGGTAATGGGGTGAATGATTCTCCAGGAGAGCAGAAACTCTGGACCATTTCTTGAGGAACCACCAAAATAAATACTTCAGAAAAATAATTAGCATTTTTTATTTCTTCATAAGTGCTCAGACTAAGAACATTATTTCCACACTGTGGATATCTACCCAATCAGAGGAAATATCAGACCTTAATACTCCATTAAGCTAATGGCCCTATTACCATATATGACATTAAAATGTGCATACTGGTATATGGTTGTTCTTAGGACATTTTCAAATTAAAATTTAGTGATTACTACCTTTAAGTTGTTAAGAATTTCTATTTTATTTCTTCATTTTCATTTTAGTGATTATCATACTGTCAATTCCTCTATATTTAAAGTGTGGTACACATATGAGGAAAGAACCAGGAATGCAATTTTGTGAAGTGATGAAGTTCTTAGGAATCTCAGATTGACTAAAATATAGTTGTTAGGATACAATTTGAAAATTGACACACTCAAAACCACAACTTTTAACCTAAAAGGCAAGTACTATAAAACTACTGGGGAAAAAGAAATCAAGACAGTAGTTAATCCAAACCGGTGCCAAAAGTTGAAACAACTGCTTTTTCAACTAACTTTGTAAATAAGCAATACTTATCTTGTATAGCTTCCTCATCTGCAAAATAGGAATGTAATGCTTAACATTCCTATTTGTTGAATACAATGCTCAACCAATGGAACAAAACCAATAAAGGCTCACGAATACCTAAGAAATATAACACTGTATTATCTGACTTAAGCTTTATTTTCTTCTTTATTTCTTCTTTTTACATATTTGTTTAATAAAATATAAATAAAATTATGAAGTCAACTTTAGTTAATAAATAGACAGCAAATTAGGATTTAAGTTTATAATCCTTACAAATATAAAGTCATTAAGAAACCTTTCCTCAAATTTAATTCAACTAAATAATATTTAGAAACTGCCTATAAATAATCATTGTCATTACTGCCAGTATGCCTATTATGTGCTAGGTACTTTATGTATGTTTTATTATTTAACCCTTACAACAACCATTTGAGTCAGGTACAATTATTTTCCCTATTTTACAGGTAGGAAACTGAGGCTTTGGGATATAAAATGAGTTAACCTTCTCTACTTTTCTACTAAGTTGCAGAACTTGGATTTGGACTCAGGTCTGTCTCCTTCTAAAGACCATATTTGTCCTACGAAACCATGGTTTATGTTTTAATAAATAGAACAAAATAAATTTTTATTTATGATTTGAAAATGCAACATGCTCTTTTATTAGGTAGCATGTGTACATTTTCTATTTTATGATATATGCGTGTATTTTTATCATTATGACATAAGTTAAACCAACCTCTTATCTCCAGGTAAAATAATCAAAACTTTTTTGGATAGTTGAATTAGGGTTTTGTTTTTCTTAACTATTTAAAGTGAAAGAGTTTCTCTCCATGACCAAATTTACACTTGAAAATTTTCACTCAAACACTAAACACTATCTCCCCAACCAGACTGAAGTTCTGTAAGGTTGAAAAGGAACCCTGTTTTTAACTTTCTCAAGATTTGTTATAAAACACAGCCTCTTAGGAATCTCTTCTTTAGATGTACCCCATAAAACTCCTACAACTTAAAACACTTTTTTATTCTGGCTTTGGTTGAATCCAGAGTTTGTCAGTGTTGCCTACCAAAACAAATCTTTTCTAAACATCTAAACTTTTTAGCCTCGTATTTCAATTCATAGAAAACTTGATCTGAATTGATATGCCACTTCAATTCTAATCTCATCCTTGCCCAACTGAGCAAATCTCATCTCTGCTTCTTCCTTGTTCATTCCCATTTCTGGACTCTAAGTTACTGTGTTTCTAACTAGAAACACCCTCTTTCCTTCTTTCTATCAAACTAAATCTAGTATTTCATGTCTACCTAATGGTGCACTTTCTCAATAAAATGTTCTTAACTGATTCCACTTAACACTAATCTTTCATGTAATTTCATTTGTCCTTATTTTTTCTTTTTTTCTTTTTTTGAAATGGAGTTTTGCACTTGTTGCCCAGGCTAGAGTACAGTGGCGTGATCTCGGCTCACTGTAACCTCCACCTCCCGGGTTCAGGCAATTCTCCTGCCTCAGCCTCCTGAGTAGCTGGGCTTACAGGCACCCACCACCAAGCCCAGCTAATTTTTTTTTTGTATTTTTAGTAGAGACAGGGTTTCACCATGTTGGCCAGGCTGGTCTCAAACTCCTGACCTCAGATGATCCACCTGCCTTGGCCTCCCAAAGTGCTGGGATTACAGACGTGAGTTGTTCTTATTTTTTCACTATGTGACCTATCACCATTCACTTGAATGATATGATGGCTAGCCTCATCCTCCTAATTGATTCATGGAGCCTAGATCTATATTTTCTACCAAATTATATCCTCCTTGTGTGTCCGGAATTGGTTCCTTCCAGTGGATTCTTGGTCATGCTGACTTCGAGAATAAAGCCGCAGACCTTCGTGGTGTTACAGCTCTTAAAGATGGTGTGTCTGGAGTTTCTTCCTTCCAATGTCTCCGGAGTTTATTCCTTCCAGCGGGTTCGTGGTCTCGCTGACTTCAGGAGTGAAGCCGCAGACCTTCACAGTGTGTGTTACAGCTCTTAAAGGTGGCGCGTCCAGAGTTGTTTGTTCCTCCCAGTGGGTTCGTGGTCTCGCTGACTTCAGGAATGAAGCTGCAGACCCTTGCAGTGAGTGTTACAGCGCATAAAGGTAGTGTGGACCTAAAGAGTGAGCAGCAGCAAGATTTATTGTGAAGAGTGAAAGAACAAAGCTTCCACAGCATGGAAGGGGACCCGAGCAGGTTGCTGCTGCTGGCTCCGGTGGTCAGCTTTTAGTCCCTTATTTGGCCCTGCCCACATCCTGCTGATTGGCCCGTTTTACAGAGCACTGATTGGTCCATTTTACATAGTGCTGATTGGTGTGTTTACAATCCTTTAGCTAGACACAGAGAGCTGATTGGTACGTTTTTACAGAGTGCTGATTGGTGCATTTACAATCCTTTAGCTAGATACACAGCACTGATCGGTGCATTTACAATCCTCTAGCTAGACAGAAGAGTTCTCCAAGTCCACACTTGACCCAGGAAGTCCAGCTGGCTTCACCTCTCACTTGAGGGCAAAAGAAAGACCATGAATCTATAAATAAATGAATGAATGAATTGTAAAACAGTTGATCCTAATGCTTCATATACTATTCTCTCATAAATCCTTGAAGAGAGTTATTCTCTCATAAATCCTTGAAGAGAGTTATTGATATACTCCCAGAGTTCTACAACTAGAAAAGGAAGAAATCCCACACCGAAATCTGGATTGAACTAAGAATCGGTTAGAAGAGTTGCCATCTCTAATCTTTCCTGTGGAAATTTCCTGTGGAAATCATTAGTGCACTAAACATTCTGGCTTTTTTCCTTCTAGGCACATGAGGGGATTACTCTTCTTGACCCCATTTGAAATTAACATGGCCATGTGATTTGCTTTGATCAATTAGTGTGATCAGAAGTGAAAAAAACAGTAATTCTAAGGAGAAGCTTTAATAGTCTGTGTGCTATTTGCCATTTTACTTTTTCTTTGCTGCAGTATTTGTGGAAGAATGAAGATGGAGCCTCCTTCTCAGCCAGGGTCCTTAAATGAGGAAAATGTAGAGCAGAGTCCCAGGCCAACTTATGGCCACCATGTAAAAGGAGTAAGAAACAAACTTGCCATTTTAAGCCACCAACGTTGATTACTGCAGCACAGCCTCTCCTAGGCTGACTAATAACTTCTTAATGTCAAGGTGGGACACAGTATGCCAAAATGGGAGGAGAGTGAAAAACAGAATGACTGGCTAAATTAAATCATCTTCAAATATGATCCAGAAGTATATTAGATTGGGCATTTCATTTCTGAAACTGGTAGGTAAAGAATTAAGCTCAATAGATCCTTCAAACATCTTCTTACTGAGTTGTTGACAATTACATTTCTTTCTCCCCTTTGGTATGCATTGTCCCTTCACACTTGGCACATTATTTTGAAATTTTAAAATTTTATAGTGATCACACACTCCACTAAAATCTTAACCACCAGAAAATTTAGTGGTAGATTTCCATAACTTTTGTATGTAATATTTCTGATTGAATATTAAAATATCACTTGTGTCCTCATAGATGCAGCTGTAAAATTATATTATATGCCTATTTTTGGCTTTACTTTGCTGTTGGTATGTCCATTTAGTCAAGATAAGAAATTGCTGATCTGGCTCTGCTGATCTATTTAAGAGTTGTTTTTACCTGTTTATAGCATAAATATATAAATGTTTTCATGTGTTTCAAAAAAGGAACATATATCTGAAGTTTCAAATATGAAATATGAGAACCCACTGAGTATTCTTATTTTGTTTTTACTTTTATTCTCTTTTACATATCAGTATGCTGACAAATACATTCCCCTATGACTACATTCTTCACCACATGTAAGTACTGTATAGTTATGAATAATGAAATGATTAAAAAGCATAATGAAAGAATGGCACAACTGGTTTTTTTTTTAATTTTTAAAATTTCTCACTCCTGAGGACTCATTGCAATATTTCCTGCTCCATATTAAACTTGAGAGCTTCTGAGAAGTATTCTTAGAATTCTGATCTTTTGGAAAGAATAATGATTCAATTAGAGTTTTTTTTAATCACGATGATTACTTTATGATAATGATCTTACATGGCTAAGACGTTGCACTTACATTGCACTTAGATGCAGCATTTCATTTTAGCAAATTCCAAGAACCATTCACAACTTTATTATTGTACCTGATTTTTACAAGTTCTTTGTCCAAGAAGTTCTTCATTCTTAGTCAAAATGGGGAAGCTATTTGAGAGGTACAGCGATACCAGCACCAACTGAAAAACATAACAAAATGAGGAACATCAGAACCATTTGAAAGCAAACCAGAAATCCTCATTTGTAGTCTTAAGTAATACATCTTGGAATTGGTTCAGAAATCAGTCTGTCAGAGGTCCTTTGAAATTGTCTTGAAGTTTTATTGGATAAATTGAGTCTTTTGTAACACATATTATATTAGACATTAGTTTCTTCCCACAATAGAAGGAAGGAACTAAGATATCACTACCACCATTTCTAACAATGTCTTGCTAGCTAAGACTGAAACTAGACAAATTTCTGAAAACTTCATTCATTTGAGTGACAAGACATGAAAAGAAATGGCATTAAAAATTGTTTGTTGGAGTTATTACACAAAAAAAGTACATTGTAAAACTTTAATCATTTTTTTATTTTGCCATTCCCATTTAAGGTATTCAGTTTATCAATGCTCATTCAACCAATATTTATTGAACCCTGATTATGTTAGGGAAATGAAACCCATGATATTGCATAGAAATAGAAAACAGATGCTATGGTTTGAATGTCCCCTCCAAAACTCGTTAAATTTTAATTGCCATTGTGACAGTATTAAGACATGGGACCTTTAAGTAGTGATGACGCATTATCACAGGAGTGGGTTAGTTATCACAGGAGTGGATTCCTTATATTAATAAAACAGATGAGTTTGGACCCCTTCCTGCTCTTGCTCTCACACTCTGTGCCCTTCTACCTTCCACCATGGGATGACACAGCAACCCCTCACCAGATGCTGAGCAGATGCCAGTACCAGCCTCCAGAACCATAAGCCAGATAAATTTTTCCTTATAAATTACCCAGCCTGAGGTATTCTGTTATAGCAACACAAAACAACTAAGACAGGAGGTAACGATATATGTCATAGGAATAGCACAGACAATGCTGGCTCTCTCAAGGAAGCTTCCAGTTATGAGGGGGCCAGAGAAAGCCTGGTGGAAAGGGTGAGTCTCAAGCTGAGTCTTAGAAAAAATAGGTGAGATTTTACCTATTTTAAATAGGAGTAATAAAACAGAAGTAAAAATGCAGGGGGACAATATGGATGGCAAGGAAATGAGTATACTGTAGAAACTGCAAATGACTTATGCAAAATAGAAGTATGAAAATAGGATGTTTCCAGTCAACAAGGCATGGTAGAGTTTTAGTTGTTGAAGCTGGTGGTGGATAGCATGTGAGCATATGAGTTTATGTGTTCAGGTACAGTGAAGATGTCCTCCTTTGGGAGATACAAATCAAGTTCAAAGAGGAAGCACAAAGGGATGGTATGAGTTTAGTCTTGGGAATAAAAAACACTTCTTCCTTTGAGAGAGCAACAATCCTACTTTACCATGAAAGAACATCTGAGGAGGTCACAATACCTATTGTGGGTTTCCTTACTTTCCCTCTCCTCTAGCTAAAGCATCTCAGCCACTAGATCTATTTTTTCATTCATAGGTACTTTCATTTTAACATTTATTGAACACCTACTGTGTGCCAGGAACTGTTCTGGGTGTGATGGATACAAAAATCAATCAGCTACATCACTATTGACATACCATTGCCTAGGATATGGTTGACACTCAATAAACATTTGCTGCTTTAAGGTAGAGATAACAGAAATGAGAAAGCACACACTAGTTATCTGTGAATTTCTCAGTAAAGTAGGATGGTTATTATCTGCTGAGAATGGAAAGGGTAAGTAGTGAATTAGATGTGTGAGCAACGAGAGACCTGAAGTATCAGCGAAGGGAAGTGTGCTGGGGAATAAATGGGAGATCAATATCAAGATAGCCTAGCAGCAACGAGAACCCAGTTGGAATAGGAGAGATTGATTTTTGTAGTAGGCCAGGGTACATATGGTGGTATGACTTTCTCCAAGAATACTATTTTAACAAAATTCTCTATCGTACAGGAAAAAGATCAGGGGAAACACATAGGTAGGGTGGTGGTGGAAGGTGAGAATTGGCCTGGACAAAAGATAGGGATTTAATAAATGCAAAGTGGAGTTTTACATTTTGCTAAAGGCAAGCCCTCTCTCCCTCAAATAGCTTGATGTTACGTGATATTTCCCCCATATTCTTAACCCACAAAAAATGAATTACTGTCTTCTAAACTGTTCTAAATTGCATTTCAACATGACTTCTGAAATAGCTGTACTATTAGTAAACCTGTTGTAGAATTCTTTATCAGGATGTCCACAGAAGTGCCTTTTCATGATAAACTCCTACCCTGAACTTTTGTAAAAGTATATAAATGTTAAATGCAAGGTATTATAAAAATATTAAAGTAATAAGTAATATTTACTTCTTCCATCGTGAGATTTTGGAAATTCCATACAACAAACCCTATAAATTCCCTTTTTGAATAAATGAGACCCTTTTAGAGGACATTAAATCTATAAAAATTAAAGAACAGCCTCCACTGATTTAGCTACTATGATTTTTATGTATGCTGTTCCTTATCTACCTGGAATTTACATATTCCATGTGTCTGCATATTTGAAATGACTGTAAGAACATATGGCAATATGGCATTAGCTTATTCAAAAATGATATGATTGAATATAGCACAATTCTAAAACTCTTTATGGCAGAGTTAGTATCTTTTATTTTAACCAATTTTATGAAACCTGGATTTTCCTCAGTTTAAATGGATTCCTAGTTTTAAATGAAAAGAAGCTGACTGACTCTGTTCTCAATTCCCCTCTCTTAGAAAACTAGGTAGGTGGGTAAATGTAAGTTGCTGTGAAGTTCTCAGGAAAATACCACTCAAGAGGATAAGAACTCAGAAGCTCTTCAAGCATATGGAGTATCTTTTCCTTTAACATTCCCAGGACAGGGCCAGACTCACACTAGACACTTGAATATTTGTGTGACTAGACTTTGCACAACCCAAGAGTAGGGCTGTATCTGACTTGTTCACAGTTGAATCTCCATTGCCTACCAAAGCATCAGACATATAATTAATGTTGAGGAGAAAGAAAGCCTAAAGGCCCAAGATAGTTGGCTTCAGTTCTAAGTAACAACATTCTCTTAGACAGTGTACTGAAAGGGTCAGGCACTGAACAAAACATCTGCACTTTAACAACTGTCTTAATAATAGCACATGTTATTAAACACCAAAGAACTTCTGGAACTACTCACATTAAAAAAATTTAGAAAATTGCATTCAAATTATAGGTAATTTACATATGAAATTGCTTGCAGTTAATGTGTTGCTTAATAGGCACACATTTGTTCGTATAAATTTTAGTATTTTCTTTGCCCATGATTTAACTAACTTACCTTTTCAAGAAAGTTGCTGTAAAACTATACTTGAAATCTCAATAGTTTTGCCTTTTTTCTTTGTGAGGGAGATGATGCTGCTGTTTGGGTGTAAGGATAGGAGGTAAAGCCAGCTGAGAGGGAAAACAATAACAAAGCAGATAGTACAGTTTATTTTCTTCAGGGAGATTTTCCAAGTGTTTTGGAAACCCATTTGTATTGACAAAAATAAATGAGATTAAATTGACTGAAAAGAGAGCTCCCGTTAAAAAAGTTCAAAATATAAACTGTATTACCCTTCAGTTATTGATAATAACAAAAATTTACCTATTTCAGTTTATAGTTTACAACATGCTTTTACATACTCTATCGCAATGGATCTAAACAACTAATAAGTTGTCATGCAGCTAATATTTGCCCATTGATTGTTTTCCATTTCCTTGATTATTCAAGCAATTCATAGTCATTATGGAAAGTTAAAATATGGGGAAACATAAAGAAAAAGTTCATTCTAAACCAATCACAATACTTTGGTGAATTTCTTCAGTCTTTTTAATGCACTCTTACTATATTTTAGTTAACAGTCTATGTATAGTTTATTATTTATCTTTTTCTTTTGACAGCATAACAAGCATTTTCCCACTTTGTTCACATATCATTTGAATAACTGCATATTTCTAGTTTTTAAACATGCATAAATAGAAAGATATTGTGCATATAATTATGCTAAAAAGTTTTTGTATTTCAGAATATTTTCTTAAATTACAAGATTACATTTAGCAAATAGTAGAATCAACCACAGAATCAGACAAGTTTTTATTTTATGTAGCCAATCTTATCACCAATGAGAATAATTTTATTTTTGCCTCCCTTAAAAATCTATAGAAAATTTTCCTTCCATTTCTCTTAAAGACAGGAGCCCTCAAATCACAGTTTGCATTATCTCTTCTCATTATGTTATCCAGTAAATAAAACATCTAGTGCTATCTTGGTATAAAAATATATTTAAAGAATATCATCAATATTTATATCATTCTCTTTTCAAAATAATATTTTTTTCTTAAATCTTTCTCCATATGTTGTTTTCCCATTGTTTTTGTGGCTTTCCTGTGCATGCACTCTTCTGCATGATTTATGACATAATAAAATACAATGCTTAAACTATAATAAGTACTATGATTTTATTATTTTAAAATAGAATTATAAATAGTAAATTTAAGCACTGAAGAATTTTAAGAAACTGTAAAATCTGAACATTAGAACTAAAGATGAATATGGTAATAATAATGATAGCAACCAACTTAATGGAGAACTCATTATTTACTTGGCAGAGTAACTCACTAAAGATAATGACATGATTGAGAAAAAAGAAGATAATCACCTCAACAACTAGGAGTGGTGAGCCAACTTACTGATGCAGGAAGTAAGTTTAGCCTTCCCTTAAATACATGTATATAGAATATTCAGAAGAACTTCCGCTAGTTAACCAAGAGGTATACAAAAAGACACTTTCTGATCTTGAGGGTTGTTGTAGAATCTATACTTAGAGACTATTAAAAATGAAAGGGGAGAACAATTGGCAGAAGGAGCATGACTTATTGAGTATACTTTTATTTTCTTTTCTTTCTTTTTAAAAGAATAGATGGCTGAAAATAGAAGAGTAAGAATGGGAATATAAATGAGGATCGAGGCCAGGCACGGTGGCTCATACCTGTAATCCCAGCACTTTGGGAGGCTGAGGCGAGCAGATCACTTGAGCTTAGGAGTTCGAGACCAGCCTGGCCAACATGGTGAAACCCCGTCTCTACTAAAATTATAAAAATTAGCCAGGCGTGGGGTCGTGTACCGTAATCCCAGCTACTTGGGAGGCTGAGGCTCCAGAAACACTTGAAGCTGGGAGGCAGAAATTGTAGTGAGCTGAGATTATGCTACTGCACTCCAGCCAGGGTGACACAGCAAGACTCTATCTCAAAAAATAAAAATTAAAAAACAGCTGGGTGCGGTGGCTCATGGCTGTAATCCCAGCTCTTTGGGAGGCTGAGGCGGGGGGATCACTTGAGGTCAGGAGTTCAAGACCAGCCTGGCCAACATGGTGAAAACCCCCTCTCTACTAAAAATACAAAAATTAGTTAGGCGTGGTGGCAGGTGCCTATAATCCCATCTACTTGGGAAGTGAGGCAGGAGTCACTTGAACCTGGGAGGGAGAAGTTACACTGAGCTGAGAATATGCCACTGCACTCCAGCCTGGGCAACAGAGCGAGACTCTTTCTCAAATAAATAAATAAATAAATGTGGATCAAAGAAAGGAAAATAATCAAATGTCTTGAAAAAAGGGATAAAAATAGTAGGCTTATTATATGTGCCAATCACTATGCTGAGAAGTTTTTTATGTTATCTAATTTTCATATTCACAATGCTATGACGTAAAATTATTCCCACACAAACCAGGGAAGAAACTGACCAGCAAATGCATTATGGAGTATAGAAGTCTGGGTTGGGAAGGGGAAAAGATGGCTGGATAAAAGTGAGATAAATGGATATATAAAATTTTTATTAAAAATAAACAATTGAGACAAGGGGAGCACTAAAAAGATAAGCAATTAGAAATAAATCTGTCTTTAAAAACTGAATAAAATATAGAAAGCCATGAAAATTGTTTGTCCTTACTCAATATCTGTCTATTATACAAGTTATTTTTTTTCTGTAACACTGGGCTAATCACCATGGAAAAAGAACAACTGAAAAAAATGATATGATCCCTGATCTTATAAGCCTACAATCTTTTAGAGAAATAATAATAACAATTAGTTATTTACTTAATTGCCTGCCATTATACACACGTCTCATTGAATCCTTAAAACATCCCCGTGAGGCAGGTCTTATTGCTCCAACCCAAATAATGGGGAAACCGCCCCTTAAAGAGGCTAGGTAAACTTCCTAAAGTCACATGGGAAGTTAATGCAAGAGCCAGGACTCTAATTCTAAAGTCCTTAAACACCACTGTCTTTTAGAAGACTTTCAAATGTGAAGTATTTAGAAAGGAAACAAGTCAAACGTAAAGTAGAGCATGAAATGCATTATATTCATTTATATTCTGTCTTGTTCTATATAATTGCTATATAATCTATATAACTGCTATATTATAGATACAGCAATCTGACATGACAAAACAGACAATATAAATAATAATTTATTTGGTACATTGCAAAGGCCTGTAAGAATTAGTTTCTTGTCATATATGGACCTTGAGATAACCTTTAAAAAGACTGAAGTCTTGGATTGGAAGAAAGTAGAACATTCAAGACTTCAGGGCACAGCAGAAAGAAAGCCCCAAAGACAGTAACAATGAAAGAGAGAGAAAGAGAGAGAGAGAGAGCAAGCAAGCAGGCAGGCACAAGTAGTTCAGTCAAGCTACACTTGCAAATATATTTTGAGATAATGAGTGTATAGGAGGATGCCTGAAGATCGGGTTGGAATGGCACCAGCAGTTATTTCAAAAATGCCACAGGCTATGCTTGTCTGGGCTAAGCTGAGAAACTAAATGTATGACGTCCACGGTTTATTAATGGCATTACCAGTAGATAGAAGCTAATGTATTTTACTAACAAACGATGGCCTGAGACAAAAAAAAAAAAAATCATAGAATGGTTAAGCCAGTGAACTTGAAAATAAGTATTTTTAAAAATTTCAATGTCATATCCACATAAGATGTTCTCAAATTCATCTTTTAAAACATGAATTTTTTATACCATAAAAAGGATGTGCATAAAAATGTGAAAATTAAAATGTACATACTTAAGTAATCTGCAGATTCAAATATGCAAAGGTAAATCAAAGATAACATACACATTTAGAGGAAAATCAATCTACCCTCTTAATGAACTGCTAGTCAGTCCCTTGGT
Source organism: Homo sapiens (assembly GCF_000001405.40). NCBI lineage: Eukaryota > Metazoa > Chordata > Mammalia > Primates > Hominidae > Homo > Homo sapiens. Next base: position 36,332,890 of record NC_000014.9, on the reverse strand, counting down.
GCCAGTGCTCTGCCCTCACTGATGTGCACCATTAGGAGTTGCAGGAATGAGAGACAATCACGGGTCTGGTGGGTAAAAGATAAAGCATGTTGAGTTTTGAGGCTATATTTAGGAGAAAAAAAAGGACATGAAAATGTACCTAGTAGGAGTAAAGATACCCATTATGTACTGCGTTGTTTTATAGTACGACTTGTGGCAAGTGGGGACTGTATTAAGGTGACATTTACCTGTACCAGAAAGTTACTGGCTAGGAAAAATCAATAGGAAGAGAACTACCAGGTCTGAAACTGAGCCTGTTCCTGAATGTAGGCAAAGGGGGCAACTTCTATAGTAACATCTAGACAAGGGTAAAGTACCATGTTGGCAACATAGAGTTCTCATATCAAACTATTCACGGGAACTCAAATGCCTTCTGTATATTCTCTGTCATATCTAAATCCTTGGGCAATGGCTTCAGGAGAGAAAACAGCAGGGCAGAGAAAATATCACTTTTACTACCTGAAAGCAGGACCTCTCCTCCATATGGTCATTTACATGTATTAGATCATGCACAGACAGGGTTAGGGCTGAATAAACTAGGCACATGGTTGGTGCTTAATAAATGTTACTTTATTGTTATTATTCCCCAGGATTACCACAGTGATTTGGTATGCATTTGAAGGACCTGTCAGGTGACTTTTGTTCATCACTAGGACTAGCATGATCACAGAAACAAGTTGTAGCTCCAAGATTTAGGGGGGTGACTTTGCCCTATGTTCTTTTGCTGATATAGCAAGCCTACCCTCACCACAGCCTTACCACTGTCACACTAACCACATTCTATAATGAGCACACTCCCTTTACATATGCTCCACCATTCTTAATATTCCAGGCAAGATTTTTCCAGGATGGCCTTTGCCTTGAAAGCTGAACATCATTCAACACATTCTACCTAGTGAACTCTGTGATTAATTCATTGTCAGTTTCTGCTGCTATTTTGCTTGACTCCAGGTATCTTTTGCTCTGAATATACATACCATGCTTAACCTGTACAAATCCTTTCTTCATCTACCTAGAAAGATTACTAATCCCATAAAGCAACCCTCATCAGATATGACTTCAATTGCTACTCCCTGCCACATTAACTTGTGATTGCTGGTCTAATTACCAACATATTTTACTCTTCTAACAGAAAATTCTTTCCCTAACCTTAATTATGATTAGTCACATATATCTTAAGTTCTCCAGAAAGGAAACAAAAAGTCATAGCTTTTATTGGTGACTTTTGTGCAAAGCATTTAATGTTGTATGCTGAAAAACACTATAATTTAAAAGTAACAGTTGGATAAAGAAAATGTGGCACATATACACCATGGAATACTATGCAACCATAAAAAAGAATGAGATCATGTCCTTTGTGGGGACATGGATGAAGCTGGAAGCCATCATTCTCAGCAATCTAACACAGGAACAGAAAATCAAACACAGCATGTTCTCACTCATAAATGGGAGTTGAACAATGAGAATACATGGACACAGGGAGGGAAACAACACAGGGAGTGGAGGGCAAGGGGGAGAGCATTAGGACAAATACCTAATGCATGCAGGGCTTAAAACCTAGATGACGGGTTGATAGGTGCAGTAAACCACCATGGCACATGTATACCTATGTAACAAACCTGCACATTCCGCACATGTATCCTGAAATGTAAAATAAAATAAAAAATAAAAATATATAAAAAATAAATAAAATGTAAAAAGTAACAATAACTAACATTGCTTACTAAGTGCCATGATCTCTAAGCACTTCACATGCATTAAAAAAATTTACTCCTTACACAATCATATAAATTCGGACTATAGTTATTCTCATTTTACAGATAAGGAAACAGGCACAGAGAGGTTATCTAACTAAGCAGTCCCCAACCTTTTTGGCACCAGGGACCAGTTTTATGGAAGACAGTTTTTCCATGGCCTGGGGTTGTCAGGGGATGAGGGAAGTAGGGGATGGTTTCAGGATGAAATTGTTCCACCTTGGATCATTGAGTATTAGATTCTCGTAAGGAGAGCGCAACCTAGATCCCTCACATGCATGGTTCACAGTAGGATTCACACTCCTATAAGTAATGAACGCTGCTGATCTGACAGGAGGTGAAGCTCAGGGGGCAATGCACACTCACCCACCGCTCACCCCCTTCTCTGCGGCCCGGTTCCTAACAGGTCACAGACCAGTACTTGTTCACAACCCAGGGGTTGAGGAGCCCTGATCTAACTTACTTAAAACCATACTGCTATTAAGTGTTAGAATTAGCAAAAGAAGAGACAGGAAAAATAAACAGAATAGATAAAGCAAAGGTAGATACTTACGTATAGAAGAATGATACTGAGATGCTATGTTGAAAAAAACGGTTAGTGTATTAGTTTCCTAGGTCTGCTGTAACAAGTTATCACAAACTGGTAGCTTAAAACAACATACATTTATTATCTCACAGTTGTGGAGGAAAGAAGTGCAAAGTCAAGTTGTCAGCAGGGTTGGTTCCTTCTGGAGATTATGAAAGAGAAATCGTTCCATGCCTTTTTCCTAAGCCATTGTCAATCCTTGGCATTCCTTGGTTTGTCGCTGCATATCTTCAACCTCTGCTTCCATGCTCACAGGACCTTCTCTCTCGCTGTCTCCTTCTTTTCTGTTCCTTATAAAGATACTTGTCATTGCATTTAAGACTTGCCCTAATCTAGAATGATCTCATCTTGAGATCTTTACCTCAATTAGATCTACAAAGACCCTTATTTAAAATAAGGTCACATTCTGAGGTTCTGGGTACACATCTCTTTTAGGGGCCATAATTCAATCCACTACAGTTAGACGGTATTATTCATCATTAACTGCTATAACAAACAACCCTAATATCTCAGATGCTCTACCAACAAAGATTTATTTTTTGTTCACATCACAGGTCAACCTGAGTGCTATGGGCCCCTTGGGAGTCTGGTGAATGCTTTGGACTTGTTCTCAGAATGATTTTTTTTTAAAGTATAAGTAAAATGCAGACAATAAATAAGATTACAAATAAGATACATAAGATTATAATAAACAAAACACTTAGAATTACAAATGAAAACAATCATATTGAAATACAGTTATCAAAATAACAAAATAGCAATAGATGCTTCTTTACTAAGGTATTGAAATAAAATCCAGAAATGAATCTAGTAATTATAATAATTTCAAAGAAGTCATGAATGCAAATGATCTACAACTATCCTGTGATTAAAGAAAAATCTGTGAATTCTGTTGATATCAAAGTCACAGGTACTAATTTGGTAGTTTTTTTGCCTTCAATCATGACTGAAGATAATGCTAAATTTCAGATAAAAGATAGTGAAAATAAATATGTGATTTTTCTTCCATAATCAAGTTTATGAACTCCCTAATTTCTATCTGTAAATTGTTTAGGGGGTCTGTGGATCCTAGAACGGAAACTCCTAAACTTGTGGCTGTGGCATTCCTTACACCTCAAAATCCTGTCCTGGATTCTCTACATCTTGTCAGCAGACAGGGAAGAGATAGAACACAGAGAACCATGCAGCAGGTTTTAGGAGCCAAGTCTGGAAAAGGTGCACATCACTTCTGCTCACATTTCATTGGTCAAAACTCAGTCATATACCAGCACCTAACTGTAAGAGAAGCTGAAACTAAATCTCCAATACTGGAAGAAGTCCACGTGTCCAAAGTCTGACAATATACCTCCACCTTTTTCTCATGCAAGATGGGGCTAAATCCCCTGAGAGACAACTGGGTTTTCACAATTCTTTTGGGAAAAAAGCTCTTAAAGCAGGTGTCTTCACAATCAGAGGTTATTTCACAATCAAAAATAGAAGATCTAGGGCTGGGTCCTGTGGATCATGCCTGTAATCCCAGTACTTTCGGAGGGTAGAGTTCAAGAGCAGCCTGAGCAACGTAGGAAAGACACAGTCTCTACAAAAAATAAAAAAATAAAAAAATAAAAAAATATATATATATATATATATTAGCCTGGTATGGTGGCACATGCCTGTAGTCCCAGGTGCTTAGGTTCTGAGGCAGGAGGATCACTTAAACTCAGGAGTTTGAGGTTACAATGAGCTATGGATGCATCACTGAAATCCGGCCTGGGTTGTAGAGCAAGACCCTGTCTCTAAAAATAAATAAATAACCCAGTAAAATCAAAGTGTATCAGCAATCAAACATACAAAAAGTCCAGTTAAAAAAAATGGAAGACCAATATCACGAAAAAACAAATACATTTAGTAAACAGAAGAATTTACTCCAGGCTAAAGGTAACAGAGTGAAAAGAATTTTTAAATGAATAATTTTAATATCTTCAGAAAGACACAAAGGAGGAAATCGACAAGCAGGCAAAAATAGAATAAAACAGGAATGATAAGAAAAATAACCAATTAGACATCCTACAAATAAAACTCTATTTGAAATTTTAAAAAACTCAAAAGATGGGCTAAATAGAAAACTAAATACAGATGTAAAACAAATTAGTGAGCCAGAAAATGGAACTGAGGAAAGCTCCCAGCACCAACAAATAAAAAGACGTGAAATATAAAAGAAATATTATAAGACATTTAGGATAAATCTTTTCAAAAAGAAAGAACAGAGAGAATGATCAGAAGGCATATCTTAAGTAAGAACAACTAACAATTTCCCAGAAATTAAAAAAAAGACTTCATCTTCCTATTTTAAAAGTTTGTCTCATACTGAGCAAATTTAATTTTAAAAAGCTCCATATGGTAGAAGAATCAACTGAAGATGGATTAAAGACTTAAATGTAAGACCCAAAAACTATAAAAAGCCTGGAAGAGAACCTAGGCAATACCATTCTGGACATAGGAATGGACAAAGATTCCATGACAAAAATGCCAAAAGCGATTGCAGCAAATGCAAAAATCGACAAATGGGATCTATCTAAACTAAGCTTCTGCACAGCAAAGGAAACTATCAACAGAGTGAACAGACAATCTACAGAATGGGAGAAAATTTTTTAAAACTATGCATCTGGCAAAGGTCTAATATCCAGCATCTATAAGGAACTTAAACAAATTTACAAGAAAACAACCTATTAAAAAGTGGGCAAAGGACATGAACAGACACTTTTCAAAAAAAGACGTACATGTGGCTAACAAGCTTATGAATAAAAGCTCAACATCACCGATTAGAGAAATGCAGATCAAAACCACAATGAGATACCATCTCACACAAGTCAGAATGACTATTACTAAAACGTCAAAAAATAACAGGTGCTGATGAGATCGTAGAGAAAAAGGAATGCTTGCTTATACACTGTTGTTGGGAGAGTAAATTAGTTCAACCATTGTGGAAAACGGTGTCGCAATTCCTTGAAGACCTAAAAACAGAACTGCTGTTCTACCTAGCAATCCCATTACTGGGTATATATCCAAGGGAATATATATATTGTCCTGTCATAAAGACACATGCATGCTTATGTTCACTGCAGTACTATTCACAACAGCAAAGATGTGGAATTAACCTAAATAGCCATAAATGGTAGACTCGATAAAGAAAATGTGGTACATATACACCATGGAGTACTATGCAGTCATAAAAAGAACAAGATCATGTCCTTTGCAGGAACATGGATGGAGCTGGAGGGCATTATCCCTAGCAAACCAATGCAGGAACAGAAAATCAAATACCACATGTTCTCACTTACAAGTGGGAACTAAATGATGAGAACATATGGACACATAGAGGGAAACAACAGACACCAGGGTCTGCTGGAGGGAGGAGGGTGAGAGGAGGGAGAGGATTAAGAACAATAATAGGTATTAGGCTTAATACCTGGGTGATGAAATAATCTGTACAGTAAACCCCCATGAAACAGGTTTACCTATATAACAAACCTGCACATGTACTCCTGACAGCAAAACTTTTTTTTTTTTAAAGCTCCACATGGGAAAGAGAGAGAAATGAATAGGCAGAGCACAGAGGATTTTCAGGGCAGTGAAAATTGTCTTTATGATAGTATAACAATAGACGAATATCATTATACATTTGTCCAAATTCATAGAATGTACAATGCCAAGAGTGAACCCTAATGTAAAAATGGGCTTTGGGTGATCATGATATGTCAATGTAGGTTGATCAATTGTAACAAATTTACCATTTTGGTAGGGGAATATTGATATATGGGGAAGGCTAAGCATGTGTGAAGGTGTAAGAAAAACATTCAATAGACATAGATCCAGAAAAAAGAGATAATGTAACTAACAAAGAAAGATATTAAAATACCTGATATAAATATGCTCTATATGTTCAAGAAAATATGAGAAAACATGATAATAATGAGGCGAGAAATGGAAGACACAATTAAGATTCAAATTGAACTTCTACTATAGAAGTATTTCTATATAATAACTATATATAATAACTATAATAAAATGAGAAAAGAAATTTTAAAAGTGCCTTTTCCCCTTGAATTTATTTTCTTTTAGTTGGTTTAGTCCACTAAAATTAGTAATTCACATACCGTATTTCTACTGTTTCTACCAATTACTGACAGAGGCGTGTTAAAGTCTCCAAGTATATATGTAGATTATTTCTCCTCTTTCAGTTCTATCAGTTTTTGTTTCAAGTATTTTGAAGATCTGTTGTTAATGCACATTTAGTATTAAGTCTCCTTTGGGGAATTAACTCTCTAAGATTACATCATGCTCTTCCGGCAACTATATTGTCTAATATTAAAATGTTTACAGCTTTATTGTTACTGATGTTTGCATAGCATATCTTTTTCTATCTTTTTATAGTACTTTTAACTAACCTCTGTCTTTATATTTAAAGTGGGTTTCCTTTAGTCAGCATAATCTTAATTTTAATGCAATGTGCAATCTCCGTTTAGATCATTTACATTTAATATAACTACTGATATGGCTGGATTAAAATCTACTTCTTTTTCTATTTGTCCCATCTCTTCTTCTGTTTCTCTTTTCATGACTTTTTCAATAAACTATTTTTTACGATTCTCCATTATTAATTTATAATTTATACCTCTTAAAATATTTTTAGTTATTCTAGGTCTTACAACATATATCTTTATTAGACTACCTTCAATTAATATTATATTGCTATATTGTAGAAAACTTACAACTGTGTACTTACAATTCCTCCCTCCCAATTTGTGTGCTATGGTGTCATACATTTCTTTATATATTCTATAAATCCACAATAATTTGCCACTATATTTGCTTTAGACAGTGAATTATCTTGATGGCAAATAAAAATAAAAATAAATATCTCATGTGTCACTTTATCATAACCATTTCTTAAGATTTTTGTTTCATCATATAGATACAGGTTTCTTCCTCGTATCACACCCCTTTTGCCTGAAGAACTTCCTTTAACATTTCTTATAGGGCAGTTCTACTGGCAATAAATTATATTAGTTTTGTTTTCTTTTAAAAATCTTTATTTCTCTTTCATTTCTGAAATGGAGATGTGAAGTCTAACTTCCCTTCCCTTGAGTGTCAGCCAGACACAACTACTTGCTTCCAACAAATAAATTCCAACAATGTGTAACTTGAGAGACTAGGTCCTAAAAGGTGTGGCTTACGTCTTGCTGGGTTTTTTTTCAGAGTGGGTGATAGAACACCAAGCAAAGCCACTCCTGAATTTCTGACCCACAGAAACTATGAGATAAGAAATGTTGTTTTAAGCCACTAAATTTTGAGGTGATTTGTTGGACAGTAGTATGTAACTAATATTGAGGTTCTCCAAACTTCTTGGATCTGTGGTTTGATGTCCTTCACTATTTTTGGAAACTAGCGTCATCATCTCTTGAAATATCTCTTTGCCCTATTCTCTCTCTAGTCTCCTTTTACGATTTCAATTACAGGTACCTCAGACTGAATAATGTCCTTCAGTGCTTAGATGCTCATTTGCAGTGTTCAATATTTCCCAAATCATCTCTTATGGTGCCCAACCATCTGTAGCAGAGCAACACCCTCTTCTCTGAGGGACTCCACAGGGCTGTTCTTCTAAATTCCACAATTTTAATAATTCCTCTTTCTTTTGTTTCCCCCAGCCCTAGAGATTAGCTGCTTCCTGAATGTACTACCTCTGTGATACTTTGTTTTATTACCTTTTCAGTTAATTAACCACTTACCATAATTAACAATGTTTATAGTAAACTTTCTCTGTTCAGATAACATGTATGGCTTCTGTTTCCTGATTAAACCTCAACTGATACAGAAATTGGTATGAGATTTATTTATACCAGTAAGTAAATCTTCAAAAATGGGAGTTTGAGATTGGTTTAGTTATGTCCTTGGGCTTGACTGCACTGCTAAACTCCTTGCTAATAGGAAGTAATGTTGTGAGCCATTGCATGAAATGGCAATACAATTTGCCAATTATTATCCCAATTTACTTGATCATGAACTGTTTTGCTAAAATTAGCACATTATAGACTAGCATTCCATAAAATACACTTTAGGAAATGCTTGCTTAGCCATACTTCTCTATTTAATGTATCCTCCCTAAACATATTAAGCATGTTCAAGTTGCTGTTCATGTTTTCTATAAATTCCTTGAGAATTCTTATTTATCAATTCATATTTTGATATCAAATTCATATTTTTATCAATATCAATTCAGATTTTACTTTAAGTGTTTATAGCTTTTCCTGATTCTGGACCCAACCCCCTCCCCAAAGGAACTAATTGGCTGCATTACTTTATACATACCTCTAATATGGCCATTGTCACATTATATGAAGTTGTTTGTTTATATATCTACCTATCCCACTAGAACGGGAGCTCTTTGAGGAACAGTCCTTGTCTGATTCATCTTTGTAGCTCAATGTCAATTAGAGTGCCTGGTATATAGTAGGTACAATTAATTTGTATGTGTAAAATTATTGAGAATGGTTATGAAGGCTAGCTATATTTACTCCCTTAAGAAAACTTAGAACACTTTGAATTTGCTGCCACAAAAGAGAATAAACAGACTTGTTTCGTTATTTAAAATAAATTGTTTATAGCAGTCTATATGTTACAATTTTCCTTCAACAATAGGCACTTGTTTACTTTTTTCCATTTTATAAATCTGTTCACTTATGAAGGCAAATAAATTCAGCTCAACAGGCATATACTGAGCAATTAACTCTGTGCCAGAAACTATGCTAAGCCTTATGTACACCAACATATAAATGCTTATAGTTCAATAAGGAGACAGATATAGTCAAATAAATTCAAGTATCACTGTGATAACTACAATAATAGAAGTATATACAAGTTGTAGGAGTAGTTTAGCAGAGGAGAAAATAAGCTCTTTATGAGGGGGGATTCCCCAAAGATTTTCTAACTGGAGTTTGAAAATGGAAAAGGAGTTTCTCAAGCAGACAACAGGCACTGGGTAAAAATCAAAGCATGGAGGCAAGAAATAGTAAAGTGTTGAAGACATAAAAGCAGTTTCAGAAGCACTAAGCACCAGATGGTTTGTGGCAGAAAATGAGGCTGGAAATTTAGGCAAAGGCCACATCATAAGAGCCTTCATGTCATTCTAAAGAACTTGGACTTATGCAGCAGGTGATGGGGAGACAGGGACGACAAATACCATTTATTTTACTTTTTCTGCATTGAAATAAAATCTGTATTATCATATATGCAACAAACATCAGTTGAGCCCTTCTAATACCTCAGGTATTTTGCTGGGAACTGGGTTATTCAATAGAGTTATGCCATTAAAGCTCACCATAAAAGACATTTTTGTTGATAAGGTAAATAGCCTAGATTTCATTTATAGTCTCTATCCTCCCAATTGATTCTTGGCATAAGCCTGCTGGACAGTATTTCTAACTCTGTTGCTAACGCGAACACCAACACTTTGAATCATTTCTGCCAGGCAGCAGATTTTTCAGCAACCCACTTTATAAACTGTAATTAGTTTTCCATAAAGAGCAAATTATTCCCTTTATTCCCTTTCTAAATTTCATAGCGCATATTATACTTTTGTTATACATACATACACACATACAATATCTACAAATTTCTATTTTGAGTTGGCCCAAAGGAATCCAAATCTTTTCAGGCTACAAACTCTTCTATTTAAAATAGAATTTTCTATTATAAAATAAGAAAATGAGAAAAATTTCCAAAATGAAGGTAATAGGCATCAAGAAGAGTAAGAAAGGTCCTTAGAAAGAAGAAAGAATGCACAAAAGAGTTAACAAATTTTAAGTACTACTGGTTGAGTATCCCTTATCTGAACTACTTGGGACCAGAAGTGTCTCAGATTTCGGATTTTTTTTAGATTTTGGAATATTTGCATATATATAATAAGCTATCTTGGGGATGGGACCCAAATCTAAACACAAAATTCATTTATGTTTCATGTATACTTTATACACATAACTTGAAGGTAATTTTATATAATGTTTTAAATAATTCTGTGCATGAAACAAAGTTTTGACTACATTTTAACTGTGACCTGTTATGTCGGATCAGGTGTGAAATTTTCCACTTGTGGTACTGGCACTCAAAAAGTTTCAAATTTTGGATCATTTTGGATTTTGAATTTTCAGATTAGGAATGCTCAACCTGTACCTAAGTAAAGAATACTAAGATACAAGTGCAGGTCTGGATATCAAATCACAGAATTACATGGAGAAGCAATACACAGATCAAATGGCCATCAGTTAATTCTGTATTAGAGGCTCAAAAGAACAAGTAAAACTTGAAAATTCAAAATCAATGATGGCAAAGAAAGGAATAGCAGCACCTTGTTAAAGACAACATTTTTTAAATATACAAAGCATATTCCCAAATGTGTTGCATATCAGTGTTCTCCATATTTGAAAAAATATGAAACACCTCAATGAAAACAAATGATCTGAAACTGATTGCTAATTTGGTACAAAACAAAAACTTACAGTTACCCCATTACCATGCTTGAATAAGAAGGTTGCTCAATTTGAGACTGGACATTGTGAAGTATTTTTCTGCCTGTAGAAATAGGCTGGAATGTCAGTTGTATATCTTGCTGCCAACAAGGGAACAGAAAAGATTTCCCAAGATTCTGTCAAGCCTGGTGATCCCATTTGTCTTTGGAAATGAAAGCCTAATTAAGAGACTCCCTAGGGACAGGTCAAAGGAGTTTTTATCCCCATCGTCCTTATCTTAGTTCCTTGATGCATTAGTCCTTCCCTTTAATTTAGTCTACCCTAAAACTAAAGAATACACATTGTGCAAGTTTCCACCTTTGCTTTCTCTACTGTAAATGCATTAGACTATTAACAGAATTACGAGTTTTAAATCCCACCTTCCTTATCTCTAAGCTGATGTTGATTTCTTAAAGTGTTTTTGAATAAAGCTTAACACTAAAAATTATTGTAATACTTTAATTGGATAACACTTTTTAAAAATATCGGAGTCTGACTAAAAGATTACAAAACCCCACAAACATCGTTATAATAAAGCTATTATGATAAATAATACTTTGTAAAATTTGAATTCGGTTTTATGTCCTAATTTCAAAGATTGTGGTTGCATGATATTATTTATCCAGGTTAAATTCCTGTTGGAATTATATTGACAGTGTTTCATTTCTTTGAAACAATTTTAGGGTTAAGCGTCTCTACAGTTAAAACAGAGAATATCAACTGTAGTCCCAGTTACTCAGGAGGCTGAGGCAGGAGAACCGCTTGAACCTGGGAGGCGGAGGTTGCAGTGAGCCGAGGTAGTGCCACTGCACTCCAGTCTGGGCGACAGAGTGAGACTCTGTCTCCAAAACAACAACAACAAACTTGAAGAGATGAAAATGTTCTATCCAATCATGATAATTCCGTGTGAGTTTTCCAATGTTTAGAAACACGTGTGGGCACCACTCCATCCCTGACCAGCAAGCTTCCTCCAGACCCACTCCACACCGCCATGTTAAAATGTCAACTTTTACTTTTTGGACTCAAACTACAAAATTTAACTATGTCTCCTCTTACCAAGATTCACAATGAACACCTAGGAGTCAAGGTAGGCTTCATAACGCTAAAGAGACCACGACTCTAATGACCACCCCAAACACAGCATTCCAGCCTAGCTGTGGTCTGCAATTACCCACTTCAGAGCCTCGGCGCAATGTCACAGCTGCAACTGATTGGTGTAACGTGCTTGTCATTCACATAGAGAGGGTGGGGCCTCAAAGCCCGATCTAAACCAGACTCCGTGTCTTACGTCATCGCCAAGCGACTAAAGCTGGAAGGGAGGGGGCGGGGTTGTGAGCAAATCTTGGTGGTGGTGGTGGTGGGGCGGCCTGAGAAGATATCATGGCTGCTGCCACGGAGCTTAATCGCCCGAGCAGCGGTGACAGGAACCTGGAGCGAAGATGCAGACCCAACCTCTCCCGAGAGGTGCTCTACGAAATCTTTCGCTCCCTACACACCCTGGTTGGACAGGTGAGAGGTGGCCTGAGGGACTGGGAATATGGAAACCATCCGGTCCCTCCTCGCCATTCTTTTTCTCTAGCAGAGGCCGGGGGCAGCTAGGCCTGCAGAGGTGTGGGATGCGGTCCCGAAGCCGAGGTGTGGAAGGAGCCCGGGCCCAGCCTCCTCGGTCGGAGTGAGGAGGACGGCGGTACCGGTTGCAGAGTCGTTTACCTTGCAGCTGTCCTCCCCAAGAGTGGGTGAGGTTGGCCTAAGTGAAAACCCGGCTCCGAGAGAGGCAGGCTTGGAGAGAATGAATGTGGAAAAGCTTCACTGCGAGTTTAGGAGGCGCTTAGCGTTCAGGGTCCTTTTTCCTCCAACTTACTCTTTATGGGAATTGGTTGGTCAGTAGGCCTGAGATTTATAGAAAAGCGCGCGCTTATTAGCTTTTTTTGGTGGGGGAGGGAGTAATTTGTTCTTATGAGTTACTTGGTTTTGTTTATTTCTTTTTTCCTTCGGGCTGTTTTGCGCATCTATAATCCTTTCAAATGGGGAGAAAAGTAAAAGGAATTCATTTAAAATACTTCTAGCGTAAAATGCTGTTGGCGTTAGAACTGTCGTTATTTAACTATTAACTAGTTTAACTGGCTGATAAATCGCTTTTGCAGAAATGTCATAGTAAAATTGGTTTTAAATTGAAATGGGCTTCTTCGATCAAGTCACTGTTTCGTTTCATGGTGTAAAATTCAAGTTTTAAATGAGAAACAATTTAAAAGTATGCTTGTTTACCTGCCTTTTAAAAGGAAATATTTTCTATCTTACATAGACCATTTTCTAGCCGTAAAAGTTTGTTTTGGGGCTGGTACTAGCGCAAGTGGACAAAGCAGGCATTTGTGTCAAAGATAATGGTAAATTCCTATGAAAATAGAACATTTGTCTGATTTGTGAAAATTATTTTTAAAGCCTTGAGTAGATGGAGAATCAGTCTTTTAAGAAGTTACTATTTTTAAAAATCGTAGTATGTTGTGTCTTACAAAGAACATTACTGTAAGTTAAACGGTTTTATGAAATGACGCAGTTATTAATGGAGTCTGCTTAAAGATATAACTTTTAAATTCAGTTGTTTGCCAAGTACTTACCAAAAACATTTTTTAAAGACTTGGGGTGTTTTGTTATTAACATTCCATTCTTAAGACCCAAGACGTTTAAATGGTTTAAAAGTTAGAGAACTTTTTATGGCGACGTTGGAACTTAAGTTTATTTATTTTATAATGTCAAGATGAAAAAAGTTTATTCTCACCTGTTAACAGAAGATGGAATATTTTTAAAAAATACTGAGCAATGATTTAAACATTTCTTTTGAAATATTTTGCATACTGAATTTTTCAAACTCATTAGAAAATTTTAAACATTCAAGTACTGTACAAGTAAAGAAGTGATTACAATTTACTTATGTCACCTGTCAAAAATGTTCACAGTAAATATTTGGTTACTTTACCATGACACAGTGAAGGGACCTCCTATACAAGTGTCAAAAATATGATTGTTTCATCAATTAAATACAAACTGTTTTCATAATACTCTATATTTTGAGAAGTGTTAAGAGTGAAAATTAGAGTTCCATACTTATAAAATTGCCCCCAGAGAAATCAGTATTTTCTTTTGCAACCACTTTAAAGGATATTTAGAATGTATGTTGTAACATGCCTAACTTCATCCTGTGTCATCCCTAAGTATCGTTGTATTATTAGATCTCCTCAGTAGGAAACATAAAACTGAATGTTAAAAATAATTTTTTACTTAAGATCACAAAATTTACTAATTTTAACCTTTTTGCTTGCCTCTGGATGGTCCATCTTACCAAGCTAAACAATTATTTATTTTTAGCTTGGATTTTTGTATTAATTTAGTAAAGTTTTTACTGAAAATATATATTTAAATAGTCTATATTAATAGCAGACTAATAGAGATTTTCGAGTGAGTGGTTTACTCTTCCAAGTTCTGTAGGGCAAAATGCATAGAGTTCATATTACTAATAATGAATTTGTTGAATGAATAGTTAGATGTATTAGGACAGTTTTAAAATTAATTTGTGACATTATGTGGTTTTCTTAAAAGACTAATTATTCTTAATTGCACTTGAAGCTTATGTAATTCTGCTGAATTGAAATGAGAATATGAACCAAACATTAAGACTTATTTTTCTATAAGTTATTTTCTCTAGAAAATGTGATACTTTGCTTTGGTTGAGGATTTGCCTGCTTTATCCCCAAGCTGTATTCTTAAGTTTTCTATAATCAACTATAGATCTCCTTGAAGACTATGAAAGTACATTAATGGGTTACTTCCATACATAATACAGGTTGTTGTCTAACAAAATCTTTATAGGAATTAAAGTAATATAAATTAATGCATTAACTTTAATGTACAATCTTAATATATTCTAATCTTTGCCAGTGCAGCCTACATGAAATTTCATATCTCTTTATACTTGTCTAATATGGACTTTTAAATGCTTCCATTCTCATCTTCAAAGGGCAGTAAATTTCTGTCACATAGTATTTATTCAATATATTATCTTTTTATTGGTAACCTTATATCTTTTTGATCTTTGTACAGTGATTCATCTTTTTTATTATAATTGTGACTCATAAAATCTGTATTTGAACTCACGTAACACCTTTATTTTGTAGAAAAGATGACTCATTTTGAATAAATTATGTTAACTTGATTCTACTATGAAGTATAGTCTTATACTATGCTGTAAACACATGTCCCTAGAAAAGTTTTTGATGGTTCACTTTTATTCATTCAAAAGACTGCAGATGGGCGCTCTCATTGTAAAATTTTCACTCATTTTGATAATAATCTTATATTCAGGTTCTTGGTAGTTTTCTGGATATGATTTTATTCTATTAGATCACCAACTGATAGAAATTTCCATATAATGAGCTGTCACATCTTAGCATTTACAAAAGATCTGGACATTTCATCCAGTCTGACAACTTATTTCACTGTGGTGGAGAAGTCTTTGTTTTTCAGCTTCAGACTTCCATTGCTAAATAATAGTTTTTTATTTGAAATAAACATGTTGCCATTTATCCCTACACTTTATATGTATGAATAATCTTGACTTTTAAATTAGTTTAAAAATCGGTTAAAAGTTAAAAAACTAAAAATGTGATTTGGAGGACATCAGAATAATGATATATTTCTGATATGTATTTGTGTACATACTTAAAGAGAAAGATGCATGTTAAAACTTTCACAAAACACTTGTACTTCCTCTGTTTAAGGCTCTGAGCTAGAAGTAGTAGGATTCTGAATAGGGCAAGCCTATATTGGACTCCATCCAAAGGTTTGTATATATTGAAGTATCAAAAGAGCCTTCATCTTTTCATCTTTCATGAATGGTTTTACCTCTAAAATGGTCCCATTACACAGACCTAAGAATAGAATTTGAACGACATGTCATTTTGTTTTTGTTTTTTTATGAAAATCTGTAGCTTTCTTGGCCTTTTGAAATGGTAACTGGGTAGAGCATTTCAGTGTATTATTAAAAACTTGATAACTTAGAGCAAAATAGACCCGTTACTCTAGAAATCTTATTTTTGTGACAATTCCATATGTAGAGCTTAATCGTGTAATTTTTGTGATGTTGCTGGTTTGCCCCTTTGAAGCTTGACCTCAGAGATGATGTGGTGAAAATTACAATCGATTGGAACAA
The DNA here is from genome assembly GCF_000001405.40 of Homo sapiens. Taxonomy (NCBI): domain Eukaryota; kingdom Metazoa; phylum Chordata; class Mammalia; order Primates; family Hominidae; genus Homo; species Homo sapiens. Next base: position 36,316,765 of record NC_000014.9, on the reverse strand, counting down.
GCTCCAGAGCCTCTCGGCATTCCAGCCTGCATTGCTCTTTAGTGCACTTGAACAACACATTTTATATTTACAGGTAAATTTCTTGTTAGAAATGATAACCCGATATTGAAAATAGAAATTGATTGTGGTTAAGTTAGTTGGAGTATTTGACAGTTCTAAACACTATATTAATAGTGTTGCTAATAAAACGTTATTTACATCCGGATTTAATCTAAATCTGTTAATTTCAGTAGTGATCAGGACAGTTAAGGGAATATAGCCCAAAAGACCAATGTGGGTATGAGTGAATGAATGCAATTCTATTCAATTCTAGACCTGCACTGAAAATTCAATACAGTTCCATCTATGGTGGGTTATAATTAAGCAATAAGACACGGCAGGTGTGTGTCATGCTATGATAATGATTCCATGCCTTGGGTGAGTTTGGAGGCTCATGGAGTGCTTTCAGTGGTTCAAGAAGGGGCATTATCCCAGCATGACACATCCTGGAGTGTCTATTGCAATTAAACAGTTTCAGCATAGTTTTTAAAAAGAAAGTAATTTCTATGACATTAATGTCTCATCTTAGTAAGTAGCCAGTCACTATTTTATCATTTCTTTTCCTTAACAGTTTGAAATAATTCATTCTTTATATTAGAAGTTAATATTGAATTGGTATTTATAATAGTGTTGTTATATTTTTAAATATTTCATGTTAATAACTGAACAGTATTATGACCTTGCTGGTTTCTAATTGAACATCTTTGCAATTATAATTGATGTAAGTTTGCAGTTTATCTCTAATCAAAGTGTAAAATGTGAAGTGTCAAAAAGATAAGTGGAAAAACTGGATTGGTCAGTTTACTGTGATTAAGGTGTTATAAGATTTCAAAAGAGTAGTATAGCGAACAATGGAAGCAAAATTGTAGGTATGAAAAAAATAATTGGAACGTTATTAGTGTTAGTGTGTTTTGACTAATGGAATAGGCATTAATTTTCAGCCCTCCATTCATTGACTTTGTGGGAAATTTTAACTGTTTCATGTTAAAAGTAATAGTTAACCCTGTTTTTAAAGGGCAGAGCAGTGAGCTCTAGAACTCAAATGAGACCTCATTGTGGGGAGTGGGGGAGGGGAACAGTAAATGAGTAATATAGTTTAAATTCTACAACAGGGGTTTTCCCCCTGTAGTATAGTGATAGGCCTCTGCCTGTTTTCAGCTATAGATCTTTTTTTTTTCTTGTTCGTTTTCTTTTTTAAAATTTAATTTTATGACCAAAAGATATCTTGCCATGTCAGGAAAAGTCTGAGTGTTCACTCAGCCTAACACCTATATATTTCATGTCTATGCTTCCTCATTCACATTGGCCAACTGCAGTTTCAAGTGGAGAATCTCCAGTGATACAGTGATAATGCAGGGCTTTGCTGAGTGAGAGCACTAGCTCTCGTGTTAAGGAGGAAAAATACTAAGCCTTAGTGTTCTGAGGAGGCATTTGAATGACATGTTAATTAAGTGGCATTGGTGCCAGAGGCTGAAGGCTTTGATTTGGCACAAAATAAAAGATGAGTGACAGAATGATTCTCTCAAAGAAAATTTTAAATTTCCTTAGGTTTTCTTTTCTTTTTTCTTTTCTTTTTTCCTCTCTCCTTTTTTAAAAAACAAATTTATAGCAAATGATAATGGTTACAATAGCAGAGAATAGTGAGTACTTATATGTGGTCAGATCTATGTGTCCTGGTATACCAACTTTTTATATTTATTAACTGATATTAAGTATTTCATTTACTTAGCAGAAATTTATGTAAATATATTAAGTGTGTAATTAATTTTGGTCAGATTGAACCTCAGCAGATGGAATTGTGTTGTTCTCAGCCTTTTTTAGCAAAACTTCAGTCTCCGATTAAAGAGGAGAATACAACTGCTGTTGAAGAGATAGGAAGAACAGAAATGGGGAACAAAAATGAAGTAAATGACAAATTTTCCATTGGCGACCTACAAGAGGAAGAAAAGCACAAAGAAAGTGATTTAAGAGATGTGAAAAAGACACAGATCCATTTTGATCCAGAAGTAGTTCAGATAAAGGCTGGAAAAGCAGAAGTAAGAAGGTTTTTTGGCGGGGGCGAGAGGGTATTATTTTAAAAAATCTTATGTTTACACTGTTAAAACTTGTTGTTTGTAGATTGACAGACGAATATCTGCATTTATTGAAAGAAAGCAAGCTGAAATCAATGAAAACAACGTCAGGGAATTTTGCAATGTTATTGATTGTAATCAAGGTAACTACCTGGAAATTAATTTTCATAGGGTTTTAAGCACAATTTTTATAGTTGCTCTAATCTTTTATTTATTTTTTAAATGAATAGCTTTTAGAACACAATTCAATTTATTTCATGGATTTAGTTAGTAATTAAGACAGTAGAGTTTCCTTCTGCTTAATAATAGACTATATTGCAAACTGGTTTTCATTTTGGTTACACAAAGTAAATGCTAACATTAAAAAGTGTTTATCACAGGTGAAGATTATTTTAAAGTTCCTTTAGGAAATGAAGGTGAGGTACGAGTGAGAAGGTTGATCTATCTCACTAGTAAAAGGAACTGAGCTCTATGAATTTCAAACCTATACATGTACTGTGAAATCATGATGTTAATACGTAAGTGAACTTAGTAAAGTTAATATTCCTCCAGAGGGAGCAGTTTTCTCACTACTCCTGAGCTGTTTGAAATGTCCTGTGTCACGATACAACCAATTTATCATGAAGACCATGGTGTCTTGCTTTTTTCCTTTCTGCCATAGTGCATACATTTGCTGTTTTTCATCTGATTCACCTTTACCTCTCTACTTGATGCTATAGTACATTTACAAATCTGCAAGTATGCTGCAGAATACAAAATATTGCAATGCAGTGCCATAGATTATACTCAGGCACCATAGTAATAATCAGAACAAGTAGTTCTTAGGAAAAATTATGGAGAAGAGTTCATAATTGGAATGAACATGTTTCTTGTTGCCTCTAATATCTCATGGCTAATTATTATGAACATAGAATTGTCAGATGAACCTAGAAATGACTCATATCACATTGGTACACTGATTCTCTTAATGAAATAATATAGGCTGGTATTGGGTCCTGAATTTAGCTGTGTGCTACTATTAACATTACACATGTGCATCTCTAAATTTGGTATATTTTCCTGTTAGCTTTTCAGAACAGGTGCAACAATGGCAAAATCTCAGGTACTACAACCAACTACAAGCGACTATGAGAAAGGGTTTGTTGAGAGAGCAAGCACATGTGTCACTAATGTTATTCCTCTGTTCTCCCTGCTAACTCTATTATTATAAACCACCAGGGGATAGAAATTGACGAGAATTGAAATGCTCAGCAGGATTCCTTGGCCCATTCAATTCTTTGCTGGCTCAAAACAGTGCTAGCAAGAATTGCTGTGGAGAGTGACTAGCAGTCATACACTCACACCATGCTGAATTTCTCACTGATGGTCAGTTAATCTATATGTTTGGAATATAGTTCTGGAATGGATGATAGCTTCTTTTTTTAACCCTTAGCCCCATGAAATGGTAGGAAGAGAATGGAGAAAGGATGGCCCTTTAAGCATATTTTGAGGTGCCTCCAAAAAAAAAAAAAAGGAGGAAAGATGTCTATTTAGTCTCTAGATATAAAAGCTAAGTGGATTTGGAATTTTATGCATACTATTTGATTTATCAACAGAACTACTAAGGAAAGTTCAACTGAAAAAAATACAAATGTATTTTAATATGTTAGTGTGTTCCTTTTAATACCTACAAATTTAACCTAACTATAAGCAGTGGAATTTTTAAAAATCAAATTTCATAGGGGGGAAAAAATAATTTTTTTTAAAGAATCTCATTTACCAGCCATTTTTTACAAAATATTCAGGGGAATTTTACAGGAGATTTACTGCCAATGTGTGGCCTTTAAACATTATTTCAAACATAAGTATATATTATTACTATGTAGTATCGTATGTTAATATATAACAATTATGTTAATTAGTTGTATTATATGTTAACATCTTTCCAATTTTCCCCTTTTGTAATTTATGCATTGATACTTAATTTGAAAGAAACTACTTTTCAGCTTGGAAAAAAATAGGGACAAATTTTCACAATAGACCTTTACTAAAATGAAACTTTTTTGAAAAGTGGTGGGATAAGAAGAAGTAGATGACTTTTGTGATGAAGGGTTTTTAAAATGAGCACTGGAAATCTAGGTAGAGTGGAAATGTATGTGTACTTGAGGTTTTGAGGTCATCTTTGTGTGGAGTTCTGAAATAAAAATGTTAAATAATTCTTTTTGTTGGATGTTCACTAATTTGGTCATTAAAATAAAAAATGCTGAATTAAAAGAATTCTAGTAAAAATGATGAGTTTTATTTCTACGATGAAGTAGAATTTAAATACTCTATGGTAGATTATTTTCTCCAGTGGCCCAAATAGTGACATTGGTTTTCAAAATTGTATCAATTTGTGCCACTTAATGTTGATGGCTTTTCTGTATATAAATCTGAACATTAGGTAAGAATATTAGATATTATGATAAATTTTGACAGGTAAAGAAGGTCACTAAATTCTATCCTATGTGTGATAGTAATTTATTGTTACTATTATTTATTAAAATTATTATGAGTAAAATGTTAATATGAATTATTGAAAGTTTATTAAAATCTCATACATTTGAAGGGAAGAATATATTTAAACTTATATTTATCTAAATTCTCCTTAGAAAATAGTTGTGCAAGAACTGATGCGATTTTTACCCCTTACCCCGGATTTAAAAGTCACGTAAAAGGTAAGTAACCACCACATGACATCTGAGTCACTGACAGAAGTCTAGATTATTAGCAAAATGGAATAGAAATAACTTTCCCATCTAAATTTTATTTTAAAACAAAAACATCTTGCCGTCCTTCATACTTGTGGTTAGATGGTCTTTATGAAAAAAATATAAAGTGCTGTTAAGGAATAAGAATTTCTGATTTTTGAAATACAAATGTATATAGGCTCAAAAGTTTCTTAATTTAGTTTCTAGAGTTGTGAATACATACGGACCACAGACTAGACCTGAAGGAATTCCAGGGTCAGGTCATAAACCTAACAGCATGCTTCGAGACTGTGGTAATCAGGCTGTAGAAGAACGACTACAAAATATTGAGGCCCACTTGCGGTTACAGACAGGTAAGCAAAGTGCTAAGTGGCACCTCATAATGAACCTTTGCAAATGGTTAAAAAATTGCAGTTCATTTAGTCACCAAATTTTCATTTAGCTCCTAACATTTCTTGAACAGTAAGTGCCAGTCACTCAGGAAGTGTTATGTGTATGTCAATTCACTTAAAAGGTCATAGTACCCTTTTGAGATGGTGGTGGTGTTATCACTGTACAGATAAATAAATTGAAGTTTAAAGAGCCCAAGCAAACATGCCTAAGATACTAAGTGACAACTCTAAAAAAAAAAGAAAAAAGAGATAGTCCAGTCTTGCCCAGGTTGTACTTGAACTCCTAGGCTCAAGTAATGCTCCTGCTTCAACCTCCTGTGTCAGTGGGACTACAATCATGTGTCACTACTGCACCCTGCTCAAACCCAAGTCCTCACTGGGTGCAGAGACTGAGTCTCCCTCTCCATTTAGTCACCATGTCTGTTGATTCTGTTTTCTAAATAAATATCTCTCAAATCTGCCCACTTCTGTCTTATCTCTACTGCTACTACTAGAGTTGAAGCCACTGTGATCTCTGGCTTGGACTGATGGAAGGATATTTACTGGTTTCTTTGCCACTGGACTCCTCTAGATCATCTCTACCCTGTGGCCAGATTGCTTTTTCTAAAGCTCAAATTTGATCTTGTTTCTTCCCAGCTAAAAATGTGGAGATTGGGATTGAAGGGGGTTTGTAATTTTAAATAGTATTGTCCACATCTGTAGTTCCAGCTACACCTCTGGGCTTCCCATCTCCCACTCGTTGTGCTGCTTTAGGATCTTTATACTCATGCCCTTCTGTCCATGCTTTTTCTTCCTAATCCTAGACCAGTGCAGATTCACCTTTTGTATAATCTTATATAGCACCTGGTATTCCCTGCTCCCCTTTAAAGCAGTTATCATGGTTCTGTTTGTTTAATGTCTGTCTCCTGCTAGATAGTCCGTGAGAGTGCAACTATGTCTGTCATATTCATTTCTTTGTACCTATTACAGTGCCTGGCACAAAGCAAGTGCTCAAATGTTTATTGAATGGACAGTTGCTTATTTCACCTTTGCAGATGTATGTACGGAGGGACAGAAAGTTAGTGTTTGACTCTCTCAGGGTAGGTCAAGGGATGATGGCATCCTAATGAAGTGACATTTGAGGCCTTGAAGGATTAGTAGGAATTTTCCAGAGCAAAGCATTCCAAAAAGAAGAAACACCATTTGCAAAAAAGGACAAAAACACAAAATATGGTTCAGGAGATATCTGAATCCAGTATAGCTGGAGTATACTAGCTATCTGAAGCTATGCTAGCCAGATGAAGGTAGAAGAAGAAAACAGAATGAGTAAGTCTTTGAGAGTAATAAGACACTGGCATTAAGAATTAATCTCTTCCCTCAGAAGTGGATGGGTTTAAAATGCCACTGTATAAAAGGATTGACTGGTTAAGTCTCTAATAATAGTATGAAACAGTTAAGTTTTTGGAAAAATATCTGTTGAATGTTTACTATGCTCCAAGCACTATTTTAGGCACAAGGGATACTGAGATGATATAATCATAGTCCCCAGCTTCAAGGACTTTATAATCCAAATGAGAGAAAGATTAATAGTGAAGTAGAGTTTTAAAGGAGTAATGAAAGGATGGGTGTAGTGGTGTGTGCCTATAATCCCAGTTCCTTGGGAGGCTGAGTGGGGAACAGAGCTTGAGTCCAGGAGTTTGAGACCAGCCTGGACAGTATAGTGAGAGTCTGTCCCAAAAAACTCAGGAGCACTGAAGAATGGTGGGGGCACAAGGAGCCTTTATGCGAATGAAGAGGTTTCGGCAGTGCCTGCGTTACCCAGTGAAGCTTGAACTGGCTCTTGAAAGATACAGAAGTAAGGCAGAGGACATTGTAGGTAAAGGGAGCAGCAAAAGCAAAGTCAAATGAACAAGTTAACTTATTTAAGAACAAGAACAACCAAGGTCCTAAGATTTCTTAAAATCCTCAAAATTTCTAGAATTTTTACATAACAAGTTGACAATTTTGATATAGAAATTTACCCGTATTCTTTAATTGCATAATGATTGGCTAATCATGTATTCATTCAGTCAGTAAATATCAAGCACCAGCTCTTTGCCATGCATTGTAGTCTTATGAACTGATGCTTCCTAGGTTTGTGCAGTGCACAAGCTGCACAGCCCTACCTAATGAACAAAACAGATAAAACTCTGTCCTCTTGGAGCTTATATTAGAATGGGGAAACAAATAATACAGAAAGAAAATATACTGAATGTTGGGTGGTAGTAATGGAATGGAGAAAATTAAGGTAAGGAGGATAAGGGAGTGCTGGGTAGGGGAGTGGTAGTACTGGTATTTTTAACAGAATAGTCAGAGAAGGTGTTACTGATAAGGTAACTTTTGAGCCAAGACTTGAAATTGACTTGGGATTATGGCGGTAGAGGGAACCAGCTGAAGCTTACAGGGTGCTTGGCCTCTTTGAATAACAGAAAAAAAGTAATCAAGTGGCTGGAACCATGTGGGCATAGGGAGAATATCCACATTGTGTATGGCCTTGTAGGCCATTGTGAGGGCTTTGGTATTTAATCTGAGTGAAATGATCAGGTATTGGAAGGTATTTAACCTCAGTGAAATGATCAGGTATTGGAAGCAGAGAAATGATGTGATCTAACTTATATTTTTAGAGGATCACTGGCTCCTGTGTTGAAAATACACTCTACGGAAGCATGGCAGAAACAGGGAGACCAGTTTGGGAGTTGCAGTAATCCAGGGAGAGGTGGAAGTGGTCTGGACCAGAAAGGCCACAGTGTGGAGGGGGTGAGAAGTAGAAGGATTCTTGATATAATCATAAATTTAAAATTTGAGTGGCCATAATTTACTCTTCCCCTCCTCAGAAAGTTTGTTAGTTTAGAATTATGGTAAAGCCCCTTTTTTACATTCTTTTAGGTCAAAGGAAAAATATGGCATGTAGGGAGAAATATTAATTGAAGAAAATAATATGACATATTGCAACCACTGCATTGAATTATCGTCATTTGTCACTATGCATTTTTGTCCTCCCATGTAACTATCAAAGCATATCAGAAATATAAATTGTTCTACATGGAAGCTATTCAATATCTTGTAAAATGAATTTAACATGAAACTCCTAGAATATAGGAAGCATAAATGGGGTTTGGAGAGAGGAAGTGTAGTACAATATGTCCGATAGTGTATAATACAAAAATACGACCTAAGGACTTCATTCTGTTTTACTTTTGTTTTTTATTTTCTTAAGTATTTTCCATTCCTTTGCATAAGTGTCTTTGCATGGTATTTTAAGAATAAAAATTGTGAAAAGAAAGAATTATTCAATAGTATCTCAGATTTTTTTTTAATGTATTTAGGTGGTCCAGTGCCAAGAGACATTTATCAGAGAATTAAAAAACTTGAGGATAAAATCCTTGAATTGGAAGGCATCTCTCCTGAATATTTTCAGTCTGTAGTGAGTATAAGTGTCTTTTAAAAATAAATGAAAATGTTATTGTATTCTGGATTCTTTGTGGTTTAACAGTCACTCATTGATCTATAAGCAAAACACTATTTTAATAATTCAAAGATGAATGAACACAGTCCTGTATAGGGGATATATCTAATTCCTTAAAATCTCTGGTTCTGAATATTTTTAAAATTTAGAATTTTTAAAAAGGGATACTTCTATTATATATTACCCACATTCTCAAACTTAGGCCATTTTCATGGCATAGTAAGTCAGCCTGGGTGGTGGTTGGGCCTGTTACTCTGAACTTGCTACCTTGTAAAACAGAGGCTTCCTCTGTAACCTTGCTCTTTCAGTGATCCCTCTGCCTCTTTAATCTCTCTTCCCCAACAGGCTCCTTCTCTCAGCTCATATGCAGTTAATACTAAACAAACACACACCTCAAGCTGCCACTCTTATTCTTTACCTTAACCACCAGACTTTCTATGTTTTTGTAATTCCTTAACTCTAGCATTCATTCATTCTTACCCCGTTTTCCAAGAACCTTAAGAAACAGTGTTGTGCTGGTAAGTTAGTATCTTTGGCACATCAACATTTTTCAGAAAAATGATCCTGAGCTCATTGTGTTTTCCTCAGTCTTCTGAGGTGATTATGTATAATACCTGCCTTCTCTAAGTTTTGTTTTTTTTTTAAAGCAGTACCATATTAGAACTAAAATAATATCAAAGTGAGATTATACCAAAACTCCTATTTCTGAAAAATTATGTGAGATAGCCCATTTTAGCATGGATCATATAAGTTAGTGGTGAAAATATATTTAAAATTTATTTTAGGTATGACAGCAATCTTCCAAAGTTATAGATTGAGTATAAGAGTGAGTTACAGAAAAGAAGTATTTCCAGAAGAAGAAGGCAGGTCACGTAACAAAAGGGAGCAGCAAGTCCTAAATGACAAAATTTCAGAGAAGAGTTTTAGTGATTTACTACTCTCAAATGTAAAATGAGGTTTATGAAAATACTAAGGGCTGAAGCAAAGATCAAATGAGATAATGCTGATCAAACACTTAGCATACTGCTTAGCACATGGTAAAAACCTCATTGGCATTTATTTAGTTTTATAACTACAAAGTAGCTGTATAAACGTGGAAAAGTCACTCTATTCCTCTGATCTTCAAGATGTCTAATTTTAGAAAATGTATTGGTTGTACTACATAATTACAAAGGTCTTTTCACTTTTAGGATTATTCTTTGAATGTCTTCCTAGGAGACTTCATAAAGATTTTTAATGACTTTTCCTACAGTAGTCTACCATAAGTTTTTCCCATTCTAACTGCCTTCATTAAAGAAGGCAATAACCTAGGAAAGTTATTTTTCTAGTTCAATTTCATACCTTGTTAATATAATTCTTATTAACGATAGAACCGATCTTACAATAGAGTATGGTAAAATCAGATGCCTCCAATGAGAACTTGCTGCAGCATCATTCCTCTCTTCTCTCTGATTCTGATTTATAAAAACTTAACAGAGGCCGGATGCAGTGGCTCACGCCTGTAATCCCAGCACTTTGGGAGGCCAAGGTGGGCGGATCACCAGAGGTCGGGAGTTCAAGACCAGCCTGACCAACATGGAGAAACCCCATCTCTACTAAAAATACAAAAAAATAAAAAATAAAAAAAATAAGCTGGGCATGGTGGCGCATGCCTATAATCCCAGCTACTTGGGAGGCTGAGGCAGGAGGATCGCTTGAACCCAGGAGGCTTAGGTTGCGATGAGCCAAGATCACGCCATTGCACTCCAGCCTGGGCAACAAGAGCAAAACTCGGTCTCAAAAACAAAAAAAACAAAACTTATAGATGTGTTTAACAAAAAAAAAAGCCCTCCACATCATAATCTTTTTGTTTTGTTTTGATCTGTTACAGATAGGATAGAGTGGGTAAAGAGGTAGAAGTAGCCAGATTGTTAGGACCTTAAGTGCTATGCTCAGAAGTTTAAAATCTATTTTCCAGGCAGGCAGCAGGGGGAATCTACTGAAAGCATTTGAGCAGAGAAGTGATTTGTGAACACGATATTTAGAAAGATTTATCTAATACAGTTGTGGGAGACAAACGAGAGAAACTAAGGATAAGGAGATAGTATTATGCTAGCTTAGATGTGAAGTTAGTTCCTAAAATAGGGACATGAGTGAGAATGGAAAAGATTAATGCAAGTAGGAAAAAAAATGGACAAATACTGATGATTGGATGTGGAAAGAGACAGAGAACAAGGATAGAGTCCAGTTTCTGGTTGGAAAAATGATACCATCATTGATAGAAATAAGAAAATCTAGAGAGAGAGATACTTTTGTGGGAAATGTGAATTTGAAGGCAGAGGAGGTTATGAAGGTAAAAACATCAGGTAAGCTTTTTGAGATACGGCACTTACACTTGGGACAATTGGGAGAGTCTGTGTAGTGTGAGAGTCCATTGATGGATAGGAACACAGATTGTCTGAGGCCTGAAGTCTGAAGCTTGGTGACTGCCTAATTTCAGGGGCAGGAAGCATTTGTAAATGTAAACAGAGGATTGGCATATATGTATTAAGCATTCAGAAAAGGATGGATGGTGGCAACCTGTGATAAAACAGGTGATTTTTAAAAGTATTTCCAAATATGTTAAAAAAAAAAACTATATATCTTTTAGAAGAACTGCAGTTCTTCTGGATTAGTGTTGTAAGTGACACATTAAATTAGTAGTGAGCTACAAGGAAGAACAAAACACTGGAAAGTTTAAACATTCAGACTCATTCTGTCCTTTAGGCCTGTGAACATACATGACACAAGCCCTATGGGAAAGAAGATTTCATACTCATCACCCTTCTATAATAGGATGAATGAGCCATCTTTAGGAACCTCACTTGGAATACAGTCAGCTCTAAGAGTGTCCTTGCAAACAGGAGAAGTTGAGCACATACCTTACAGAGGACATAGTACATTATTCATCACCCTCACCATCATGCTGGGAGTACATGCATGGTAATTGCATAATTTTACATATTTATCCCTCAAAAGTATACAGAAGAAACTACATATGTAGCACAGTCCTATAGCTTCTAAAGATAGGAAAGGAAAGTTGAGCCCATTCAGTTTATTAAGGATTGAACTTTTGTTGGAACTCCTGAACTCTGAAAAGATTTTCATTGAAATGTGTTTATTCAGATTCACATGTAGATGAATTCTAAACATGGGGGAGCTTCTTACAATTGGATAGAGATTGATTATCATGGGTAACATTGAAGCGTAGCATAGAAAAACAAATATTTATGGGGAAAAAAGATGTCATTTGTATTTGTTTTATAAAATGTAATCAGATTATGTAAAGTTCTCATTTTACGACCAGACATAAAACTCCAAAATAAGTTATATGTGTATAAAACAGGATTTATGACAAAAGTTAATAATACTTGTTGGACATTTTGATATAAGAGTTCTAAAGATCTTTATTCTTCACATTAGCCATGGAAAGCTTTAAATGTAATGTTTTCAAAAGTTTAAGGGCATGGCCTTAACAGTCCATTTAAAAGAACGATCTTAGAGTATTTCCAAAGACTTACTGATTTTAAATTATGATACTTGAAAACAGTAAGTACCAACATGCTTTTACAAGTATATTGTTTAGTTTATAGCATTTATCACTCATATGTTTATACATGTTTTTCACTTTATATTTTGAAACTCTCAAGGGCAGGAACTATGTCTTGTTCATCTTTGAGACACAGAATGTAGTCAATATCGAGTAGATGTGCAAATGAATGGATAGGACTTGGCTGATAGCTCATTATTGGACTTTGAAGGTGTGTTAACTTTGTTCAAAGCACTGACTGAGAGTAATTTTTAGTCTGTAACAGTAACTCCTGGTTCTTAAGGGAAGTATCGGGGGAGGGGAATGCTGAAAATCAGGTCAACATCATGTACACAGGCCATGTGCGTGTGAACGTGTGGTGGGTCTGAAGCATGAGTGAACAACTGGATTCAGCTAGAAAATTAGATTGTAAACATATTTCAGAGGGCCTTGAAGGTCACACTAACCAGTTTGCACTTCTAGTATCATTGGAGCACAATTAAGTTTTAGAGAAAGAGAGAAACTTGTAATTTAGGTCCCTGTCTGGTGGCATTATGAAGTCTGAGTTGGAGAGAAATTGGAGTCAAGGAAACTAGTTTAGGAAACATGTCATTATCCAAGCCAGAGAGAAATGAAGGTCTGAATCAGGGCTCTGGGACTAGAAGGGAAGAAAAACATTTTAGATACTGCACGCATAGAATCAGTTGCCTTTTACAACTGAAAGAAAGCAAGCCAGTCATGGAAGAGGCCTCCTTACCCTTGAGTTTCCTTAGAGCACTGGTTCCCTGGATTCATATGTGTGTGTGCATGTGCGTGAACGTGTGTATGACAGTCATGCTCTGCATAAGGATGTTTCAGTCAACAGTCAACTGCATATATTACAGTGATCCCATAAAATTATAGTATGGTATTTTTACTGTATCTTTTCTATGTTGAGACGTGTTTAGATACACATATACCATTGTGTTACACTTGCCTACAGTATTCAATACAGAAACATGCCATAAGGTTTATATGCTAGGAGCAATAGACTATACCATATAGCCTAGGTGTGTACCATCTAGGTTTCTATAAGTATACTCTATGATGTTCACACAATGACAAAATTAACACATTTCTCAGAATATATCCCCATCATTAAGCGGTGCATGACTAGGAACCTGGTAAGGTAAAATAATGGGTGAGGAGAGACAATTTTGCATTACCTTTCTCCAGCTCTTTCTTTAGTGTGCTGTGCTCTCAAGTATTTTCTCTCAGGTACCAAAACCTGTTAAAATGTCCACCTTTTATACTTCTATACAGATGGGGTTATGTCCCAATAAACCCATCAAAAACTGAAAATATTATTAAGTCTAAAATGCATTCAACACCTCTAACCTACCAAACATCATAGCTTAGCCTAGCCTAAAACATGTTCAGAATGTGTACACTGGCCTATCATGTACAGTTGAGGAAAGTCCCTTGGCAGCACAGTACACTGTAGAGTATCGGGTGTTTACCCTCATACCCCATGGCTGACTGGGAGCTTTGCTCACTGCCACTGCCCAGCATCACAAGAGAGCATCGTATCACATGTCACTAGCCCAGGAAAAGATCAAAATTCAGCATTTGAAGTACAGTTTCTACTGAATGTCTGTCACTTTCACAGCATTGTAAATTTGAAAAACCTTATCTAGCCATCATAAGTCAGGAACTGTACTGAGATTTCCTTATACCTAAAACAAACAGTAAAGTTAATCTAGTGTATCCACGGTAGATATGGTATTTCTAAGTGTTCTTTTTATCAAAATATTCTGCTCAGAGCTAAAACAAGTCCAAAAGGCCACATTTTACTGTTTTTAAGTCACTGAGCGACTGATGACCTTATTTTCCTCATTCTAATATTTCTTGCTTTGGTTCTATGATACAGTAGTAATCTGATTGTTTAATAGCATGGAAACTATCAATATATTACAGGTTAAACGATTAGGAGAACAAGGGGAATTTTTTTTTTTTTTTTTTTTTTTTTTTTAAGATGGTGTCTTGCTCTGTCGCCCAGGCTGGAGTGCAGTGGTGCAGTCTCGGCTCACTGCAACCTCCGCCTCCCGGGTTCATGCCATTCTCCTGCCTCAGCCTCCCAAGTAGCTGGGACTGCAGGCACCTGCCACCACACCCGGCTAGTTGTTTGTGTTTTTAGTAGAGACTGGGTTTCACCATGTTAGCCAGGATGGCCTTGATCTCCTGACCTCTTGATCCACCCGCCTCGGCCTCCCAAAGTGCTGGGATTACAGGCATGAGCCACCACGCCTGGCCAAGGGCAATTATATTTGCATCAAGTGTATAAAAAGCCACCTCTTAGGAAGTTAGGAGACTGATCAATCGCCAAATTAAACATTGATTCCTTATTTGCCCATAGGCCCTACCACAGGTATCCAGCTTGGTTTGGCAAAGGAAGGAGCATAATTATCTGAGCTCTATTATTTCTTAATTACTAATTCTAATACTTAATGATTTCCCATTTATTGTAACTTGATAAGCATACCTAGATGTTCTTTGAATCAACTTTTGACACAAAGGAAAATGTGAGTTTTAATGCTGTCTTTAAAATCTCAGTAGTCAGAAATGCTCATGAGAACATTTTGTCTTGGACATTCACAGTTTCTTTGTCAAATATACTCATTTACTAATTTGCCATTCAAAAGCTAGTGCTTGTGTGAAACTAAGAAAAAGTCTAGAAAGAATTCATTAGGCCAAAGTTTAAAAGGCTCATTAGTGGATCAGTGAGAATGTTGTTAGCTTCAACTAAGAAATTTGAACTCAAAACTGGCTTAAACATTATGTAAATTATAAAATAGGAAGTCCATGGTAGCACAAGCTTCAGATTTAATTGATTCAGTGGCTAAATCATAATTGTGAGAAAACAGGTTTCTTTCCCCTCTTAACTCTGCTTGGTGTTAACTTCTTTCCCAGGCAGATGGCAAGATGGCTACAGCACTTTCAGGTGTCTTACCCAATACGGCAGTATCCTGAGGAACTGCCTTCTTTAAGGGCTTTCTCTCAAAAGATGTGAGGAAGCTTTTTCCAGAAGCTCTCCTCTTAATCTCCAGCAGACCTCTCCTTTACTCATTGGCCAGAACTGGACCCATGCCCATTTCAGTCACTGACAAGACCGGGAAGCCATTGGCTTGGGCCACACAGAGAAGTAGTGGATAGGTAGCTGCTTGCATAAACAACCACAGTGTCTACTATAGTCAGTCCAGGGTGTGTGTATGTGTGTTTTCACCCCTTGGCCTCATATACCAGATTCCGTTTTTCCTTTGTCTGTTGTCACTTCACTTGTTCAATACCCTAGGATGGAAAGGTTATGAAAAAAAACTAAGCAGAAAATCCCCAGAGCACCTCTTTCCGAAATCACTCAGGCTCATTAGCAGCGGGTAGTTGATGGGAAAATATGTATTGCCAAGGATGAGCATGTTGCTGCAATATTACTATTATATATTGTTAACGTCATCCTCTTTAGAGGGTAACTTGCAGAATATAAGGTAGATGTTGGTTACAGACAGTAATTGGTATTGGTAAATTGGTTGGTTTTTTTTCTGTCAGGGTTCCCAAGGCTGTACATAATTTGTACAGTATTTTATAAAGAAAAAAAAATGATGCTTAGATTTTTCTAAACATTACCTTTTTTTTTTTAATCTAGAGCTTTTCTGGAAAAAGAAGAAAAGTTCAACCACCTCAAGTAAGTTACTGCATTTTCATTTTGGTTTCTGAAATAGTTTGATTAGTTTTATACCTTTCTTATTAATAAAAGTTTCTACTATGGTTGCTTTTAGGTCATACCCTGGTAAAATTTAGGACTGAAGAAAAGGGCAGTATAAACTAATACAGTTGAATAGAAAAATTATTTTAAGGGCATGGAATGACTCAGATAGGTTAAATAAATAAAACCTTTGTCCTGCTTTTAGTAGTACAAGGATGTGTCATTCACAAAGTGCTTAAAAATAGTAAGTGCTCAAGTAATTTCAGTCTCCCCCCATCCCTTCCTTTTGTGAACACTTCTAATTAGCAGCACCTAGATCAAAAAGGGTGTTTGGCAGAGTTTGACTTCAGCCAGCCCTGTCTAAAGTGCTACTTTACTAATTAGTTGAACCTTAAATAGTAAGGCTTTGCTAGAATTTAACAGTGGTAATGTGAATTTAAAGTTGGAGAAAACTTTCTGATTTTTAAGAGTAGCATATTTTTTTCTTGTAAAATTCTGAGTAAGTTTTTTGATAGCAGCTATTTTTTCCCGAAGTAAATTATTATAGTTGATCCCTCAAGAGAGAATTTCTAAGTATTTTAAGCAGCTATTTTTAAAGTTAACTAACTTTTTTTACTATTGATTATGAGAATAATCAGGTTTTTAAAAGTTATTCTCTTATGTAGTAAACTGTAACACTTCGTTGCTGCTTTAAAAATACAATTCACATAACATAAAATTCATCATTTTAAAGTGGCTATTAGTATATTCACTATGTTGTGCAACCATCACCACTAAGTCTAGAACATTTCCATCACTGCCCCCCCAAAACCCTGTATCTATTAGCACTCAGTCCCAATTTCCCCTTCTCTTTACCCCCTAATAGCCACTACATAATACTTGTGTCTAAATTAGAAATATTAATATATAAGTGAGGGTGTTCACATAGGTAGACTTGAATAAATCCAATTTTTATTGGAAGGTAAAAGAAGTATTTTCTTCACTATTTTCCACTTCAGGTTAACTTTAGTAATCAACATAGAAAGTTTTCCATTAAAAGGGATAGTTGATGTCTCAAATGATTTTTTTCTCCTGGTAGTAGTATAATTAGCATTTTTCTTCTTCTTTCCAACTTTTACTTAAGCTCAAGGGTTTTTCAGCTTTGTTACATGGGTAAATTGCATGTCATGGGGGTTTGGTGTACAGATAATTTTGTCACCCAGGCAATCAGCATAATACCCAATAGGCAGTTTTTCAGTCCTCTCCCTCCTCCCATCTTCAAATAGGCTCCAGTGTCTAATAATCAGGCTTTTTTTTTTTTTTTAACTTATTCTTTCTAAGTATAAAAGGTTCAGGAGAGCTTAGTCATTAGAAAAGAGAAAAAGAAATATTTAAGCCTTGTTATTTTATGCCTTTAAATTTATGATATAGTCAACATATATAGTTGCTCAGTTTTAAGATTATTCTCATGAGGGAAAAAAACCATTTGATCATGCTTTTGAATATTTTAAATATTTATAGTTCATTTGGCACTTTATCTGCATTAAGATACTTCAGAATCTTATTCAGCAATTTGTGTCGTTATTGTTTACAGCAGAACTATTCACTGGCTGAACTTGATGAGAAAATTAGTGCCCTCAAACAAGCCCTCCTCAGAAAATCAAGAGAAGCAGAATCCATGGCAACCCACCACCTTCCATGAAAAACTCCTCTCATCCTTGTCATTTTACTTTTTTGTATACATATGTGTAACTTACACTGTTATTAATTCAACGGATATATATTTATCAATGTAGACTTCTCTGTGAAGTCAAGGTTTATTTTCACATGAGTCCAGCTTGCAGCAAGTAATCTTCAAATATTCCAGTAAGTTTTGAAATAATGAATGCATTGAAAATAGCATTGTTGGAATTTATTCCCTTCTGTTTTAAAGGAGGTATTTTGGAAATTGAAAAACTTAATTTACAAGTGCTGGTACATCTTTTTTCTTTTGTGGACCACAGGAAGGAAGATTTATTTTGATATTGATACTTTAAAAGGACTTTATATTTGTAACATTGATGTTAACCAGTTTATTAGTTTAAATCAGTACTTTGCATATAATAAGCATTCAACAAAAATTTATTGACTGAAATGAATTTTAAATGCATGTGTATGAACTTGTTTTTCTTAATCTTTAAGATGTCAGTATTCATGTAAATAAACAATAGATCCAGCTTTATCCCTTTGACGGTGTGACTTTGATCAATTTACTTAATCTGTCTTTGTTCTTATTTCCCAGTCTGTGAAATGGGAATGACAATAGTAGAGACTACCTTATTGATTGTTACGAAGAAGAGGTGAGATCTTGCATGTTTGAAACTGTCTGTCCCAAGGGAATTGCTCAGTAGATGTTAGCTAATATTATAAAACCAGGTCTGTTTTTGGACAGCAATTAGGATATTACAAAGAAATTATAGTACCTCTCTTTTGAGAGCCTCCCCTTTACAATACCCCAGTTACATTAGGCAGTACATACATTACCACAGTTATAAATTAAACATTTGAAAGATGCAGCTACAGTTATGTGGAAATTCTTTCATGGAGCAGTTGTTCAGGTCAATAATTGTTTGGTGGTTCACTCCTGTAATCTCAGCACTTTGGGAGGCTGAGGTAGGAGGATCACTTGACCCCAGAAGGTCAAGGCTGCAGTGATGCACTGTATTCCAGCCTGGGTGACAGAGTGAGACACTGTCTTAAAAAACAAACAAAAAAGGTTTGGTTGCAAGAATCAGAAATCTACCAAATAGCTTGGAAAAGAGTTGTTGCTAAAAAGGAGCAGAAATCTGGAACTTTATTGCAGGAAGTACAGTGAAACACTGTAGGATCTAGAAAGTCGCCAGCAATTAATCTCTTTCTGTGTCTCTGACTGCCTCTCATTCTTTGTCTCTGTCCTCTACTCACCTTGTTTTCTGCTCTCCCTCTCCTTTTGTCTCTGTTACTCTGCCTTTGTTTTTTAAATCTTACACATAGTCATCTATGTACCTACTATATTATCTTTCTGTGGACTGGTTTCTCTGAAGACCTTTTTATCTCTGCTTCCCCACATGGAGTGACATGTTAGTCCTGTCTTCATTAGTCCTGTCTTCAGAGCCTCGGCTTGTTGTGTTTGAGCTGCTATGGTGCAAACTCTGAACTCAGCTCTAGAACTTCACAACTCCAGTGACTGCTGCTTACCTCATGTTTTGTGTTTCTTAGCTCATATTCTCCAGAGATTAAACCAGACTCAGTGTGACCAGGCGTCTCAGTCAGCTGGGGCCAGATGGGGCCGAACCTCTTCGTAAGAAGTTTGCAGTGTACACACAACCTTGCGAAACCATTTGTGGCAGCCCTGAAATTGTGGTCACCTCATAGAAAATGTAGGCATTGGAATCATTCCCAAGAAGATAGGGGCTAGTTGGATTCCACCAATGACTTACCACTGTATTTCATTTCTGCAAAGCAAACTTTTATCCCTCAAGATGTTCTTTTCTAGCATGATCCTGTATTATAAGTACAGCTACAAATACCTATTCCCCACTCTGCATCTGGTCCATGTGATCATCATCCTGTCAGAAAGACATCCTCCACATTTAGTGACACATTTTACTATCAGCACACCAGCCATTCAGTAGGGAAAATTAAAATAAAAAATTATCAATTAGAAAAGGAGGCTGACTTGATGGTAGGGAAGGAACTTAGAAAACAGGATCATACACTGATCACTAGTCCAGACCAATAAATGCCATAAGTCTGTTTCTTGCCTAGGTAATAGAGTAACTTCCTAAGTCATGCTTTGGGGGTCCTAGGATATGCTCACTACGATTCCCTCTTTCCATTGTCCTCAGGCCTACCTTCTGAGGGACCTAAGAGAGGAGTCTTCTCTCCACTTGAGTAATTATTATCTGGTGCCAGCAGCCTTTTCTACTTGAGTCTGGAGCCTGCAGAAGAGGCTCAAGATTCAACACCATCTTGATAGGAGTTGGGATAGGTACTTGTCCAAGACTAAGGTTCTTCTGGTGATAACTACCCCAGAACATTAGTGGGCTCTCAGTCATTGTCCTGAGTACATCTTTGACTGAAACGTGATGCCAGGAATTTCTGTGGGATAAATTTGCTCCCTTCATCACAGGGCTGCCTAATGACCTTTTTACCTTCAGGATTTTTATTCAGCTTTCTATTCCCATTGTTTCTAACGGCCTTGTCCTCAAGAGAATAAAGGAGCACAAGTGATTGGAAAGAGGCTTGCTTGCAGGGACTGGAAAGCACCTCTTCCCTAGTCTGCCCTATAGATCTCTCCCTTCCACAGGTTAAATTCCAGTCTATAAAAGTGTTTTACGAGGGGTTGGTGGGGCTGGAATTGGGCATCAACATGTTTATCCTGTGGGAAAGGCTTAGGATTCCCACACTAGTCTGGGTACTGTTAGACATTCTTTCAATTGCTGGCCTCTTGAGCTTTTTCAAACTCATGAATAATATCTGGACCTGGTCTCCAGCAATCTCAGCAGAAGATTTCCCTTTTGAAACAGGTCATTTTCCCTGCCTTTCTCTATCTGCTTTTAGCCAGACAACCTGCACATGTGGTTTGGTCCCAAGAGATAATAGGTCATTGTTCAGCTCTTTTGTTATCACTTACCTTCAAAGTACCAGTTTTCCATAGAATAGGGAATCCTCTCTGTCCACCCCCTACCTCTATCCCTTCTCTTTGCTTTAACTCCATGGTTAGTTTTACATTTTCACTGAGGATCTGCTACTTGAGTAATCCTATTCCTGGCACTAGTTTCTGTTTTAGAGATTTGCTGTTTTCAAGAAACAGGAGCCCAATTCTAAAATAAAGGGGTGGTGGTATAAAGAATGTAAAGAATCCAAACTGCAGGAAGTTTAGGCAGGTTTTGTTACTCTTTATCACTCACTGGGCCACATTGTCTGGATTCTGCATACCCTTCTTTCCCTTTGGAGCTTGGCTTCTCTGAAGATTTCCTCCTTTCTGCTTCCTTGCAATTTAGTCTTGCCCAGGGCTTTGGGCTCCGTGGAGCTATTTCTGACGTAGCTCTTTGCTTCCAGTATCCCTTGTTTGATCCTTATGATTCAAAATCTGGAACAGGAGTTCATATTCTCAACTTGGGCCAACTGTCCACCCCAGAACAATGACCTGTGGCTTGAACGGTAGAATCTCCAAGAACAAAATAGCCACATGTGCCCAGACCTTTGGGGGAATGAAGAGCACTTCCAATAAAGAAAGCATGAGCTGAGACCCCTGACCCTGTTACCTAGACTGATGAAAATGCAGCTGGCCTTTATAAAACTTTCAGTTCCATAAGAAATACTTTTTTTTTTTTTCAGTGACATTAACAGGAAATACTTTATGATCCAAGAGATAGCATCCAGGTTTATTGTAAAAAATTTTAGTTTGGGGCTTCTTTTTTGAGCAGTTCTAAATGTAAGAATTAATATTTCATGACTTCTACTCTTCCTTAGATATCCTCCAAATGACAAAGAGAAAATTTACTTTTTAAAAATAGAATAAAGCTCCTATTTTGTAAATCTCATATGGGTTCTTTGGACTCATAAATCTAAGACGAGATCTTTTCTGTATCTTTCAAAACTCACTATCTCATTATCCTAGGAATTATTGAATCATTACTAATCAATTATTCCAAACTATGCTATAAAAATAAAGACTAAAATAAAAAGGAAATGGAACATTGATGGAATTACCTAAAAGGATAATGTGATAGGAAAATAAATGATCATTATTATAATATCCTTCAGTTTTCATATAGCATTGTCAAAATTGTTACATCATCTTTCAAGAAGGTATGAAAGTCTGGAGAAACACCATCTTTAGAGTCCTTTTTGTTTAAGCTTTCAGTGAATACAGTTAAGAGTTCAGAATTTTTCATTTTTTGCCCATAATAGCAAGTAGAAGAAAACAGAAGAATTTCCACAATTATTAAAGCAGAAGGTGAACACAGAGAGACGGAGGGCAGTACTCTAGACCCTAGATGACATTGGTGAAATTGATCATGTAAGCAAAATCTCAGACCATGAGTCTAAAGATGCATGTTCTAGATGAGCTTTCTCATACTCAAGAATGAAGGAGTGAACCATATATTTCCAAGGACAACAAGGAAATAGTATTTCCAACCACGTACTCAACGAGAAGAGTTTAATCATGCGATATTTTGTGACAAGAACCTGGACCATTTAATTTTGCTAAATGCTGTACCAGTATTTGATCTTTTATGATGTTTATCCACCAAAATTTACTTGACATAGTTCCTAAGTTGAAAAATGCTGAAGATAGCTATGTGCACAAAGGTGATTTAAAAAATCAAAAGATGTAGAAATGAAAAAAATTCATTCTAATTGGTTCTTATAAATCTAAAAATGAAAATGTTTTGCAATAATCGCCATCATTCAACAAAATTATGTCATTAAAGCTTTAGACTTTATTTTTAATTTTTTTTTTTTTTTTTTTTTTTTTAGAGATGGGGTCTCATTCTGTCATCCAGGCTAATTTCTGTATTTTTAGTAGCGATGAGGTTTCACCATGTTAGCCAGGCTGGTCTCAAACTCCCAACCTCAGGTGATCCACCAGCCTCAGCCTCCCAAACTGCTGGGGTTACAGGCATGAGCCATTGCACCCAGCCTGATAGCTCATTTCTTCTGAGCACTGAATCACTGTCCCTACTTTTTACACAGGGAAAGCAGTTTGCCAGCCTTGCATGTTTACTTTTTTAAAAAGCAGAAGCATGTGAACATTTCACAATCCCCACATTTTCTAACACTTTTATACATTCTTTGTGGCCAAGGTTTCCTGAAGGAAGTGTCAGGGGGAGCGGGGAAAGAAATCTCACATGTATTCAAATTTTTTTGGAGCTACTTTTAAAAAATAATCCTTTGAAAGTGATTTTATGTTGCCTAAATATATGATAGATTTTTTTAAAAAATTTGATACTCTTTTAAAAATTTAATGTTAGGCATTTGGACTTTACTAAAATCTTCAGATTTAAAAATTATATCTTAACTCTCATGCCAGGAAAAATAGTCATCACCATTTACCATCTAGTTCCAATGAATCTTAAAACTTTAAAAAATATACATTTTAAGGCCATGCGCAGTGGCTCACACCTGTAATGCCAGCACTTTGGGAGGCCGAGGTGGCCGGATCATGAGGTCAGGAGTTTGAGACCAGCCTGACCAACATGATGAAACCTCGTCTCTACTAAAAATACAAAAAATTAGCCGGGCTTGGTGGCAGGCGCCTGTAATCCCAGCTACTCGGGAGGCTGAGGCAGGAGAAGCACTTGAAACTGAAAGGCAGAGGTTGCAGTGAGCCAAGATCATGCCACTGCACTCCAGCCTGGACAACAAGAGTGAAACTCTGTCTCAAAAAAATAAAGAAAATATATTTTAAGTCATTTTATGAATAATTTACTGAATTATAAGGAAATAGTTTAAAAAATAAACTTTACTAGAAATTTTAGTAAGAATTTAAACACAGTAAGCACAATTTTTATTTTATATTTTCTTAGTGTTGAAGGTAAAAATGGGCAACGTTGGTTGAATGTAAGTAACTGCTCAATATGTGCCATGAATGAACCTAGAGGATATCCACCTTGTAAATAATTATTCCATGTCTCAGATATGTTTCTTTTGGGTCCCAGTTCCTTATTACTTCCATTTCTTCTTGTACTTGCATTGCTGAAATGCAATACCTCTCGAAACTTTGAGCCAACCATGGTGGCTCAAGCGTGTAGTCCCAGCTATTTGGGAGGCTGAGGCAGGAGGATTGCTTAAGCCCAGGAGTTTGAGGCTGCAGTGAGCCAAGATCACACCACTACACTCCAGCCTGGGCAACAGAGTGAGATTCTGTCTCAAAAAAAAATTTATATATGTAATATCAAACAATGAAGAGCCATGGAAGAAATTTGAATGCATATTACTAAATGACAGAAACCAAGCTGAAAAGGTTACATGTTAAATGATTCCAGCTATACCATAGTCTGAAAAAGGCAAAACTATGAAGACTGCAAAAAGGTCAATAGTTACGAAGGGTTGAGTGAGGGAAGTTGAGGGGTGGAGATGAATAGGCAGAGCACAGAAAATTTTAGGGGCAGTGAAAATACTCCCTGATACTATCATAATAGATGCATGCCATTATACATTTGCTTAGACCCATAGAATGTACAACACCAAGAGTGGATCAATGTGAAGTGTGAACTTTGTGTGAAAATGACATGTCAGTATAAGTCCATCAATTATAACACATGTACCACTCTGATGAGGGATGTTGATAACGGGGGAGTCCATGCCTGTGTGGGGGAAGGGCGTATATGGGAAATCTCTGTACCTTCTCAGTTTTGCTGTGAACCTAAAACTGCTCTAAAAAAATAGTCCTTTTAAGTAGGGACACTTTCAAAAATAACCCATCCTTACATGACAAAATGCTTCAAATGTTCTTATTCTTGTGACTTGCAGTTTTTGGTAACCACAGCACTGTCTGAGAAATCCAATTTATTGCAAGTACTATTTTCTTGTCTTTAAATGGCCTTTGTAGGATGGTCTTTGTCTTACACTGCTTTAAATCACTAAGAAATAGAATTTTCTTCCAAGTTATCTTAAAATTAAAAGTTTGAAATATTTATATAATTTTAGATTATCAAGTTAATAGAATTTTTTTTGCCATTCTAGAATTGTGAAATTAGGGGTCCATTAAAAAACTATAAACTTTTCAAACATACAGAAAAGTACACAAAATCATATATCAAACAACTGTGTCCTGCCACCTAGACTTAATAAATGTTAATATTTGCTTCAAGTTTTTATTTTTAAAGAACCAGGCCAAGTGCAGACATAGATAAAATCTATCCCTTTCTCTCTCTCTCTCTCTTTCTCTCTCTCTCCAGTGAGAATCACAATCCTGAAGTTCATATGCATCATTCTCAGGCATTTTTAGTATTGTTTTGTTTTTAACACATTCTGTTAATTACATATTTGAAACTTGCTACATTTCACTAAACATTGGTTTTGGGTTTTAACCATACTGATTGATGTAGCTCTACTTTACCAATTTTAATTGCTATTTAAATATCTCAAATGTATGAATAAACCAGAGTTTATTTATTCATTTCCCAAATAAGAGATACCCAAGTTGTTTCTACTTCTTGTATTTCTTGTACAGGATCCTGACCTGTATGTGGTAGCCTCTGGAGTGAGTAACTATCCCAGCATATAGCTTCCAACTATGGAAAACAAGCTAGCTAAAAGATTTACTAGAAAGTAATTTTAAAAGAGGGATGAAAATTAACAAGTTATTTATGTATTACTGATAAAACCATACAAATATCTAGCAGTAGATAGGAAAGTATAACCAACCATAAAGTGTATATTCGATTTTTAACTATGGCAATTCTGTTTCTTTCCTATATCATCTCAGTTAATTTAAACATCTAGGCTTTAATAGCCTGGGAATTATGCTTTGAAATTCACTGCATTGCTAAAGGACTCCAGCCTTCATGTGGCAGCCTATTAAATAGCAGCTATTCACTGCCTTTTTTTTTTCTCCTGCTCTCAGAATCCTGATCTCATTTTTCTGTCTCAATAGAAAGACAAGGGGTAGATGAACTCTCATGCCAATTAACAAATCTAGAGAAAAAATATGACTGATGCTTGAAAGGTCATGGCCTCTGACCTTTATTTACCTGTCTAAGGTAAAATCCAAAACAAGGGAATTAAAAGAGCATTCATTCTGTTAACTTTCGTCTCTTGGCTGAGACTATCAAACCAATGTGTTATTGTGATTAAAAAAAGGAATTATAGAAAGTCTATTTATTCATTCAACATATATTGAATAACAAGGACTGTGCTGGGGCTGGGAATACACTGATGGAATTTCTGCCCTCCTAAGCTTTAATTAGTGTGTGTTCTTCCCCATAGCACTGACAACAACCCCAGTTGCTTCTTTTCAAGAAAATTAGGGGGTTCCGGAAACACCCAAGAAGCATAATTAACATGATCAAGAGGAGACATGAATGAAAATAAGCAGGAGAGGTAAACATTATTAGGGTTTGTGTACAGTTTGAGTATCCCGTATCTGAAATGCTTGGAACCAGAAGACTTTTCTATTTCAGAATTTTTCAGATTTTGGAATATCTGCATATACATAGTAAGATATCTTGGGGATGGGACCCAAGTCTAAACATGAAATTCATTTCTGTTTCATATACCCCTTATACACATAGCCTGAAGGTAATTTTGTACAATATTTTAAATAACTTTGTACACAAAATGAAGTTTGCATTTTGACTGAGATTCCTCACATGAGGTCAGACGTGGAATTTTCTACTTAAGGTGCCATGTTGACGGTCAATTTCAGACTTTGGAACATTTCAGATTTCTGATTTTGGGATTTGTGATGTTTAACCTGTATTCATTATGCAGCTTTTGTGTGCAAATTACAGAAAACTTCTATTCAACTGGCTTAAACTAGGGGAGGACTTATTACTATATGTAAAGAGAAGTCCAAGTTGGTTAATTCACAAGCTCTGTAACATTGTCCCTGAGGACCTAAGTTCTCATGTTTCTGATCTGAAGCCTCTAGGCCATTTCATGGTGGCAAGATGGCTGCCACACTTCCGGGTACCATATCCAGATAAAACAATATAGGACAACAGAAGAAATAGACCTCTTATGTCTCATTGGCCAGAATTGTATCACATGTTTCTTCCTAATCACTGGCAAGAAGAATTTTTATGATTAGCTTAATTTAGCTCAATTAAAAATGATAACCCACATGCCCAATGTTCTCTATTTATAACTGGAAAAAACAATACTGTACAAGCCAACTAAAGGAGGACAAGCATTGTGTAAAACTCAGGAGTATACAGACACTGATATGAATGGGAAATTAAAATCTCTGTGTTAAACAAATTAAGAGATTTGCATTTGATATTTCCAGCTGAAGATACTAGTTACCTGCAATAGGGAGATAAGATTAACGTTGGAAGGTGCCTATTCTTCCATAAACCACAAATCTTCCTGATGTTTTCTTGCGCTCAGCAATAATTACAAATCTGAAACTTCAAATGGGAAATATAACAGAAATTAGGCATCACTCAATAGTTAAACTCTTATTCATTTCATCAAGGAAACACCGTTACCGAAAGAATACTCTTCTCCCTCAAGAAATAAAAGTATGTTTCTGACTGTTTTATATTTTGCCAATGAGTTGAATTTTATGTTTTATGTTAATTATTAGAGTAGAAGAAATTCTTCTTGGATAAAATGATACTGCTGACAATACAGCAATAATCCACTGAATTTGTAGCATATTTTATGTTTTCAGAGTGCTTTCTCATACAGTAATCTGAGTTACATCTCATTCTTACTCCGGGAAGGAGTATATAACAGTGCTGATTCCTCATCTTTTAGATGTGAGAACTGGGACATGTCAAGAGTTAAAAGATTACCCAAGTTTCATGGCTAAGTAGTTAAAAGATCAGGATTAAAACTGAATTACTTTATTCCTAATCCAATGTTTTTGGAGCAATTTGGCAAGATCTTGTGTAATTTAAAATTATTTGATGCTATGCAAGGCTATTTTAAAAACTAAAAATAATCAGAATCTCACTTCTGAATAAATTCAGATATAAAATCTTCTTTCAGATTTTATCTTCTCCAATCTCGCCCCAGCTATTAGGTCCCTGAAATTTAGGGACCTTAGATTTTTTAGGTTCAAATGTTCTTTTTCCAAATGGTCCTATCCCTTTTCCCTATTGGATATATATATCATATTAACTCAGAATTCAGCAAGTCTCAGCCTGGACCCTTGTGTGACTTTAAATCCTACTTTAAAAGTTCTGAAAATATTCAGAAAGAGCCAAAAGTCAAAGTAAAAAAGAACAAGAGTACCTAAAATTGGGCTGGAAAAGGAAAATTTGAGAAAAATCTCACTAGACGAGTCTAGCATAGGAAAAACAACTCTCCCACTTTCCTGGGTTTCAAGGAGCAGAAAAGCAAAGAAATGTCATGAAGCATCAAACAGCCCCTATCTTTCAACAGTGATGGATGGTTGACAGGAAGCTAAACAAAGCAGCAGCTTCAAAGAAAGAGATAATTTTTTAACTAAAGCTAGAAGGGAGGAGCAAACATTTCCTTAAGAGAATTGTGACATGTCTTTTCCCTTTGGGAACGCTGATTTAAGTGGAGATTATAGAGAACATAAAATTTACATCTCCTGCTTGGACCGGACTCCAGTATCCAGTGGCCCACTCAAAATCTCCCCCTTGGATGTCTGGAGTCATGTCAGCTCTCCACTTTGAAGACTGAACTCCTGATCTTTTCCTCTGACCTGCTCCAGTCACGTCTTTCCCATCTCAGTGCATGGCAACTCCCTTCTTTCCAGGGCCTTGGGTCAAAAAACCTTGAGGCCGTCTTTAACTCCTATCATACATTTTGTCAGAAAATGCCGTGGTCTCTACATTCAATATATATTCAAAATCTAACCCTCTCTCATCGCTTCACTGCTACCATGCCAGCTTGAGCCGCCATCATACTAATCCCTTGGATCACTGCAAAAGCCCCTTGTGGTCCCCCTGCTGACCTTGCCATTCGGCTCTCTATTTTTCACACAACAGCCAGAATGATCCTTCACAATCGGAAGTCAGTTCACGTCACTTCTTTGCTGAAAACCCTACAATGGATTCTCAGTTCACTCAAGAGTAAAAAACAAAGTCCTTCCAAAGGCCTACAGGGCCCTACATGATCTGCCTGGCCTGCACCACCCCCCTTCCTCGTCTGACAAGCCCCCTTTGACTCCTGAGCCTCACCACACTGGCCTTCTCACTGCCTGGATGGGCTCTCCTGGGTTACTGTTCCATATCCCCTCATATCTTAGCTGAAATCTTACTTTCAATGGGATAGGATTGCCAGACAAAATACTGGGCACCCATTAAATGTGAATTTCAGATAAGCAATGAATAGCATCTTAGCACATGCCCCAAATCCCCCAAATTTAGCATGGGACACACATATAAAGTATTGGCTGTATATCTGAAATTCACATTTAACTGGGTGTCCTATTGTTGTTTTTGACTTTTTTTCTCCATCTGGCAGCCTTACAATGGTTTCTACCCTGATCCAGGCACATCCCACCTCCCCTTCACCCCAACTCCAGACTCCTCTCACCTGCTCTATATATTTTTTTCCTTGTAACACTCAGCTTCTTCCAACAAACTACATAATTTGCTTAAATATCATGTGTATTGTCTGTCTCCCTCTTCTGGAAAATCATCTCCAAGTAACCAGTTCCAGCAGAAAGGCAAGATTTAATTTGTGGTTAAATAATTTTATTTTTCAGCATATTTTTTCCCACTGTGTTGGAGTTGGAAGTTTTTTTATGAAAACACATGGGAAAACATAGGTGTTTCTATCTTTCCACTCTTAATATTGGTACACATCTAATACGTAGACACATAGGTTAATATAATTGATTCCCATTCAAAGCTAGCCATGTGCCATGAACTGCAGTAAAGAAGTATGTCTTCCAAAAAACATACCATACACATAGTTGACAAAAGAGAGAATTCCTATGGGGGGAAATAACAGTTGCCTTAAAAAAATCTAAAACATTTTGATTGAATGGCCCAATTATGTCTCTTCTTTCATACCAGCCAAACACAGGTAATTATTATATTTAAAATTAATAAACTTTTTTCTGCAGCAGAAAGGCCATCTGTTGAACTCTGTCATTCAGTCAAAGCTATAGAAAATGTAACCACCTTGTCTTCATTTATTCATTGAACTTATTGTCATTGTTTAGCCGTCATGCATGAAGCACTGTGTCATACGATGGGGTGGGAAGAGTGTGAGAGGGACCCTTGAGAGTGAAGAACGGTCCAGATCTGAAAAGCCTTGCAAATCACTGAATCACTGGCTTAAGGAGCCGGTGGGAAGAGCAGGTGGATGGCCCGATCAGAGTGGCACGTTAGAAAAATCACTCTGGCTTCTGGCTACAGTGTGCAGAATGGATCACTATGCTCGGGTACATTACATTTGGTTAATAAGTTATTTTTGTAAAGAGGGTCTTAACCTCTAGGCCTCAAAGCAAAAATTTCAGAAAAGGGCATTGAAGAAGCCACAAACCCATTTTTAAATAACTTATTATGGCCTGTTTAAATATAGTTTTTAAGGTAATTATCTGTATAGCAAACATCTGCAATTTTATTCAATTCTGTGAATTTTTACTAATAGATAAGAGGCAAAAATGGAGAAGAAGGAAGAAAGAACTGGCAGGAACTAACAATTTTGAGTAGTGTATGAGGACTTCTCATGCATTATCTCATTTAATCCTTACAATAAGCAAAGAGCTTACTGTATTATTATCTCTATTTGCAGACAGGAATTTGAGACTCAGAAAGGTGAGAAGTCCTCTGTAAGAGACAGGGCTGGGTAGCCTGCCCTCATCCTCTCCAAAGCCCGAGTTCTTGCCTCTGTAACAAATGGCAGATACATATACAGAACAGCTAAGTTAGGCAGCAGATGAGTAGGAGAAAGGCTGAGATAACCTTGAGTAAAAACAGAATAAAGGGGAAAATGTATAGGCCAAAGGGGAAAATTAATCGGCAAAATAAAAGCATGAGGAATTACCCTCTTGAAAAGAGCAAAAAGGCAACTGGCTTCTTGAATGAAGAGATATAGAGATGATCAACTTTGAATTTTTCAGCACATTACAAGTACAACCGTAACAGAATTGCCATTGAACTGCAGAATTCAAGAGATGGTCTTCTTGCAGAGGTACTAATATTAAAGATGAACTGCTACAGAAAAGAAGCCTACTTACTAACTTACTTTACACAACCCCTCTCACATGCCCTGGTATTTGACATTTGCGCGTGAGGCTTGATCAGCATCATATCCTCTGAAAGCCAGCTGCCTTTAGTAGATATGGCTGCCTGGCAGGATAACACTCCTTGCTATAGGGAACAGAAGGTATCCCGTCCCCAAAAGAAACCTTCACTCAGGTTTATGCCCCCAAACTCTTTGGAGGGAGATACCATCACCCTGACTGCATGCCCTTTCTAAGACACAGGCTAATCCAGGGTTAGTTGGGCAGACAATGGTCACCCGTATATTGAGATGTGAAGAGCATGGGAACTGTCTCCTTTAAAGCAGCCTCCCTCCTGCCCAGTAGGGATCTTGAATTAATATGTGTGGTTGAGTCTTTACCCCACTCACTTCATTCATTTTGGGTACTCCCCTACCAAAAACTCCAGGGAATGGAGCACTGAACTGCTGAGCTGAGATGGGGAGAGTGTGGTGGGGAAGGCGCTGGCCCAGGGTTATCAGCCTCAACAAGGCCAGCTAGGCAGGAAGCAAGTAAATCTATTTAAGTAAAGAGGACAGAGGCTGCATATCCAACATACCACAGAGTGTTGTGTACATAGAGTGTACAATCGATGTTTCTTATATAATTGTTGAGGTGTTATGAGAAGTAGGGATTAGGTGTCAGTCCCCAAACTACTGCTTATTTGACATGTTTTTCACTAGTTGTATCTGAACAGGCAAAAAAATTGCTTAGTTGCGCAATGTGGTGATGAAGGTAATATATGCCCTTCCCATGGGATATGCTATGTGCTGTGTGTGAGCTTTTGTCTTCCAAGTATGACGGGATGTTTATGCCTCTCTACTTATTATTAGCAAGGTACCAAAGAAAAAGGTGGAAGAGAAGGAAGAGAGAGGCAAGACAAAAACATACCAATACTCTTAGCTCCTTCCTGGCCACTAAGGCTTGTGTACAACTTTGTCCCAGAGGCAGTGTTTATTGAAGAATAAATTTTTGCTGAGAGACTTAAAATCTAACTGGCATTAGCTACCTAGAGATGGAAGGGGGAAGTCTTTGAAAATGTTGATTTAATAAACTAGCCAGCAGCCAGTACACCAGATGAGAACAGAAGGAGGGGAGAGAAACATTCCCTCTGCCAGAGCATTTTGCAGATAATTAAAGTAGAGACTTTGACTCACAGCAGGGCAATTTTAGCATACCTGACGCAGGGCTTGACTCAAGCTCCCTCAGTGTCCCTTCCAGTGCAGTTATGCTATTAGCTTTCATAATATTCCACATAAGGGAAGACACGTTTCTTCAAGCTATTCCATTTTTCAATTATTAAAGAGCTTTGAGTTTAAAAGTTCACCAAAAAACCCATCATGCCCCATCTTGGACATTACCCTTGTCTAATGGGTAGTAACAAGATCACTCTTTCAGACACTCAGTCCACATTACTTAAACATTCATCTGCTCCATTTCACACTTGGAATGGGCTGTGCAATAAACGTATTTGATCTTTTCTTTATTGTCTGTTTCAGGAATGTATGCAGGGTTTTCTTCTTTGCTATATAGGAGCAGATTTCTCCTTTGCAGTGTAGGAAGTGATTCACCTCTAGGAGGCTAATTTTTTATAGTTGAGTGCAGGATCTTAATAAATAAACCAAAAAGTGAAGTGCTATTTTGAACAGCCCTCACACCAGCAGGAAGAATCAGTGAATGAGGAACCATGGAAGACTGTTCACTACATACCCATTTACTCCAAAATATTATTTGGATCAGCATTGGATATTTTTAATAAATTATAAGTGATTCTTCTTTCTGTATTAATTAAGAATTTACACTACTCTTCAAGTGTTTTAACTCCCCCAGTGCCAAGCTTAAGTCCTCTGGATTAATCCTGATGCATGAAGAGCTTTGAAAACATAACAATGGTAAGCAACAACCCTGAGTGATTAAGAAATCAAGATGTGTGCAGGTGCTGGTAAAACACACACACGCACACACATACACACACACACACAAATACGGCAAATGAAAATTAGAAAAATTGCCCAGACATATTGTCAGAACAAACTAAAAATTTAAGGCTTGGAATATGCTAGATTTACATTACATCTCACTTCAGAAGAAAGTGTTAGAGGAAGAAGGCCAGGAAGACTATGAAAAACCAAAGCTCTTAGCAGAGGGCCTACCACAGAGGAAGTACTCAAGAAAAATGAGCATGAAACACAGAAAAATAAGGACAAAAGATAGAGATGAAAAGATAGCAATGAAAAGAAAATAACTTTTCTGTGGTTATTTTCTACAGTAGATTTACAGCACAAAAGGGGGACTCAAAGAATCTTTTGTCCAAGCTGGTGACATCTGATGAGGTATCCTAGATATGGCTATCAATGTACGCAGTCTATTTCAGTTTAACCAGTCAAGGATTAAAATCATTCTTCATATGCCAACATAATATTCTTATTCTCTTTCTGTAATACAAGACTGTTTCTCCATGCATCATCTCAGTTTGGAGAACGGGTAGCAGAAAAATGGCTTCCTCCAAAGCAATTCTTTTCTATTTTGTTTTCTCCAAAGCAACTCTGAGAGGATGGCTACTGGGATTTTCAGCCCAGATCCTGTAAACCAGAGGCTTCCTTAGCAAGGAAGGAGACAACCAACACATAGATACTAAAGTATCTCCACTTAACAGAAACAGAGAACCAGGACTGGAAATTCCTCCCTCAGGGCTTCCCAGCAATGATCTCCCTAACAGTCTCATGGTTAAAACAGTAATCTCATTAAGTCATACTTTTATGGAATAAGAACATTCCCTAAAAAGCTACATGCTTCTGATTTTGCTTACCTTTTTCACAACATGCACATTCTCTTCACTGATAAATTTTTCATGGCAATAATACATAATTTGATAAGACTTTCTTGACAAACGCCCAGTGGAAATTTTAAACAGTGTTTCCTTTGGTCTCTCTCAGGGTAAGCCCCTGTCCACAGGTTCAGTTCGTTCTAAGAAATCATCTTAAAACTAAATATGTACACACTTCCTTCCTGACAGTCAATGTTCACTTTTACCTAAGCGTAACTGAGCAACCGGAGTTTTCAGGTGGGTTACAGAGTGGAAAACAAATACAAGCTAATTTCATGGAATAATCTCTCTAGGAAGAAACAAACCATATCAAAACAATCCCTTGTGTAGATCTTCAATTAAACTGTACTATATCATGGAC
Source organism: Homo sapiens (assembly GCF_000001405.40). Lineage (NCBI taxonomy): Eukaryota > Metazoa > Chordata > Mammalia > Primates > Hominidae > Homo > Homo sapiens. The sequence continues at coordinate 36,282,709 of NC_000014.9, read as the reverse complement.
AAAACACTCATCATAACTAGGAATAGATAGGTATTGTTTCAAACATATTATGTACAAATCATCTAATTTTTCAAGGTTAATGAGTGTAATTTATCCATCTTTGGTTACTGAAGGGGTTACATAGGATGAACAAAACTTAAGAGTTCATCCATTTCATTTCTGTTGATTTGCCTCTATTTGTTTGGCTTTTATGTCCATGTAATTGATTTGTATAAATCTGTCCAAAGCAGATGGGCAACTGCTCATGACACTTGCAAACCATTTAGATTATTATTGTACTGATGTTTATTCAAGGCCAAATGGGGAAAATATAAAAGGTGTGATGTTCAACTTAGCATAACAATATCATGAAAAATTTATTTGGTCTCAGCAGCAAAATAGATACTCTCTACCAATCAGTTTCATAAGTGCAGGTGAATCGCTTCTGTCTATGTGGCTGGACTAGCTACCCAAATTAATTATGGCACCATTTTCCAGTTTTACAACATAATGCAAACTCTCCAAGAGCATAATAGAAAGCATAATAGAAAGACAGTCATCTCCAATGCTACTAGATGTTAACATTTACATTGAAGACTTGTATATCTCTCCTCACGCTTTTGAATCAGAGGATTAAAAAAAATCATCTGCTAAAAATAAGTAAATAGATAGATACACATTTGAGAACCCAGAGAGAGCCATCATCTACTCAAATAGCACACTGATAGCATTGATTCTGTTTTTGTTCTTTTTTAAGGAATAGATTGTGATTATAATTTGCTACACAAAATTATATTTTGTTCTGTGTTTAGATTTGACACTTGCATAGATCTAAACAAATTTAAGTGCCATTGCTTAATAGACAAATAGAGATACATTGTTTTCTTTATGCCACCAGAAGCTAATTAAAACTGTTTCCCTAAAATCCTGATCAGTTAAAATGCTTTGGAAGCACTGGAAAATTATTTTAATTTTTTTCCCCCAAGTGCTAATGATCAACTCAGCCTATGACACAGACCAGAGGTGTCACAAAGACACTTAAGATGTGTGCCCAAGTAAGTCCATCTTGGAAGTGGGTATGCCTAAGTGAGAGGAAAAGCAAATGACCTCTAATATTTGACCTCACTGTGGTTGGATCTGTTAGGGTCTCACCAGTACTATCTTTTTTCCTCTAGGCGCAAGAGAAGACTACACTTCCCAGATGCCCTTGCAGTTTGAGAGGAACCATGTAACTGAGTTCTGGCCAATGGAATGTGTGTGGAAGTGAATAGCATGGTGTACGCTATTTCCTGACCTGGCCATTACCCTCCTGGTCTCTTTCTTACTAGAGTTTCTTTGAGGCCAATCCAAATTTACATGAAGAAACTTAGATTTACTTTAAAAATCAGATAGAATTTTAGGTGATTAGGCTGAAACTCTCTAAACAAAAAGGGTTTAAAATCCTTGAAGAATGAAAGTTGCCTGGGCCAGTCTAATACAAGCTATGAGCATCACAATAAACTGTTTTTTAAAGACTCTATGTCTTGGAAACTGAAAGTTCCACTTATAAAACACACATTACTGAATATCAAGGCTTAAGACACAGTCACGTAAAAAGGTTTTTAAAAAATCTGCCACATATAATGCAATTTTACTTTTGATTATTGTGAAGTCAGAATTCCAAATGCCTCAGATTCACCATTCTGAACATCAGTATTCTTTGAACAGTATTTCTGATGCAGAAGGTAGAGGTGACAGCTGAATTTAGAGCAGCCCATGCCATTCCCTAAATTGCATTGTTAATGAAACCCTTAAATGTAAATTTGTATTGCTTCCCTCTTTCTATGACGCCACCCAGACAAAACCACTTCAGTTATTTTAACTTTCCTACTTATTTATTGCAGATGAACAGGAATTTATTTTATATACATTACTTCAAAGTATTCTTATCATAAAATCTGTATTTACACCCTTCTCACAAAGACCAATTAATAGACTCTTTCCATAAGCAAAGGACTATTTAACTTACAGAAATATAAATGATGCCATGCTGTACATACTGATATTTTTAAAACCTCAATTTAAAAGGTGACAGATTTTACAATGATGGATAGGGCATTTAACAACTAACTCTAAAGTATACTTTAAGTCCCACATTTAAGTACTGCATAAAGGTTACTTTCTTTGTTTCCTTCTTTTATTCATCTATTTATAAATTCAAGGTCTTTGAAATGTTTTTCCTCTTATATTTAATGTAGCCTGATCTTTGCTTAGAAAAATACATTGCTACATTTATCAATTTTCTGATAGCTCCATAAACAACGTTAGCTTATAAAATGCTAGTACTGTAATATAATGGTAACACTACAAAAAGTTATATATTTTTTAAACCTTTTCCCCTTAAACGAATAATTATTGCTTAAAGAATAGTTTCTTCCAAAGGTGGCATTTGAATGGTATGGTTCATAATGCCACATGATAACCTCAGAGAGTGAATGAGCTTGTCACTAAGGCATCTAATCCTCTAGGCAAAAAATAAGAAAATGTGTTAGGACATAATTAAATACTTACTTCTGGGGAAAATATAGGAAAAGAAACTTCATCTTTTGTCAAACACACTTTTGTTAACCCAGACTTTGCCGGATTTGCAGCATGTCAAAACTGGTTCGTTCCTTAGCCATTTAAGAAGCAAGAATGCACACTCATTGTTCATGACTAGTTTCCACTCGCCTGTGACAAAACAGCTAGTTGGAGAGTCAGCCTCGGTCAGTGTCTATTTAGGGCAAAATGTCAAAAAAGAATGTCCTGCATTTGGGCTCAACAATAATGAACATGGCTAAATCTGAAAATTAACAAAAGAAAGTGAACAGCTTTTTAAATTCTGAGAACATTAGATTCTGGTGTCCTTTTTGTTCCGATTGTTGTGGCTTAACACTCTGAAAGGACCACCTGTTGGGCAGCCATTTTGTGATTGTATTGAATGCAGTGATTGCATAAAAGAACACTTTCCAAAATAACCTGGCATTATTATTCACTTATTTTGTAGTAAATCTGCATTCAAAACCTGCATTAAAATATAAGGCTTTCCTCCTAAGTGAAATTTAAAGCTATAAGTTTAATGGAAATGCATACTCAACTGCAAATGCATGATTTTATGGTCAAACGCATTATACACAAAAATGAGTTCAAGTAAACCTTTGATATGGCAATTAGAGAGTATGTTGAATAAAGTGAAACAGTTAAAAGTGGTGCATGGCAGACAGGGAATCCCAGAGGAAATGACACAAAACTGATAGCATGTAATTATTAGACTGACACAGAGACATAATGTAGTTGGAGAAAATTACTGTTGTCTATTAAAAGAATGTGATATCCTCAGCAATCCTGAAAGCATATTTTACTGGTATAATACCTCCGCTTTCATGAATAAAGGAAAAACCATGTCCCAAATTCGCAGGCTTTGTAATTCATTTATGCTAAAAATCTCTCCTAGAACACAGCGTAAACAAAAACATTATTGTTTAAGTCCAACTGGTGGAAAATGCTAGTTAATGCTGCAAGTGACAACTAAGAAAATAAAAGAGAATACTCAAAAGAGAAACTGTTCCTAAGATAAAAAGATCATTTGTTATAACTATCCAATGAATGTTTTAAGAGCATGCGTTTTGACATTGAAAATGATACTTGTATCAAAAATCATCTTTGGTGCATGAACACATTTTGGATGCTTGATTTGATTTTCAGTTTTGTGGCTACTTTAGGATAATGTGGAGAATAATAATTCTCTATTCCATGATTTTTATTATTACATGAGCCTGTAGAATTAATCCATGTTCTGAATTTGGAAAACACAATAACTTTCAAAATATTTTTTTAAATTACATCAAATAGTTTCTAAGGATTCTTAAATATGTTACATTTCAGTTTAATCCTGATTATAGTCTTTTTCTCAATATTATTTCATTTATTTTAACTGTGCTCTATGTAATGACCTAAAGTATATTATGTGGAATGAATGATTACATTGTCACAAACATCCAAAAGTTTTTCCTAAGTTTTTCAAACTTTATACTCACTCATGGACTTAATTCTATACATTTTAAAAATAGTAAAGATTTTTTGCTTTAAAAGTGAATTGTAAGCCCCAGGCAACATGGCGAAAACCTATCTCTACAAAAAATACAAAAATTAGCCAGGTGTGGTGGCGTGCACCTGTAGCCCCAGCTACTTGGGAGGCTGAAAGGTGGGAGGATTGCTTGAGCCTGGGAAGTAAGGCTGCACTGAGCTGTGAGATGACACCACTGCACTCCAGCCTGGGCGACAGAGACCCTGTCTCAGGAAAAAAAAAAAAAAATGAAAAAGTGAAGTGTTT